>NC_000004.12:5119514-5426011 GCF_000001405.40 Homo sapiens | reverse complement strand
GCCCCTCAACTGATGAACAGATAAACACGTGTATGTATATCCAGCAACAGGAAGGGACTACTGATACACACGTCATGAGTAAATCTCAAATACATCATTCTAAGTGAAAAAGCCACATTCAAAAGGCTGTATACAATATGATCTCATTTATATGACTTTCTGGAATAGGCAGAATCATAGGGGTAGAAAATCAATTGCTGGTTGCCAGGGACTGGGAATGAGGAACTTTTGTGGGGGTGATGGAACCCATCTATATCTTTATAGTGGTGGTGTTTATCTATGACTGTATGTGTTTGTCTGAATTCAGAGAGCTATACACTAAAAGAGTACATTTTACTGCATGAAAATTATTCCTCAAAACTAAGCATCTCAAACTCCATATTTATCAGTTTGGTGATTTTTAAACTGACTGTCTCCCTCACAAACAGCCAAACCAATGAGGGTAGGAATACTTATGTTTTATTCACACATGTGTTTTCAGTCCATAGAACAGTGCCTAGCATGTAGAAGGTGCTCAGCAAATCTCTGCTGAATGAATGAATGAATGAATGAATGGTTCTCAGGAAAGATAATGGACAGTGGAGCCTCACTGACCTAGGGCCAAATGCCAGCTTTGCCACTTTCTCTGGGAAGCAAACTTCACTTTCCCTGGCCTCAATAATATCTACAAAGAGTGCACAGCACTGCCATGGTGGCCCCACTGTCACAGGATCCTTGGGGTGTTGCTTCACCAACCAGAAATTTCTGTGGCTGGTGGCACCTTCACCTGCATTTTGCTTGGGCCTGAATGGCTCATTCTGCTCACTTGGCCTGGCAGGCTGCACTCAGCTTGTGCTACTGGTCCAGATCCCAAACCTGCCAAGGGCAAGCCAGGCACAGAGCCATGAGGGTTGTGTGAGCAAGCGAGCATGGGGTCCGGCCACTGCACACAGCTAGGCATCCTGGCTGTGGCGGGGTGAACAGCTCCAGGCACTGGCACGAGCGCCGGCTCCCTCCAAGGCTGCGTCTGGACCAGGCATACCGCAAGTGGCTTCCACTGTGGCCACTGGGGAACTTGGTGGTGCCCAGAAGCTTGGAGATGCCAGGAAATGCAGAGCCCCAAAGAGGGCATCACAGCCCTGGCTTGGGGAGCTCCTAAGTCTGGGCTCCCTGTAGGGCTACAGCTCTTCTCTCCTTCTCCCTTCTCTCCTTCTTGTGTTCACAACGTGGTGAGCAGGGGGCATATTTCAGCCCTGTTTGTGTTACAGCTCTTTCACTCCCACCATTCAGCAGGTCCCAAGTTCTTGTCCTGTGTCCAGGAAGAATGAGGTACATGGACAACTGGAGGGTAAGCAACGCAAAGAGGTGCTTTATTGAGCTACAGTACAGCTCTCAGGAGACCTGAAGTGGGTAGCTCCTTTCCACGGGCAGATTGTGCAGATGTCTGTTCAGCTCTCAGCTGGGTGGAGACCCACAGCAGGTAGCTCCTCTCCGCAGGCAGGTTTTCCCAACATCTGCCCCAGTCTGGCTCAGTTTGGGGTTTTTATGGGCTTCAGAGGGGAGGAAGTATGTGCTGATTAGTCCATGGGTGGCCATGGGTGGGCCTGGAAAAAGCATCACAAGTTCTCACTCCGGTCAGTGGAACTGGTGACCCAGCCCCCAGGCTTCAGACCATCCCTGGCTTGAAAGTGGGGCTTCATGGGGACCCACTCATTTCCACCTAGTAGCCTGTCTGCCTCCTGCCACTGTTCATGGGGGCCAGGCTGTTTGTGCTGATGGGCTCCTGCAGGCCAATTCTGAGCCACCCTCAGCACCCCTTCAGCCTCTCTCTCATGCTTGTTGGTGCCCAATGTCCAAAGGGGGCCAAGGTAGCAGGGGGCTGGCATGTCAGTGCTGCCCTGAGCATGTGCATACCTGGCTGGTATGTACCCAGGCTTGGCCACAACCCCACTCTGAAATCAGAGTGGGTACCAGGAGCAGGGCGAGTCCAGGCAGCAGGAACAGGTGCCCCTGAGCCTACGGGGGGAGTGGGGTTTCCCTGAGAGCACAGGGATGCCCAGGTCTGCAGCTGCAGCTGAGTATCTACAGCTGCACCCAGGAGGGCAGGAATCCCGCCTCTCCAACTCACAAGGGGGCGGCGGGGCTTCCACCTGCTCCTGGCTCCTATTGGCTCTGTGGAGCATGGAGCCCTGGCTGCGCCTCCTGCACTGCAGACAGGCCTCTGCTTCCATCACCACCACCACCCCTCTGGACTCACTGCAGTGTCCTGGGGGAAGGGAACTGACATTTGGTGAGCACTGACAATGCAACAGCCCCATCATCTCCCTAGTGCACCCACCATCCCCTGGCCAACCCAGCCCCTGCAGTGAACTGGGATTTCGTTAGTCTGTTTCTGCAACTAGAGTGTGAGCTCCATAAGGCAGGGGAATGTTGGATTTGGCTCTGTGTTCCCAGTATTTAGCATACACTAAATAATTATCGAACTATTAGCAATCAGAACAACCACATTAATATTGGCTACTGGTTGTGAGTAGTTACCTTTCATCAGGCATTATGCTATATGCCTTCTATAATTAATGTCAATAAATCCTCAAAGCAACCTCCTGAGGCTGACTGCATAAACCATTAATCCCATTTCTCAGACGAGGATTCTGAGAGGTCCTGTGGCTCAGTGGCCAACATTTCCTGAGTGTTCATCATGGTAAGTGCTTTATGTGCACCATGTCTGGTAATGAGAATCACCCAGGTTCACTCAGCCACTGAGTGGAAGACACCCAGCTGCCTCATGCTGAAGCCCACACTTCACCTGGACCATCCCCCTTGAGCCTGACCCCTAATGCTTTCCTGTTACTCATCGGTTTCTCCAAGGTCACCACCCTTGAGGCCCTAATCCTATGAGTCTGATCATAGTGGTCTCCAGCACTGAACCTTCCACTGGTTCCCTAGGCTCTCACCACAGCATTCAAGACTCCTGTGCTTTGCCCTGTCTGCTCTCTCCCTCCCCACCTCCTCTTGTCCCAGAAGCTGCAAAACAATGGAGCTGCCAAGTTCTCCCTTCACACAATGGTGCTTCACTCCCCAATGCCTTTGTATGGGTTGTTCCGTCTGCCTAAATGCCCTCTCTCTATCGTTACCCAGCAGAGCACATCCTTAAAGTCTAATTCAGATTGTCACCTTCTCCAGGAAACTGTCTTAAAACTGTCCAAAAAGATCTCATCTCCCCCTCTTCATGCCAGAAGCACCTCCTTCCAATAGCCACACCATCGTCCTCCTTGACTGTGCCCTGTGTACAACTATGTTCATACAATCTGTGTGAGGACTGGGAGAGCAGTACCCCGCTCTGCAGCCCCAGTGCCTAACTAAGCCCTGTACCTCCTAAACACTCAGTAAATGTTTACTGAATCAATGCCTTGCTCTTCATTTCACCTCAAATTAATAAACTCTGAAGCCCCACGTGGCTGCTGGAACATTCTGACTTCTAATCTGGCACATTTTAGAGAGATCTTTTTTTTTCTCCAATTGCAAATTCCATCTGCTCTTTCAATTAATGAAAATTCAGCCCTATGCAAATTTTTCTTCCGGGATCATCTTTTGTGAGTTACCTCTGGGAGCTTACTCATCAGCCCATTTTCTGAATCTGTGTTGGGAACATTCTGGGAACTTGTTACTGGGCCTTTGAACTGAACAGCTCAAGTGAGTGAAATAAACAAACCTGCCACTTGGCATTAGGAATTTACAGCCCCAGGAGCTGCAAGATTTGACTTTATTGAGAGAGCTCTCCCTTAACTCCACCTTCCCCACTAAACTCCCACTGCCTGGTACTATTCCCCAACTACAGTGTCTGAAAATACAACCATTAGGAAAATCAGCTGTGTCCTCTAAAGCCTATAAAAATCTCTTCTGTACATTTGGCCATTAAGTCAGGCCTGAAGCTTTTCTAATTGGAAAAGCTTTTTCCATCAGTAACCCCGACTCTCACATACAGCTGGGACAATGAACTTATTTCTTGGCTGAGAAAGTCGTCTTTATAATTCAGGAGCTCAGTGTCAAAAAGGCAGCTTGGTGTAGTAGCAAAAGCATAGACTTCAGATCAAAATAGACTTGGCTTCAAATTCTGGCTCCTTCACTGACCAGCTGTGTGGCCCTGGGCAGGTTAATTAACCTCTCCAGACCTCTGGTTCCTCACACATAAAATAAGAGATGTAGAAACGTCATGTGAATCTTCTGAGGATTAAATGTGAAGACAGGCAGGTAGCGAGGTCCCAATACAGGTCAGATTTCTTCTCCCTTTTGAAAGCAGGGCCATGGAGGAGAGTGCCCAGCTGGGTCCCCATGGCTCTGCTTTCCTGGAGACCAAGAACCTGGACTGGGCTGCCTCAGACAGTGTGAGGCAGGAGCAAGGTCAGGAAGCCCCAGTAGAGCCTTTGAGGAGGCTCGAGTGAGTCTGTTAGGCATGGTGCCACATGCAGGCAGAGACATCAGGGCTGGTAGAAAACTGCCTTGAACTTGGCCAGGTGTGGTGGCTCATGCCTGCAGTCCCAGCACTTTGGGAGGCTGAGGCAGATGGATCACCTGATGTCAGGAGTTCAAGACCAGCCTGGCCAACGTGGTAAAACCTTGTCTCTACTAAAAATGCAAAAATTAGCCAGGCATGGTGGCTCATGCCTGTAATCCCAGCACTTTGGGAGGCCGAGGCTGGTGGATCACGAGGTCAGGAGATTGAGACCATCCTGGCTAACACAGTGAAACCCCGTCTCTACTAAAAATACAAAAAAAATAGCCAGGCGTGGTGGCGGGTGCCTGTAGTCCCAGCTACTTGGGAGGCTAAGGCAGGAGAATGGCATGAACCCAGGAGGTGGAGTTTGCAGTGAGCAGAGATCACGCCACTGCACTCCAGGCTGGGCAACAGAGCAAGACTCTGTCTCAAAACAAAAACAAAAACAAAAACAAAAACAAGATACAAAAATTAGCCAGGCATGGTGGCATGTGCCTGTAATCCCAGCTACTTGGGAGGCTGAGGCAGGAGAATCGCCTGAACCTGGGAGGCAGAGGTTGCAGTGAGCCAAGATCATGCCATTATACTCTAGCTTGGGTGACAAGAGTGAAACTCTGTCTTAAAAAAACAAAACAAAACAAAACAAAAAAACTGTCTCGAACTTCTCCAGTGGTCCAGGATCTACACTCCTTGACATCAATTTGCTTTTCGGAAACAGCATGAAAGCAGTCAGAACGAATCGGTAGGAATACAGAGGAGGCTTCTAATGGGAGCTGCTGCCCTTACCTGGCATCTCTCTTCTCAGCACTCCCCTGTGGGATGTCCCCCTCAGCCTCCACGTGCCCCTTCCAGCACAGCATTCTTGAGCCTCAGAATCGGTTCTCTGCCTTCCTGCATCCTCCTTGGGGGATCCTGTCCACTTCCATGGCTGTGCTGCATCTCAGTGCTGGCAGGTTCTCCATCCACATGTCCAGTCTGCATCATGCCACTTCACAAACCTACTGCTCTTGCTGGGTCCCCTACAGAGTGAGCACCACTCTGCTGCACAATCCAGAGACCCGAGAAGTTGCCGTTGCCCCCATTCTCCATCCCATCAGTTGCTGAATCTCGCCCAGTTGATCTCTCTTGAATCTCAAGGCAGTGACCTCTTTGGTCAGACTTGCCCCAGCTCCAGGTCCTTCCAGAAAGCGATCTCAGAAAGGTCGTCAACAAAAAAAGCCTTGTTGGAGTAAGTGTTCAGGCTCCCATGAAGACTACTTATAAGTGAATGAATTCACTTATATGGATATCTGCTGGTATTTTTGCTAAAAAGGAGTTGCTGTCATGGGAGTCCAGGTTGAGATGTACTTCAGAGCTTGGGTTTTGGAGTCACATTGACCTGGGTCTGACTCTTGCCAACAATGTCAACATGGGGAAGTCACCCAACCTCCTAAGCCTCCATTTCCTTAACTCTAAAATGGAAAGAAATACTTGTGTCTATTTCATGTTCGAGGGCATTAAAAGAAGTTATAGGTTATAGTTAATGTGCCTGTCTTCATGTTAAATGAAATTATAGGTGGAAAGCACTTAGCTCGGTACCTGACATATAGTAAATACCCAAAAACAAGTTGCCTATTATTTATACCATTGCAGGTATTTATAGTCAAACTTCATTTATTCTATTTATTTAATAAATCAAAGATTAATGACATGAGTAGTGGATTCTAGGGATATGATGGTATAGATTTTGAATCTCCCCAAATCTGCATATAAAACAGAGCAAATAGATCACTAAACCAAAAACTCATGGATGCATTTGCTACAAAAATAAGTTCTCCTTACAACCCTCAAAATACAGGTGGGTAGCAGCAAAACACAACAGTGACAAGAAGCGCATGGTAGTGATTTCTACACGGAAAGAAACCAAGAGAAGCAACAAAGCAGCATTCTATGGACCAGAAAACAAAGAACTCCAAAATACTCAGCAGGTATTCACTGGGAAACACAGACAACGACTTTGAGAACAGCGGCTGAAGCTGGTAGGAGTTTGTACAGTCTAGTATCAGGGGCATTGAAAGGGCTCTTGATAAATTCTGAAGGAGACTGAAGAGTCTGGGACATCAAAAGTCTATAATCCACCCAGCCACAACTCCTTCCAGGAAAAAGCCCCAAGGAAAAACTGTGTGAAGTAGAACCAAACTGCCTCAGGACAGAGACCCTACAGACAAAGGAAAGAAGAACTCCAGATAAAAATGGGAGAGGAGAACAAAGCCAGGAAACCTGGATAGCAAGCTGCCTTAGATTTTGACACTTCACCAAACAATACAACAGATAGGTCTGTTAAGTTAGGAACGCTATCCTGAACCACACCATCTTCTAAAAGTTTAGAAAAACAAAGTTCACATAAAATGAGCAATTTCTACCCCTCTCTCTTGCTGGAGGCCCCTCAGCTGGCTCTATTTTGATCTCAAGTCTAAAGGTGGAATTTATCCTTCCAGGGAAATAGTCATTTCTTTTTATATCTGTAAGGAAGACAATAAGAAAGTTATAGCCGATCCCCAAAAACCTAGTGTTCATGAAGATAGATTGGAATTTAGGCTTTGCCAAGGGCTCAGGGAGGTCTCTTCTTCCTCAGGCCATGTGGAATTCAAACCCTCCACCATGTCCAAACTAAGCCTCCTCCCCCACTGCAATACCCATGTGCAACTCTAACTCCTCCAGGCGGTTTTAGGCACTGTTTATGCGGTCAGGGAAGAAAGATTTTGGTTGTTTAATTCAATATACAGTGCCTTATAAGGCACAACCTGGCCAGAGTTAAGTGAGGCCAAACTGGGAACAGGGCATTTTCACTGCTGAATGACAGACAGCAGCAGAGAGTTCAGCCAAGATGGTGGACTCCTCATCCCAGTGGTTAGTTTTCTGCGGCAAAAGTTGTACCTCTGGTTAGGTACCGCCTATAAATGCTTCATCCAGTTATCAGATTCTATGCTTCCTAAGGCCTCCTTCTTCCATTTGAAAAAGGAAAATAAAAGAAAAACATTAATAGCAGTAACCATTGGAAGAAAGGTATGGAGAAATATGGGCTTTAAATGTTTGTGCACCTTTGTGCAGCACTGATTACATTTTCTAGCCTTAAACATGTATTTCTTATATCATTTGCAATGGTAAATGGGGATTATCTAGGCATAAAACTCATGCATATGATATATTAATAATCATCAACAATTACTGAAACAAAAGAGCAACAGAAAAGTATCAAAGTCAAATTCCATACCAAGTTATTATAAGTAAAAGGAGAATGAAGAGCAGAATAACATCATTGCAATAAAAACACACAGAAAGATGTGCTGATAAAACAGAATGAAACTATAGCCTACGTTTCAAAAGAGTTAAAAGACACAGTGATGGGTTGTTTCATTAATGGTTCCCCAGTGCATCAGCCTTCTGATAGCCATGCTCCATGCAGTTCCCTTCCACGTGGTTGGCTATGTGACTTGCCTTGGCCAACAGAACACCAGGAAATGTGAAGCAGGCAGAGTCCTGAGAAGCATGGGAGAACTGGCTCTACCATCTTGAAACTGCATGTGAGGAAGCTCACTCTAGCCACTTTGATGATGAAAGACCACATAGAGAAAGAATGATATGTTCATCTCAGCTGTCCTAGCTGAACCTAGCTCCCAGCTGACCTACCAGTTGAATGCGTCTTCATGAGTGAGCCCAGCCAAACCTGAGGAAAAACCACTTGGTCAACCAAAAGAATTGTGAGAAATAACGTTGTGATTGTCTTAAACCACTATGTTTTGACACAGTTTGTTACACAGTAATTGATAACAATATAGACATTCAGAATTAACACGTAATAAAGATATTAACAAAATTATATAAGACCTGAAAAACAACATTAATTAGAATAAAAAACTCAGAAATCAGGTGGGAGAACTTAGGGAGAAAGAAATAAAGGGAAAATGATTTCAGAAATGAAGACTTCAGTAGAAAACACACAAAACAAATAAACACAATAGATAATGCCTTGGGAGAAGAGAAATATAACAATGAGAACATTTTTAAAGAAATGAAGGAAGAGGTAATAAAGATTTGAGGGACACTGACAAATGCTGAAGATTGGCAAAGAAGATCCAGCATTCAGATAAGAGGCATCCATAACCAAGAAGATAAAAACAAGAGAACAGAATGCAAACTAAAAACAATAATCCCATAAAAATTCCTTAAAAAACCATTTAAAACTACACATTGAAAGAACACTGTGTGCCTAAGAATGTAGACCTAGAATGACCACCACCAAGTTAAATTCTGGAAAATACTGAACATAAATGGAAAAGAAAATACTTGTTTTGTTTGCCACCCTCTCAAGCCTGAGCCATGGCTCTCTGGCTGAGCAGGAGTTCTCTAGAAAACCAAGAGGAGAGGGGTTGTCTAGCAGAGGAGACAGCTTGGAAAAGGTCCAGAGCTTCGAGGGAGCATTGTATCTACTGGGAACTGTGGAACCTCATGTGAGCATGGGAGGGTATGTGGCAGCGGGCAGTGGCAGATGAAACAAGAGAAGGATGCTGAGTCTTAGGCAGTGAGCCCGATCACATGAAAAGAAGGGGCCTGGAACACTCACCCATGTAGGGCTTGGTGCCAGCCATGGAGGAAGCCCTTTCTGCTCCTTTCACTACCGTCGCTATGTTGAAGTCTGTAATGTGAACATGTCCTGCAAATACAGAAACAGAAACTCCAGTTAGCGTGGGCTGCAGGCAGCTGGGTTATTTAAAGCTGTGGTTTGCAAGGTGAGATACCGTGAAGAAAACATTAGAACTTCTATTTATAATACTATCGTATCTGATACTTTAAAAATGTTTATTTTGTGTGCATGTTTCAGAATGTAAATTCATTTGGTAACTTATGCATATTATTTTTACATAAATATATTGAGGGGCAGGATACATTTTTTATGAATTAAAAGTTTGGAGACACTGATGTGGAGAATTAAAGCTCCTAGAAATAACTGAGACAGGTCACTCCAGACGCCTTCTCTCAGGAAAACTGTAGGTGGGCTATGGCTGGGGCGGGGGTAGGTGAAGAGGATTCTCCCACCCAGAGGACACTGTTTGTTCTGCTGTTTGTCCGCTATGGTCATTGGAGACCTTAGTACTGTAATTGAGGAATTTAGTAGGGAGAAGGCTGTGGTGTTGAGACCACCTTCCATCCAGGATGAAGTGATGGCAGCAGATGGGCATGGATAGGCTGGGTGCACCTACAAAGTAGGTGTTCAAGAAACATGACAAGGAAGGAAAAGGGAAAGAGAAGAAGGGAAGGAAACTAAGTGATGTGCAGATAAAAGAGGGAAACAGAAGAGAAGGAAGGAAGGGGACAGGGAGGAAGGAAACACCCAAATGGTCAGTACTTGTTTTTTGGGAAATTTTGGTCAGTACTTGCTTTTTGGGGAATTTGGTACATATAAGACTCCAGCTCAGAAAGCCTTGGATAATAGTTATAACTGCAATTACATTTCTCTCTATTTGTCTGTCATCACATCATGTGAAAATGGCTGGCTGGATTTTCACCAAACCTAAGAGTGGCATTTGGCATGTGGGACTTAAATGCATAGATGGGTGGCACATGCAAAATTGACTTTGAGGGACTTGGAAGGCATCACCAAGAGATGGGAAAACACATTCTGGAGCAGGTGCATTGAGGCATGCTGAGAAGCCCATGGGACTACATATGGGAGGGGCATGCCTGATGTGATCGGCTACAGTGGACAAAAAAAGCACCAGCAGTTTAACATACCACCCTCTAATCTCAGACTCAACTGCCAGCACTGACATGTGAGCAAGCTGCTCAGCCAACTATCTGTCCAGTGATCCTAGGTGAGATGCAGCAGCAAGGTATTTATTCAGTGAGGATCCATAATACTCTTCAGATACTTGTGGATGAAGCTGAAGTCACCCAACCAGGTCTTTGCTGGGATGCACAGTATTCCTACCTAGGCAACATTCCTAGAACATACCCAGGCTACTTTAGCCTCTGGGGCTTCCTCAGGCCCCTCCCTGTGGCTGCGATGAGTATGTCTCTATTCAACCATCCATGGTCCTGTCTGAAAAGTGGCAGTGTGTAGTAGTAGTTGGGTGCACACACTCTGAGCCAGACTGCCTTGGTTTGGGCCTCAGCTTTGTTGGGAGTAGCTGTATAACCTTGGGCAAATAATTTAATCTCCCTGGGCTTCAGTTTCCTCACCTATAAAATGGGATGATGATAATAAAATACCCATCTCAGAAGGCTGTCGCAGAAATCAGGGAGTTTATACACATGAAACGGTTAGAGTGATGGTGACATGCAGAAAGTAGAGAAGCTTCTCATAAGTGTTTGCTTTTAGCATTATTATCCTGCCGAGGAGTGGCTCAAAACCCATCTTCTCCAGCCAGGACAAATCTATCTCCTGCACCCTCCTATTCCCTTATTTCTAATACCAACAAGAAAGCAAACTCATTACTGTTTTGCACTTTGAGGCATGTGAAGGTGAGTGTATGTTGTAGTCACTGCTGTACCCCACACCCACACAGTTCCAAACAGAGTGACACATGTCAGCATTGGAAGAGGACTATGAAGCCTTCAAATATGGTTTTTGTTTGGTTTTCTTGCGCCTTCTCCCTCTTTCAAAAGTTTGGTATTTTCATTATGAAAGTGATGCCAGCTCATTAAAATAAGTGAAAGAATACAGACATGTTTTTGGGTTACCCCTTTAAGCCCCTCAATGTCTCTCCCACCCCCATGTAATCAATCACACAATTCATCTGGCTCCTCCATGATTTCTCTTTGCTTATGCAAATGTATATATGATTTCTCTTTGCTTATGCAAATGTATATCCATATATATGGGGGCTTTGGTTTGTTCTTGCAAACCAAATGAGATCATACTGCATGGGTCACTCTAAAAATTACTTTTGAATTTAGCCATGTATCATGGAGTGTGCCTAAGAATATATACCCACAGTGCTCCCCAATGTCCCCCAAGCTAGTATACATAGGTCTATCTATGACATCCACAATCCTTTATCCTCCATTCTAAGTCCAATTTTTTCCACAATTATTTTGGTGGTAAGATTTGACCCGAAACATTCTTTTTTAGTTTTATTTATTCCATTTTGGATGAATATCCACGTTTTGCGGTAGAAATATTAATGTATTTGATTACAAGGTGTTCCTCCAAACCTGTATGGAGTATTACATAGTATAAAAATATATTATTTAAGATATTATTACATATTGTGTTAAACACGTTATTTTATATTATTATCATATATGTTATTTAATATAAATGAATTTTTACATCTGAAAAAAATTCTAAATTATGAAAACATATCTGCCCCAAGGGTTTCAGATAAGAAGCCATGGACCTATAGTTACACAGTATTCCATAGGATGTCTGTATCATACAATGTATCATTTATTCAGCAATTCCCTATTATGGGTATTCAGGTTGTTTCCAATTTTGCTTGCTTAATTGTTTGTCTTGTTACTATAGAATATGTGACAAGAATTCCTGAATATATCTTTACATGTTAGTACTTTTATTTTGAGTAAATCCCCAGAAGTGGGATTGCTGGGACCAAGGGTACGCATATTATGTTCCAAAAAGTTATAATTGATGGCACTATAAACAGAATATGAGCATGTGTATTTCTCTGCACTTTGCCAGCACTAGTTGTTATCAGTGGTTTTGTTTTGCAAGTTATATGGTGAGAAATGTTACCTCGCTGCAGAGGAGGCTGCCCGTTTCCCATGTGATCAGCCTCTCAGACCCTTGGTCAGTTTTCACTGGGAGCTCCTTGTCTTCAAGATACATTTGCCCTTTTCTCTGCTATGTGTATTGCAAATATTTTCTCCTAGCCTATTGTTTGTGTTTTGACTTTGTTTATAGTGCCTTTTGCTATAAAGAAGTTTTAAAAATGCAAATAATGTTAATTTTGTTTTAAGTGTTGTTTCTCTTATAATTTTCCAATTTTCAGGAGCTACCCAAAATGATATCCTTTGTCTTTGGACAGTGTCATGCATGGATATGATTCCCTAGAACTGCAGAAGCTATTTGCGACCACAAGGAAAAACAGCATAAAGATGTAGGCTGTCCATGGAGAAGGCAGAGCTTCAAGTATAGCAGAGAAATGGTGCCAGAGCCTGATCAAAGCCTGCCTGAAGCCTGATTCCACTGAACTTCAGCTAAAAAATACCCTTTACTATCTAGGACTGTTTAAGTTGGGCTCTTTGTTCCTTGCTACTGCTAGTATCCCAACTGATGCAGACCCTTACTGACTATGTGACTTAGACAGGTTATTTAAGCTCTGAAAGCCTCAGATTCCTCAACTGTAAGAAGGGGATAATATTAATAGGGCCTTGTGGGGTAGTTATAGGGCTTAACAGGATGGTTAGGAACTGAGAACATGACATTTGAGCAAAGATCTGAAGAAGAGGAAAGCAAGCTGTCAACAGGGTTTCTGGAGGAAGAGGGCAGCTGACAGAGGGGAATGTCAGCACAAGGGCTGTGTGGGGAACCAGCAAAGATGCCAGGGAGAAAAAGGGAAGGAGTAGGAAAGGAGCTCAGGAAGGGAAGGGAAAAATGTGTCAGACCTTCTGGGCTGAGACAGGATGGTGGCTTTACTCCAAGTGAGAGGGTTTTGATATGATCGGACTCAATTTTGAATACTCTTTCAGCTGCTGTGAATGGATTACAGGGGCAAGGACCAAAGCAGGGAAACTCATAAAGAGGGGGAAAATGCAACCCCTGGCTCCTTTAAGCCACTGTTATTTAGGGTTAATAACTGGTGCAGAATAGGTGTCAAATCTCATCTTAATCCTTCAAGTGCTACTGAGAGGAGGGTATTACTAACCTTGTCTTTACAGAATAATAACCTGAGGTTCCAGTCACTAGTGTTGGGGCCAAGGTCTCAAGGCTGATATATGCAGAAGCCAGAGTGGAGCTTTCCCCGTCCCACTCTCCTCCTACAGAGCTGGGTCAAACAGTCCTGATCTCGTTACCTCCTGGCCTTCAGGGTTGCTCTGGAACAGACATGCTGCTTCCACCCAGGAATTCAGGTACAGTGGGCAACACCCTGCACGACAGACAGCAGGATTCCACTTCTGCTTTCCCCTGGCTATGCTAACTGATGAGCTGTGACTTCCCAGTGGGCCTCATCTAATGGGCAACCGAAGATGTAGGAAAGTGAAAATTAGTGCCCAACAAGATTTCCTATGAGTTCCTTCTCAGGAGAATGAAAGTTTACTATAGAATGTGAAAATACGAACTGGTTTACTTTCCATAAACTGAAAACATCCAAAAATCAAAGAGAAGGAGATCAGGACATTGTGTATGACCCATTAATACAAATGCTAATGGAGTATCGATAATCAATAACCGTGCTCCCAGGCCTGTTTACGTATCCTGTACTCCAGACATGCATCTCTTCTTTCTTTGAACACATGGAAATTCATCTCATTTCCAACCCTTTGACACCCCTTGGAATGTTCTTCCCTCTTGACTTCTTGGTAGATTTTCACTAATTCTTCAAAACTGACCCCAGGACTTACACGATTGATAGACTAGCTTTTTCTACTCTAGTTTTTGCGCTCATACTTCCACTACCAGGAAATGCACTACCACAGAGAGTGGTATCTCTATGTCTTAGTCAGTTTGGGCTGCTACAACAAAATGCTCTTAACTGGGTGAGTTAAACAACAGCCATTTCTTTCCCACAGTTGCAAAGTCCAGTAGTCTGAGATCAGGGTGCCAGCATGGTTGGGTTCTTGGTGGAGGCTCCTATGGTTCAAATGTATTTGTCAAAATTCATATGTTGAAACTTAATCAAATAAGTTACAGCCATGCCTCAGTATTCACATGGGGAACTGGTTCCAGGACACCACAGGAATACTATAATCTATGGACAGTCAAGCCTTTTATATAAAATGTCTTAGTACTTCATTTAACCTGCATACAACCTCCCACACACTTTAAATCATCTCTAGATTAATTATAATGCCTAATACAATGGAAAGGCTATGCAAGTAGCTATTTTTAGTTGTATATATTGTTTGTATTTGTATTATTTTTTATTGTTTCATTGTTACTTTTTGTCTGCTACGAAATCATTTTTGACCACTTTTTATCCACGGCTGGTTGAACTGAACCCATGGATACAGAGGACCAACTACATTAAGAGATGGGGCCCTGGCCGGGCACAGTGGCTCACGCCTGTAATCCCAGCACTTTGGGAGGCCGAGGTGGGCAGATCACGAGGTCAGGAGATTGAGACCATCCTGGCTAACACAGTGAAACCCCATCTCTACTAAAAATACAAAAAATTAGCTGGGCATGGTGGCGGGCACCTGTAGTCCCAGTTACTTGGGAAGCTGGGGCAGAAGAATGGCATGAACCCAGGAAACGGAGCTTGCAGTGAGCTGAGATAGCACCACTGCACTCCAGCCTGGGTGACAGAGTGAGACACCATCTCAAAAAAAAAAAAAAAGAGATGGGGCCTTTAGGAGGTGACTGGATTATTCACCTCATGAAACAGGCCTCACACTGCATTCACCGTTTTGATCTTCCATCTTCTGCCATGAGAGGACGCAACTACAAGATATCAACTTGGAAGCAGAGAGCAGCCCTCACCAGACACTGAATCTGCCCACGATCTTGGACTTCCAAGCCCCCAGAACTGTGTGAAATAAACTTCTATTATTTATAAACTACCCAGAAATGAAAGAGACCTTTGAGCAGTCAAATCCTATCACCTTTCTTCATTCCTTATTGTTTGTAGGGATATCATAATAGTCAGAGGAGTATTGACAACATTCCATTTTAACTCTTGATTTTTAATACTGCAGCAACCTGATGGAATAACCCCACGTGGTGTTTATCAAAGGAATTCGAGCCTGGCTGTAGCCTGGTATAGCAGTCTTACTGGGACCTCCAAGACCACAGCCTGGGAGAAGAGGACGTCTGCTTGTAGGGGCAGGCCTTGCTCTTTTTATGAACACTTTTATGGGTGCCATGCTTCCCTAGAAATTCCTGGGAGTGGGTGCAAATATTGCTCCCTCTAGAGGAAGGAAGACCAAGAGTTAGGATGAAAGGGAAACTACACACGGTCATCTGCTTTCAAGTATTCTCTGGCTGGTTTCACTTTCATCATTCTTGAATTCGGAATAAATCTCAGGTGAACATCTCTCCCCATCTCAGCTGGTTTACAGGACCCAAATTATGCCTAAGCCAGAGGTTAAAGTGGTGCTGCTTCAAAGAAGCAGCTGAAGCCCAAAAGAGATGAGAATCAGGGCTGTGGGCCCTTCAGCTCCCTCCCCTGGTAGGCTCCAGCCGTTTCCAGCAACCCTGGCTCTCTGCTAATAATAATTGCACTTTGGAGCCGTGGGCGCTGATTGTAACATTGGCTGCCACTGTTCAACACAGGATCAAACACTCTGGGCACCACACAGAACTATTCTTTTCTTCTCATTTATCTTCATGGAGATCACAGCAAACTTATCACAGGACAATGGTAAAAGGAAAAAAGAAGCCCAATCAAATTCCATGGCACTAGCTTATCCAAGCTTCTTTTGGCTTATGACAGTAGGAAGACTATGTTTTCAGCACATGTCTTTGCCTGATAAAGAATAAAATGAGCCTTTGATTTTTTTTCTGTTCCATTTAATTTGGCTTCCTTCTGTACCTTGGTCGTGGGGTAGGAATGCAGGGCCTTAAAAAATCATCTGTCTGCTCCAGGCTGCCCCCATGCACAGGTGAAGAGTGGAAAACAACAACCAGTGACAAGAAATGCAACATTTCTGGGCTTTACTGAGCTCTTTCGCTGAGATTTGGGAAGGACACTTCCATCCCCAGCTAATTCTGGTGCCCCCATGCCCTGTGATTCCATAAAGCCTGCCAGGCATGTGCCCCCAGTTTGAGCTGATGCTGCATGGAAAGCATGCAGTCCAAGGCTTTTGAGAGAGCTCAGAAATTTTTAGTGTTATTCCACCATTTCTCTATGTCCATGATTCTTAATGTCAAGCCAGTAGCTTCTGACGTTCATTAGTGCTGCAGAGCCAAGGCTCCCTGACTAATACACTTCCTTTCTATCTCACAGTATTGAGCATGTGATTTTATGAATCATATTAATCACAATTAGTAACACTTTGGAGAAGTTTTTGCAACGCTTTCCCTACTATGATCTACTCCTTGCAATGACTCCAGGAGGCACCATGCTGGACACTAGATTCTCACACTTAGCATCCTCTCCCACTCCTTTCTTTGCTACCTCCTGTATCACAAGAGCCAGAAGGGGGAAAATGCATTTTCTAACTCTCTTGCAGCAAGGGTTCTGGCCGAGATTTCGATTCTGCTGATGAGATGCACTCAGGTGAGACTTCATGAAAGCCAAGCAGAGGCCATCTTTTTGGGGGCAGAACAATCTCAATAGATGGAGGAGTTCGCTGGGGCAGGGCCTGTCTGAACATTGTCTAGTCATCCCATCCGTGGTGTAAACAGTTGAGAAAGTGACTGTCTCACCCAAGCTCCTGCAGCCAGAATTCAAGCCCCAGGTAGGTTTCACTCTGAGCCCCATTGTCTTCCTATTTCTTTAAGCCATTCTCTCTTGAGGGCAATGAAGCTCCGACAAGTAAAATGAACTAAGAATAGGCAGCTGCCCACGGATGGCACTGCCTCCACCCTGGGTCATGGGGTGGCAAGACCACTGCTTCCTCTACTCTGCTCCTAACTCATTCCATCATATGGGGCTCTTTTCCAGACAGGTGTGCCTCATGAAGACAGGGGCTAGGTCACATGTTTCTCCAGATCAGTATCAAATACTGTCCTGGGAACAGTGCATAATTAAGATTATTCTTACCAGGCCGAGCTGGAATCGGACCTAGTGTTAGCAGCAATATAGGAGGGAAGGATTGTCCTTCACTTTCAATTTCCACGAGGAGGGTGCATTAGTTTGTTCTCGCATTGCTATAAAAGGATACCTGAGTCTAGGTAATTTATAAAGAAAAGGGGTTTAACTGGTGGCTCATGGTTCTACAGGCTGTGCAGCAGGCATAGTGGCACCTCCTTGGTTTCTGGAGAGGCCTCAGAAAATGTACAATCATGGTGAAAGGCGAAGGGGAGGCAGACAAGTCACATGGATGGAGCAGGAGGAAGAGAGACGGGGGTAGGTGCTACCTGCATTTAAACAACCAGAGCTCACAAGAACTCAGTCATTCATGAGAACACCCCCAGGCTCTCATCAACTCCCACCAGGCCCCACCTCCAACACTGGAGATTACCATTTGACATGAGATTTGGGGGAAGACACAGATCCAAACCATACCAGAAGGATTAGTCCTAAGTACCTTATTAGCTTCTTTCCAGCCCTTCACTCCCCATCTCAGTCCGTTTGGGCTGCTGTAACAGAATGTCATAGACTGATTAACAACAGACATGTGTTTCTCACAGTTCTGGAGGCTGGGAAGTCCAAGATCAAGGCCCTGACAGATTTGGTGTCTGTGGAGGGCCTGCTTCCTGGTTCAGAGGTGGCAACTTCTTGCTGTGTTCTCACATGGTGGAAAGGGTGAGGGAACTTTCTGGGGTCCCTTTAATAAGGGCACTTATCCCATTCATGCAGGTTCCACCCTCATGACCTAATCACCTCTCAAAGGCCTCTGATACGGTTTACGTCTGTGTTCCCACCCAAATCTCATGTCTGATTGTAATCATCAGTGTTGGAAGAGGGACAATTGTAATCACCAGTGTTGGAAGAGGGACCTGGTGGGAGGTGATTGGATTATGGGGTTGGATTTCCCCCTTGCTGTTTTTGTACTAGTGAGTGAGTTCCCACAAGATCTGACTGTTTTATAAAAGTGTGTAGCACTTCTCCCCCACCCCCCAAACTCCTGCCATCCATGTGAGGACCTACTTACTTCCCCTTCACCTTCCGCCATGATTATAAGTTCCCTGAGGCCTCACCAACCATGACTCCTGTACAGCCTGTGGAACTGTGAGTCAATTAAACCTCTTCTTCATAAATTACCTAGTCTCAGGTAGTTCTTTATAGCAGTGTGACAACAAACTAATATAGAAAATTGGTACCAGTAGTGGGACACTGCTATAAAGACTCCTGAAAATATGTAAGCGACTTTGGAACTGGGTAACTGGCAGAGGTTGGAAGAGTGCGGAGGGCTCAGATGAAGACAGGAAGATGAGGGAAATTTTGGAACTCCCTAGAAACTTGTTAAATTGTGACCAAAATGCAGAGTGATATGAACAATGAAGTCCAGGCTGAGGTAGTGTCAGATGGAGATGAGGAACCTATTGGGAACTGGAGCAAAGGTCACTTTTTTTATGTGTTGGCAAAGAGGTTGGAGGCCCTAGAGATATGTGGAATTTTGAACTTGAGAGTGATGATTTATGGCATCTGGTAAAAGAAATTTCTAAGCAGCAAAATGTTCAAGATGTGGCTTGGCTGCCTCTAACAGCCTATGTTTATATTCATGAGTAAAAAAGTGACCTGGAAATGGAACTTATATGTAAATGGGAAGCAGAATGTAAAAGTTTGGAAAATGCAGCCTGGCCATGTGGTAGAAAAGAAAAACCCATTTTCTTGGGAGGGTTTAAAGCTGGCTGCAGAAATTTGTATGAGTAAAAGGGAGCTGAATGTTAACAGCCAAGACAATGGGGAAAATGCCTCAAAGGCATTCCAGAGACCTCTGCAGCAGTCCCTCCCATCATAGGCCTGGAGGCCTAAAAGGAAAAACTGGTTCTGCTGCCAGGTCCAGGGCTCTGCTGCCCTGCCTAACCTCGAGACACTGCTCCCTGCATCCCAGCCACTCCAGCTCCAGCCATAGTTAAAAGGCCTTAGATACATCTCAGGCCACTGCTCCAAAGGGTGCAAGCCATAAGCCTTGGCAGTTTCCATGTGATGTTAAACCTGTGGGTGTTCAGAGGGTAAGAGCTGAGGCTTGGGAGCCTCCACCTAGATTTCAGAGAATGTATGGAAATGTCTGGATGTCCAGGTAGAAGTCTGCTGCAGGGGTGGGGCCCTCGTTGAGAAATTCTACTAGGGAAGGGTGAAGGGGAAATGTGGGGTTGGAGCCCCCACAGAAAGTCCCCACTGGGGCACTGCCTAGTGGAGTTGTGAGAAGAGGGCCCACCATTATCCAACCCCCAGAATGGTATACCCTCCAACAGCTTGCACCGTGCACCTAGAAAAGCCACAATCACTCAATGCCAACCTGTGAAGGCAGCCGAGGGGGCTGTACCATGCAGAGCAACACGGGCAGAGATGCCCAAGGCCTTGGGAACCCACCCCTTGCATCAGTGTGGCCTGGATGTGAGATATGGAGTCAAAGATTATTTTGGAGCTTTAAGATTTAATGACTGCCCTGCTGGGTTTTGGACTTGCATGAGGCTCCTTTGTTTTAGCTGATCTCTCCCTTTTGGAACAGTTGTATTTACCCAATGCCTGTAATGCCCATTGTACCTTGGAAGTAACTAACTTGTTTTTGATTTTACAGACTCATAGGTGGAAGTTACTGGTATTGTCTCAGATGAGACTTTGGACTTTTGAGTTAATGCTCAAATGAGTTAAGACTTTGGAGGACTGTTGGGAAGGCATGATTGTATTTTGAAATGTGAGAAGAACATGATATCTGGGAAGGGCAGAAGGTGAAATAATACGGTGTGTGTCTGTGTTTCTGTCCAAATCTCATGTCTAATTGTAATCCCCAGTGTTGGAAGAGGGGCCTGGTGGGAGGTGATTGGATCCTAAGGGTGGATTTCTCTTTTGCTGTTCTCATAATAATGAATTAGTTATCACAAGATCTTGTTGTTTATAAAAGTGTGTAGCACTTCCCCTGACTCCTGCCAGCCATGTGAAGACGTGCTTGCTTCCCCTTCACCTTCTGCCATGATTATAACTTTCCTGAGGCCTCCCCAGCCATGCCTCCTGAACAGCCTGTGGAATTGTGAGTCAATTAAACCTCTTTTCTTCATAAATTACCCACTCTCAGGTAGTTCTTCACAGCAGTGTGAGAATGGACTAACACAGCCGCACCTCCTAACACCATCACCTTGGGGATTACAGTTTCAACCTTTGAATTTTGTGGGGACACAAACATTCAGACCATAGCACTCCCTCACCAAGGGAGGTGAAGTGATGATGTGACGGGTGAATTTAGGGTGAGCAAACTGGCCCTACTTAGCTTGGCTCTGCCCAGGTTCCTCTTACCAGGAATGGGACCTCTCTCCTGGTCCTCCAAGCTCTTGGTCTGACTTGGGCAGTCCCTCACTCCACACAGGCAGGGTTGGGGATCTCGGTGGTGAATCTGCCTCTATCTGGGTCCCGTGCTAGGAAGCCCTTACTAGGTCTCACACACATCCTAGCCTATTTCTTATTTGTGAAAATCCCCACTTTGGGAGGCCAAGGTGGGTGGATCATGAGGTCAAGAGATTGAGACCATCCTGGCTAACACGGTGAAACCCTGTCTCTACCAAAAATACAAAAACTTAGCCAGGTGTGGTGGTGGGCGCCTGTAGTCCCAGCTACTTAGGAGGCTGAGGCCAGAGAATGGCATGAACCTGGGAGACGGAGCTTGCAGTGAGCCGAGATGGCACCGCCGCACTCCAGTCTCGGTGACAGAACGAGACTCCATCTCAAAAAAAAAAAAAAAAAAAAATCGCATACAGAGAACACAGGGGTGTTATGAATTTAATTGAGTCCCTTTTCCTCCAAAATTCACATACCAAAGTCCAAATTCCCATTACCATAGAATGTGGCCTTATCTGGAAATAAGGTCATCACAGATGATGAGGTCATTATGCTCCCAAGTGTTATGGGCCCGGAGCGAGGAGGGTAACACGCCTGAGTGGGATGATGATTTCTCGGAGGTTGGTAGATTAAGAGACCAAAATATGGAAGAGGATATCCATGTTGATGAGGTTGGATTTGACTGAAATGTGCTATGTCTAGTGAATGAATGAATGTACTATGTAATGTTAAGGATTTTCAGTAGTGGTCGATATTCGTGTGGGACTGATTTGTATGCAAATGTATAACAGTTGATTGAGGGATAACTAATACTTGCTTATATACACACATTATGATGAAGTCATATTGAAATGGGCTGGGCCCCAAATTCAGTATGATGAGTGTCCTTATCAAAAGGAGAAATTTGGACGCCGACACGCACACAGGGAAAATGCCATGTGAAGAGCAGAGTTATGCTGCCACAAGCCAAGAAGCTGCCAGAGCTGGAAGAGGGCCCTGGAGAAGAGCCTTTCCCACCCACTTCAGAGGAAGCAGGGCCATGCTGACACCGTGATCCTGAACTTCCAGCCTCCAGAACTGTGAGACAATACGTTTCTGTTGCTTAAGCCTGTCAGTTGTGGGGCTTTGTTATGGTAGCCCTAGAAAATACAGGGGCCATTTGCTGGTGTCCTCAGTGTCTCACATACCATGTCTGTAGGACTTTAATACCCTCCCCTGGCACAGTGCTGCAGCAGAAACCCCATTTCTGGCAGCTCGCTGGAAAGAATCTCACTACAATCTTCCCCAGGACACGTAGAACAGCTTTAAAGTGCATTACTATGTACTTATCCTTACAGTCTTGGGACCCATATGGTTCCAAGACATCCACCACTGGCTCCTCAGGCTTAACAGAAACATCTCAGTCTTCCATCTTGTATGAGTGGCTTCCTCTCCCTTCCTTCTCAACTGCTACAGTCCCCAAATCTGATGCTTCACAAGCAGTACATGCCTAATTTTTTAATTTCCTGGAGTCTCTTCCTCCTGGCATGCTGGGGGTAGCACATACAATGCTTTGACAAGAGAAAAGTGGGTGCTGACATGGATGGCCATGGCCATTTTGGGGAGCACTCATCACATTTATCAACAAATATGTTAGCAACAGATGGAAAGGCAATTCTTTGAAACGAGTTCAGTTAATGAGTGTTATAAAATACAGTGTATTAATAGAAAATGTGAGGTACAATAAGGCCACCAGATCAGGAGATGACTGATAGTTTGTTACAGTTCCCAAGAATAGGGCGCAGGCTATGTCATGGGCAGGGGAGACAGGGAAGCATCAGGGCCGCTCAGGAGGATGGGGAGTGGGGAAATGTGGGCCAGAGCCTTTATTGTGGTTTCCATGGGAAGGAATGGGTGAGGCAAGGTTAGCAGACTTATGATTGACTGGTCTGAGTAATTTCAGTGTGCTCTGGGTTTTAGGGGCTGTCTCTAGTTGTCTGGTACCTAGGGGAATTAGAGGAAGTGAGGAGGGGCCTGGAACATAAAATTCCTAGGAGAGCGGATAAAGGAGGTGTTGGGGGTATGGCTCTGGATTGGTTGGTTGGCATCTGAAAAGTGTGCCTTGGGGCAGGTTGTTTACCAGCCCTAGGATTGGCCAGCCCTGGGCAGGGCAGTCCATCAGCTTAGCAAGGCTCCAGAGGCCAAAGCTTCAGAATACAGAAAATACAAGAAATGGAATATTAAATAAAGAAAACAAATCCACTCTGACCACGCGGCTGCTGCATTGCCAGCTGCTGAAGATCCAGGTCAGGTTTCTGAATCCCACTGTACCCATCCCACGGCCACAAGAAATGAGTGTGTACCTCTGGAATGCCTACTGACCTCCGGCATGCTTCAGAATCCAATGTACATGTCCCTTCCTCCAGGAAGCCCTCCTGCACTACTCTCCTGGCCTCAGCCACCTTCTGCTGCCCCACAGCCCCATGCTTGCTCTGTCCTGGCCTTGACCCCAACGGGTCATCATCAATTGTTTACATTTCCACTCCTCCCACAGCCTTGGCTGCAGATTAGATCCACCTGGGAACTGTAAAAGATCCCACTACTCAGCACTCTGTCCTGTAAGAGGAATCAAATGAGAGCTTCTCAAGGTGGGGTCTTAGGACCCAGGTGATGTGCCACCAGGACAGAGAACAGTCACCCCAGACCATGAGTTCCTCGGCCACAGGGACTCTGCCTTCTGTGGTCACTGGACACAATGCCTGGCCATGGCAGGTGTGCAACAAGCGAACCACTTCCCAAAGAGGACGAAGACTACATTCTTTATGGTCATCATAAATGACCTTTGAACCAGGGCCCTCAGTGGCACTTAAGTGCAAAATACAGCCTCTTTCCTTCTGTCTCTCACTCTTCTCTCCTTGCCCACCTTTGGGGAAGTCCACCTCCCATGTGGAAAGCACTAACCCACCGGCCTGTGCCTGTGGCTCCATCCATTCCATTTCCACTGGCCTCTTCCATCACCCTCCTGTTAGGCAACTGCATTAATGGCCTCAATTGTTCACCCCTCTCTGGATCACCCCATTGCCATGTGCCTTTGCAATGTCTAGTCTCTCTGACTCTAGGTTTGGCCAAGTGACTCGCTTTGTCTCCTGCATTGGTGGCAAACACGACACAGGTGGAGGCTTGAGTGGCTGGGCTCTCCTGCTCTTGCTCCTGCTATGGCCATGAGCAGACCATGCAGATGAACTTGCAGGGGATAAGCTCAAGGAGCAGGGCTGAGTCACCCGGCCAGCCAGCCAAGGCCAGAGGGGATCGGCTGACAGCCAGTTGAGCCTCAGACATTGGAGTGGGTTTAGCCAACATCAACAGTCCTGCCTACCCAACCTTGGTCTTAGGAGCAAGCCCAGCCAAGATCAGCCAAGCCCAGCCTAGAGTCCCTCAACCCCAGGATGCTGTGAGCTAACGGGATGTTTTTTGTTTATGCGATTTAAGTTATGTGGTTCATTACCCAGCTTTATTGTACCAATAGAAAATCAATACAATTGCTTCCCCCCTCCCTCTATGTCTTTAAATTCCCCATTGTCTTGATCTTATGATCCTCAGCCTAAAATGCACTCAGCTCTTTTCCCTGCCTTGTTCTGAGATGCTGTATCTTCTTTCACTCTATTTTACCTCAATGCGTGGTATCTCTCTGCTTTTGCAGCTGGCTCAGAGACCTCAAATCTCAGAGCAGAATGAAAGTGTCCATTCCAAGACATAAAACCCTGAAAGATCAGAAAGTAAGGCAGACACTAGGGGAGCAGAGAAGCTTGTGAGAGATGCTTGGATTTTGTGTAACTAGCAGATTTTGGACATCATTAATAAAATATTAATGCATTTGTTTAATTATGTTTATATTTCATTTGAAACACAACTGACCAACTTGTTCTCTGAGAAAGTATTCAATGCAACCAATGATGGAACTCTTGAAATAGCAATACACAGTTATTGGTTTGTAAAAGGTTTTGTCATGCAGTTTACAAAAGGTGCAAGTAGATGCCAGCACGAATGGGGTGCCCTTAGGACTCATTTAGGAACACATACTGTCCTGCTCATCTTATGGCTAGGTCATGTTTCACAGTGAAGGTTTTGAAGGCATAAGATTAATTTTAAATGTTATAAACCTACAAAATAAACTGCTGTTGTATTCCTCAAACAGCCATTCCCCTCTTGTTTCTGCAGTTCTGCCCCACTGTCTCTACCACCTGTCCATCCAGGCACCTTCCTCTGTTTGGCCTTGTCATGCCTTCAGGATCCCACTGTCATGCGGCTGCCTCTAAGACAACCCCGCACACACCTTTCCCTCTCCCCTCTGCCCGACCTCTCCTGAGCTTCCCCACACTCTCCCCAACACCATGAAACCCATCAGCGTTGGGACCCTGTTTGCCTTGTTCATCATTCTGTTAACCAGAACTTGGCACACAGCAGGTGCTCAAGAGATGTTTACTGAGGGAAAGACAAAGGCAAGAATGGCCAGCTTCAGGCTCTGCTCAAAAAGCCGATCAGCTCCCCTCAGAAGAGCAGGTAAAGGAGGGCCATGGGCATAGAATTCTCTCTTTCTCTTCTCTCCCCAGAAAGGAGACTCTTCTTTTTCTGAGCGGAATTCCCTGCTCCTAAATTTCTTTTCTGTACCACCTGCAAAGCCACTCATTGAGTGTTGGAGTGGGGAAGGGTTATCAGCCATTCACCTCACAGTATGAAATATTATATTCAACGCTCTGTCCCACCAGCTAGCAGAGACTTTTCGATGAAATGGGAGGCTGGAGAGGGAGAAGACTGGATGCAGGGGCACTTGGGGAGTGTGTGGGGTGCTGCATAGCCAGAAGGCAGGGCTGGGACACTGTGAAGGCCAAGCAGGGGGTGGAAAAAGATGAGGAGCTCAAGGGGGCAGAACGAGATGCAGAAAGAATGTGGGGAAGGCTGAGGTGGAGGCTGAGAATGGGTACAGAAAGGGAGGCGGAATGGGATGGATGGAAATCCAAAAGGCAGGAAAGAGAAAACCTAGGGGAGGCTGCCTGGGAGCAGCCCGCCTGCCTATATCTTTTGTGCAGCAGCTTCAGGGGAGCTGTGGCCAAGGTCTGTGAGGATGGAGCCAGAACTATGAAGCCAGGCAGTCCTGGGTTACCCCCATACTCTCTGTGTCACTTTTCCTCATCAGTGCAATGGCTAGCTTATTGCTATTGATGTTTCTGTCTGAATTTTGCTTCTGGACCGCTTTGCAGGGCCAGGAAGTCTCCCCCTAGCGGTCTCTCTTAATAGGACAGAGCCTTGAGGATGCTGCCTGGAACCCAGCCTTCCAGACCCCTGCTTTCCAGACAGCTAAGCAGAACCAGCCTCTGTGTTTTCTCACCTCTTTACCCTGCTTCTGTGATTTGACCTTGCCTGGCCCTGAGCAGAGAAAGGGGACAGGAAGAGGGCGAGTTATCTACCCCTTCCCGAGCGCTTGCATACTGTGATGGGTGGCTGACCTTCGAGTCTCACCCGAGATGAGACATTCACCACCCTGCAAGGTGGGTCAATTACTTCTGCATCGCTGCTGGGAAGGCTGAGACACGGAGGTACAGCCACTGGCCCAAGGACATTCAGCTGGCTGGGGGCTCAGCTGAGTGCCACATCTGAAGATCCTGACTTTTAGATACAAACTGGAGACGTTGCTTTCGCTTCCTTTCCAGCCTTGATTTGGATCCTCAGCTCTGTCCATGCCCCAGGCATCTTGGGGCTGCTGCTGACCTTCCATTCAGGAGCACAGTGAGTTCAATCCTACTGCCCCCAAAGCACTTAGTCTGGTTCCAGCATCTGATGCAGAGATGCAAATGGTCCCATCCACCACTCCTGTACATAGGGATGCACACTATGAGGTTAGGATGCCCCAAGCTATGCTGCTGGCTCATGGAAGGTTCGAGAGGAGCTCTGAGATAGAACCATGACCTCAGCCTGCAGAGGTGGGGAAGGAGGGTGGGGGAGCTGCGTAGAAAATGTGACTCATTCATCCCTGAAGGCCTCAGCAGGGATGAGAATCCCTACTTCAGAAGAATTCGCACCTGCTCCCTCCAGCCAACCCCATGTTAGGCCCTGAGAGACGGGCCCCTGAAGCAATGCCAGTGAATTTAGTTTTGAAGGCTGTAAGTCTCCTGTTGGCATCAGCCACAATTGATTGTCAAGTCCACTGAGCATTCTTGATCTGAGCCCTAGGCTCATGGTTCTTAAACTTTGTGGGCATTCCATCCCAACACAGGACACAGGATCCAGAACACAGGAGCCCAGGCTTGCTGAAGCAGGACCGGGCCTGACCTCTGATTTTTACCAGGTCCCCCAGGTAATTCTGGTAAGGCCAGAGTTGGAGAGCCACTGACTTGGTGCCTTGCTACTCAAGGTGTGGTCCATGGACCAGCAGCATCAGCCACCTGGGAGCTTTGCAGACTCTGGACTTTGCAGAGTCTAGTCCCATCTCAGACTTACTAAATCAGTTTGAGAAGATGCCTAGGAGATCTGTGTGCACATAAAGGAAATTTTGAGAAGCCTGACATAGCCGATAGATGAGTAAATGCTTAGTGGATTATCAAGTATTAAGCTCTGCTTGCTAGAAATGAGTGTGTACTCTCATTTCACCCTCATGAACACCCTGCAAGGGAGGTGCCTTCTCCCCAGTTTACAGAAAATTACACTGAGGCTCAGAGAGGTGGGTGACTTCTGAAGCCACACGTTCATAGGTGAGGGAGTTGGGGTTGGAACCCCGGGCTCATCCTCACGGCGGCCCTGTCCTCCTCACACGGGGATATGAACAGCAATGACTTCAGATGCGAACAGTTTAAATAACTTTGATTCAACTTACCACGGCAGGACATGGACCAGAAATTTACACAGATGTTGATCCACCAGGATTGAAACAAGAGAAGGTTTCTAGCCAATGCTAATGTCCAACTCAGCAAGACCCAACCCCCACCCCCGCACTATTTCCCAGTGCCTCAAACTTTCCACTGAGAGTCCCTGTAAAGGATTAGTAGCAGGCTTACCGTGTTCATCCAGCAGGATATTGTCTGGCTTGATGTCTCTGTAAAAGAAAACAAAGAAGCTGGCAATGTGGTTCCTGAGCCCACAGATGAGCACATAGACAAGCACCACATCAGGACAAATGCTGGAACACCCAGGCTGCTCACCTCTCCCTGACCTGAAGCCTCAGACATGGAGTGGGAGAATAATTGGTAAGATAATGGGACACCTGTGTTCTTATCGCCTCTTCTCTTTCCTGGAAGTGCAAGTAGATTGTTTGAATATTTTTTCCTGAATATTCTTAATTTTTAGCCTCTCAGCTCCAGCTGTAATGGTAACAGCAGTGACTGCTCACTAAGCATGTGATCAGCACCAGCAAGGGGAAGCACCTGCCCACCTTGAGGTAGCTGAGCCATCCCACCAGGGTTCCCTGCAGGTGTCATGGCATCCACTCGAGCTCAATGAGGGTTTGGAAGTTGTCATGGTCAGAGATGGGCAAACTACGGCTCTTGGCCAAATCCAGCCCTGGGCCAGTTTTTGTATGGCCTGGGAGCTAAGAATCACTTTAACATCTTTAAAGCACTGTAAAAACAAAACAACATATACACGTACACACACCCACAGACACACAGAGGAGCACGCAACAGAGATTAATGTGGTCGTCAAAGCCTAAAATGTTGATTATCTGCCCTTTATGGAGAAAGTTTGCTGACCTCTTTTAAGGGTAACATAGTGACCCACATGGGACAAAATCTGGGCAGAGGAGTTTCTGGAAAGGTCTTCTCTACATCACCATTATAGCAAAAGGCCTCTCAATTCCAAGTGAAACATTCTGAAGGCTGAGGCTTTGCTTTCTTTACGTCCACATGCCTGTACCTAGCACAGCGCCCGACACAGTGGTAGACACACGTGAAACACCACTGAGTATAAGGATGGAGGAATGAAAGTGAGAGAAGAACAACTTCAACCCCAGCTTACTTATTATTGACGTGTACACACTTGGCGAAGCTCTGCATTAAAACCATAGATTTTACAAATGCATAAATTTTCACTCATTTATAACTAATGTCAAATCTACTGAGACTAATGATAGCTTTCTTCAAAATAAAGAGCAACTGCTCCTGAGTTTATCAAATATTAATTCTACCTGAAAACACACTGTGGTAATTTGTAGTAATGCAATGCAATATCTACGGGTTTGGGGATGAAAGAAGCGCTCAACCTATACATTTAAATTTTTATTTTCATTGTGACTTTTCAAACCCATGAGTACCGAGGAGCATTGAGTACGTGGGCCCCTGCTGCCGAGGTCACAAAGCCTCCACTGTGAACAAAGAGATTACCGCAGAGACCCGTAGGGAGCCACATGGGAGGGATGAACTTGAGAACTTATAAAATTAAAACAAAAGGCAGAAGACCTAGAGTCAAGTGCGGATGAAGTCAGCAAATGCTTGGTCCCTGCCCAGGGTGGCTCCCAGCAGGGTTTCTCAACAAAAGATGAGAAAAGAGATAATAAAATACATGTCAAGAATGAAAACACAGCAGCAAATGTTCAAGCTTATCTCTTAAGGTATCACCGGGACTGAGATGATTTAATGTGTGGTGTGGGGACCAGGGAGGAGATGGCTGTGGCCCAGGGAATGTGAGCTACAAAATGCCTACAAGGGCCACAGCCTAAAGATAGAGTTAGAGTCAGGACACAGGTGAGGTGAGGGTGGGGTGACAGACCCAAGAAGATGTGATCTGGCGTACTGGGTTGAATGGTGTCCCTTCAAAATTCATGTCCACCCAGAACTTCAGAATGGGACCCTATATGGAAATGGAGTCTTTGCAGAGGTAATTACTTAAGGATCTCAAGATGAATCATCCTGGATTTAGGGAGGACTCTAAAGACTCATGTCTTTATAGGAGGAAAGTAGGGGGAGGGATTTGGATGCAGGCACAGGAGAGAAGAAGGCCATGGGGAGATGGAAGCAGATACTGGAGTGATGCAGCCATGAACCAGAAACGCCTGGAGCCACCTGGAGCTGGAACAGGCCAGGGGCGGATTCTCTCCTGAACCTCCAGAGGAAGCACAGCCATGACTCCTCTTTGATTTTGGACTTCTGGCCGGAATTATGAGAGAATAAATTTGTATTGTTTTAAGCCACCGATTTTGCAGTAATTTGCTGTGGCAGTCCCCGGAAGCTAACACAACTGGCACGGTGGAAGGAGAGCTGATAGAGTTGAGGGCAAACCTCAAAGGGCAGCTAGGGCCCCATTAATGACAGCATGGCCTTGGACAAGCCCAGGGCCTGGCCACGCCCCCACATCCACATTGCACCGGCGCACATTGTCTCATATCCTGAGAACAGAATGGGGCACGGATGTGGCCACCTTGGTCCCTAGACCCCACAGAGCCAAGGAAAGGGGCTGTTCTGTTTGGGAGAATTCAGCCCATGATCTAGACAGTCTGTGTTCCAACTCCAGTCTCACTTTTGACTACCTGCATGATCTCTGCCTCTGCTTCAGTTTCCTTTGCTGTGTGGATTAAATACCTGATACATAACACACATTGCTTCTGTGTTGGCTCTTAGCACAGAGTGGAATCTCAAGCATTTACGGGGGTGTCCCCTTTGCGGTCATGAAGGACACGTCGTGAACAAGACAGACCCAACTGAATGGAGCTTGCATTCTAGGAAGAGAGGCACACCAGAAGGCACATGAATCAATGGCAGGATTGTAAGTTGTGGCAGGTGAAGAAGGCAAACCAGAGTCTAGAAAAAAGACTAATAGAGGGACCCTAGTTTTGGTAGATGGTCAGGAAGACCTTTAAGAAGTGGTGACATTGGGTTGACATCTGAATAGCAAGAAAAGGCCAGCTGTGCATCATGTAGTGAGCAAGTTCTCATTTTGCAGATGAGGAAGTAGGAGGATGAGAGAATAAATGATCTCACCTGTGACGTGGTCCTAGCCATGGAAGCTGACAAAGGTGATGGGTGTCACCCCCTTAATTCAGTTATGTTACAGGGCAAACTTGGTGGGATGGCAGTCCCGGGATTATGTTACATTATATGACTCTGTCTTGGCAGACTGGAGTGAGAGCTCAAGACATGAGCTGCTGTGTGGAGCCAGCCACACGGTGGGGAATGTAGCTGTCCCTGGGAGGAAGAGTGACCGCTGGCCTATATGTAGCAAGAAAACGGGACCCCAGTCCTGCAGCCATAAGAGCTGAAATCTGCCAACAACCACAAGAGCCTGGGAGAGAACCCCACCCCATGTTCCAGAAAGGAGTGCAGCCCGGTGGGCATGTGGATTGTAGTTTTGTGAGATCCTATGCAGATGATCCAGTTAAGCCCACCTGGACTCCTGGGCCACGGAAATGGAGGGAAAATAAATGTGAGTTATTTTAAGTTGTTAAGTTAGTGGTAATTAGTTTCACAACAATAGAAAACTAATTCTCTAGCTATATGATCTTGGGCCACTTACTCTCAGCCTTGTTTTCCTCATTTGGGAAATGGGAACAGCAACAGCCATCTCACTGTTGCTGAGTGTACAATGAGATGACATTTGTTCAGCACTTCACACAGTCCCAGTGCAGTGTGGAAGAAGTGCTGAAATAAGTCACAGTGATGGGACTGTCATTGCTCTTTCAAAAGGAGCTAGGGAGAACTCAGAGGCAGACTGGCAGATTCTTGAGCCTTTAGCAAATTAGGTCTCTTTCACAGGAGACTGCTGGGCAGATGCCTGCAAAGCAGCGTGGAGGAGATGGAGAATCTGAATCACTTGGGATTTAATAAGAATAGCATTTTATGGGTAAAGCATCTTAGCAGAGCCTTTAGTTTAGCCAGTTTCAGGACCGTTTCCTCCAGCTCTATTTTTCACATTGATCGTATCTCAGCTCCAGCGCGTCATCCTGTTGAAAACGGGTTTGAACGTTCAGAAAGGGCATCAGGAGCATTGCATGGATGGGAAGGCGGTGACGATGTTTCCTGAGGACAGACCCATAATTTCAGAGTTGGGCAAAATGACACTTTGATGGAAAGTACGCATGCAGGGCTATAAAACCCGGTGCTGCTCTTGAATTATTCCCCAGCCCTCAAATAAAACAAAGCATAAAATGTCAGCTGGGATATTTTAAAAAACAGCATAGAAATGGCTCTGATCCAGAGGTACCCATGCACAGACTGCAAAGCAGGGCCACCAGGATGTTTCTGCATGTGTCTTTTGGCAGGGGGCTTCTCAATATTCTATGCTGGCAATCTTATGCAGCAGTAAAGAGAAATACAAAAACCTGGAGGGGAAAGCTAGACTAAGCGAAGTAAAAATCTGCGGCTATTTTACAACTAGTGAAGGGAATATGCTATCCATATGCATGCAAGAGGGAGAGGGAGGTAGCAAAGGACAGAGAAGAGAGACTTGAGATCCAGTCCTGAGTCTGCCTCTTGCTGGCCATGCAGACAGGAGAACGCTGCCCTGGGTGAGTGATAGGGTTTGGATCTGTGTTCCCGCCCAAATCTCATGTCGAATTGTAATCCCCAGTGTTGGAGGAGGGGCCTGGTAGGAGGTGATTGGATCATGGGGGTGGTTTCTCCTGAATGGTTTAGCACCATCCTCTTGGTGCTATTGTCATGATAGTGAGTTGTGGTTGTTTAAAAGTGTGTAGCACCTCCCCCACTGTCTCTCTTGCTCCTGCTCCCGCCATGTAAGACATGCCTGCTTCCACTTTGCCTTTTGCCACCATCGTAAGTTTCCTGAGGCCTCCCAAGAATCCAAGCAGATGCTGCCATGCTTCCTGTACTGCCTTCAGAACCATGAGTCAATGAAACCTCTTTTCTTTATAAACAACAGTCTCCAGTATTTCTTTATAACAACATGAGAATGGACTAAGACAATGAACATTAGCTTCCTCACTTATAAGTTGGATAATAATGCCCTCTCTAATGGCTACAGTGAGGATTGGATGAGATGGTTCTTATGACAGCAACCAGCACAGGGCCAGGCACATGGAAAGGTGCGATTATGAATAATAACAGAGTGGGGCAAAGACATTTCAGTAGGAGGTTGAGCCAACAGAACAGGCACTAGGGAAGGATGACCAAAGGCATTTACTGGGGGTTGGGGAGGAATGGGAGGGCTTCACCTTGGCTGTTGACCTATGCCTTAGCCAACTTGAATGGGACTTGGCACCCATCCATCAGCAAGCTGATGTGGGATAGGATGCTTAGAATCTGTCATTGTATTGGCATGGATCATTCTCCTAGAAACTGAGTGACAATTAAGAAATGACAACACATCATCTCTACTCATTAAACATTACTTCTTTCTCCCTTCTGTCTCCTGCTTCCTGTGGACATGGGGACCAAGTACAAACAGCAGCCCCCAACACGGTGCTTCAGTGTTAATAGCAGTCCTGACAGTATTAACAGCTAAACTTTATTGAGTGTTGGTTGTGTGTCAGGGACAATCTGAAGTGTGTTATGTGGATTTAGCCATGTGCAGTGTGGCTATTTGTTACCAGGTGCTGGGGAGGCACTCCATATGTCATTATCTTGACACAACTCTTAGAGATAGGTATTGCTACTCCTATTTTACTGATAAAGAGAGAACTATTTACAGAGGGTCAGTGGTATGTCTGGTTCCTCCTTGTGATTTGTCAAAGGTCAAACACCGGTAGAGGTAAGACCTACTCTCATGTTGGTCTCTAGATCAATGTTCTCTCTCTGTGGGTGGGGAAATGAAAAAAAATAAATTAGGAATAAATTGGGGTTCCCAGAATTCTAAAGTAGGCAGTAATAATCTGAGGAACATGCTTATAATAAAGATCTGATTTGATTTTTAAATTAATTAATTATTATTTTTTGAGATGGAGTCTCGCTTTGTCACCCAGGCTGGACTGCAATGGCATGATCTTGGCTCATTACAACCTCCGCCTCCTGAATTCCAGTGATTCTCATGCCTCAGCTTCCCAAGTAGCTGGGATTACAGGCGTGCACCACCACACCTGACTAAATTTTGTATTTTTAGTAGAGACGGCGTATCACCATGCTGGTCTCAAACTCCTGACCTCAAGTGATCCACCCGCCTCGGCCTCCCAAAGTGTTGGGATTACAGGCGTGAGCCATCATGCTTGTTCTGATTTGATTTTAAAAAATTATGTTATTCACATTTCAGGAAACTTATCATTTATTACACCATCCACATGCAAGATTGCATTTCTTTTTTAATATGATTCAAATATCCTTACAAAGCACAAATCTGACCCTGTCCCTTCTCTACATAAATCCTCCTAATGGCCCTGTGGTGCCTATGGTGCTGGTGCGAGACTCCAGATTTGATGTTCCAATATAATCTCAGAGATGAAAAGTGAACACTGAGATGTGCTTGTCCACTTTAAAATCTGACAACTAAGGTCATTAATGATAACCGCCAAGTGCTACCATCATACATGCATGAGAGGGGAGGCAGAGGGAGCCATTCTAGCCCAGAAGAGTCACAAAGACACAATTTTAGATGGAAGCACAGTTGTCACGTGTCCCAGGCCCATTCGTGGTCAAGTGTTTAGAAAGCACTGATCCAATGGCCAGATTCCAAAGGCCTTCAGGCATTTCCTGATCTGGCCAGTAGGCTTGACCTCTGCACCCTGTGGCCCAGCCAGGCCAGACCATCTTGGGTGCTCTGGGTGCCTCGGTCTTTCCCTGGCCTTATCTCTGGATGCCACATCCTTTTCCCTACTGAACTCTGACCCAGGTTTCAGGATACAGCTCAGTTGCAATCTTCTCCTGGGATATTGTCAAGGGTTGCAAAATTCATGTCTACCCAGGTACCTAAGAATGTGATCTTATTTAGAAATACTGTCTTTGCAGGAAAGTGTGTGTCTATATGTGCCAGCAAATAGCGTCTTTGCCAGAAAACTGTTACTTGGCTAGTAAGGTAGTTCTGTCTTGCATCTAAGTTAACAGAAGTTGTCCTGGATTAGGCTGAGCCCTAAATCCAGTGACTGGTGTCTTTATATGAAGAGAGAAAACAGGCCAGGCACCGTGGCTCACACCTGTAATTCCAGCACTTTAGGAGGCCAAGGCAGGTAGATCATGAGGTTAAGGAGATCGAGACCATCCTGGCTAACATGGTGAAACCCCATCTCTACTAAAAATACAAAAAAATTAGCCAGGTGTGGTGGCGGGTGCCTGTAGTCCCAGCTACTCTGGAGGCCAAGGCAGGAGAATGGTGTGAACCTAGGAGGCAGAGTGAGCCGAGATCGCACCATTGCACTCCAGCGTGGGCAACAGAGTGAGATTCCGTCTCAAAAAAAAAAAAAAAAAAAGATAGAAAAGAGACACAGGTAGACACAGAGAAGGCCACATAAGGACAGAGGTAGCGTGTGGAGTGACACATCTACCAGCCCATGGCATAGCACAGATTGCCTGAGACCACTGGAAACTGGGAGAGAGGCAGGGGACTTCTCTCTCAGAGCTTCCAGGAGAACCAATTGTACCAACATCTTGATATTGGACTTCTGGCCTCCCCTCCTGAACTGTAAAAGAATACACTTCTGTTGATTAAAGCCATCCAGTCTGTGCTACTTAAAGACCTCCTCTGACCCCGTGCACCTCCCTGCTTTCCTATGTCCTGATACTGTACAGCTTGACATTGTCCATTTACTCCCTGCTGCCAGGAGACCAGGTACACACAGAGGAGAAGGCCACCTGAAGACAGAGACAGAGGGACCAGGAGAGCACCAGCCCTCTGAGCAGGGCCAGGCTGCTATTCAGAAAAGGGTTACTGAAAATATGAAAAAATGAAAGACCTTACATAAGGGCTGAACACGGCCTCCTCCAACTTTGAAGCTTGTGAAGCTCCCAGGGTCCTCAACCCTCTGGGACCTTGACTTCACCCTGACAAATGGGACAGGAAGCATTAATGTGAAAGGGGAAATTCTGCAGCTCCTGTCGATGGACACTCTACCCAAACGCCCATTATAACTGGGATGGCTGTGGCTGGGCCATGGCCAGCAGAGCTGAGCCCTACTGAGTGTGTCTTCTCTGCCAATGACTGTTCCAGGCACTTGGCATGTGCTCCTTGTGTAATCCTCACAACTACCCATATCAGGGACTCCCTCACCACTGCAGTAACAACCACTACAAATGGAGTGAGTCCAAACAACACACCTTCATTCTCTCACAGTTCTGGAGGGTGGAAGTCCAAAGTGAACCTCAGGGGCAAAGAGTAAACCGGCTGTGTCCCTTCCTTCTGGAGCCCACAGAGGAGCTCTGTTCTTTGCCTTTGTAGGTTCTGGAGGCTGCCCAGGTTCCCTGACTGCTGGCACCCCCTTGCGGCACTCCCACCTCTGCTCCTGCAGCTGCATCTCCTACTGCTTCTCCGACCCTACTATCTGCTCATTGGCAGGAGCCTTGTGATTCCATTGGGCCCACCTGGATAATCCAGGAGACTCTTCCCACATCTTGATCCTTACCTAAATCACATCTGCAAAGTCCCTTTTGCCCTGTAAGGTGACACAGGCACAGATTATAAGGATTAGGATGTGGCATCTTTGGGGGGGGCATTTTCAGTCTATTGCACAGCCCTTCCAGGTAGTGTGATGGATTGAATCGTGTTCCTCCAAATTCCTTTGTGGAGGTCCCTATTCCCAGTGTCTCTGAATGCAACCATAGTTGGGAGACAGGGCCTTTCAAGAGGTGATTAACGTAAAGTAGGGACATTAGAGTAGACTCAAATCCAATCTGACTGGTGTCCTTATAAGAAGAGGAGAGTAGGATGCATGGGGAGACATCAGGGCCCTGTGTGCAGAGGAACGGTCTTGTGAAGAGCAGCAAGAAGGCAGCCATCTGCAAGCCAAGGAGTAAGGCCTCAGAGGAAACGAAACCTGCTGGCACCCTTATCCTGGACTTCCAGCTTTCAGAACCGTAAGATGATTAATTTCTGTTGTTTAAGCTGCCCAGCCTGTGGTATTTTGTATGGCAGCTTTAGCAGACAAACACAGGTAGGCAGTATTGTTACCCTTATTTTACTGGACAATGAAACCAAGGTGAGAGGAGTCATCATGGAGTCCGTATGTGGGACAGCCAGGATATACCAGTTAGAGATCCGTGACTTAATTTGAAGGCATGGAAACAATTTTTTAAATGTACACACAGCCTAATAATGTAGTTCTGTCTTATATCTATTGTAAAACCCCATGCTGCTACTCAAATCATTTCCTTCTTGCTTTGTCCTTTGGGAGAGAAAATGCATCCAGTCAAGCCATGCTTGGGGGTTGCTGATTTTTTTTTAATCCTGCAAAGAACAAACATCAGCCTGGATGACAATGATTAATTCAGTTCAAAAGCTGTGCCACTCCATGGGGCCTGGATGTTAACTTGGCTACTAAGGCAATTGCATTCAGCTAATTACTCCCAAGTATATCTCAGGGAGATTTCAAAGGTTTTGGGATTCACAAACATGTGCAAGGATGCACCAGGGTCAATTAATTCCTTCATGAATGGGTGAGCCCCGTGACATCCCTCCCTTGGCCCAATGAGGGAGTCATCTTCTTAAGAAGCTTGGACCTTCTTGGTCCACGCAGCCAACACAGACCCACCCATCTCAGTTTTCTTTCTTTCTACTTCCAACTAGAACACTAAATTGAAATGATAGATCCGTGAGTCAGCCTGCTTCACCAGACCCTGAGCTCCCCAAGGCTGGAGCCATGGTAGTAGCATATGGAAAACAATAGAAGGGTGTGGAGAGCTGGGGTCCTACGGTCCTGCAGTGACTGCAAGGCAGCCTGTGAGTATGTGTCATGTTCTGAAGCCCCTCACACATGAACAGCAGTTCAAATCCTTACTCCAATACTGTGTGGGTCTCAGTTGTTCTCATCTGTAAAATGGGAATAAAATGAAATACTGTATGTCAAGGACTTACTCAGTTCCTAGGATATAGAAGTTGCCCAATAAGTGATGATTAGTTCTCCCATCCCCTGCACCCATCCCTACTTAGCAGGGAGTTTAGAAGGAAAAGGAGGTGGCAGAAAGAAACATGGAGGAGTGGACGCCAAAATGATGATGACCATTTGTCACATTTGTGCAGTTTTGCAGTTCACAAAGCCCCTTCCCATACTGTGATTTATTTAATCCACCTGCCAGCCCTAGAGACCCAGCATTATCTTCTTTTTGATGGATGAAGAAACTGCAGCCTGGAGAGGTGAAGCGACTTCTCCATGGTCATAGTTAAAAAGTGGCAGAAGTGGCCGGGAGTGGTGGCTCATGCCTCTAATCCCAGTACTTTGGGAGGCTGAGGCGGGCGGGATCACCTGAGGTCAGGAGTTTGAGACCAGCCTGGCCAACATGGTGAAACCCCGTCTTTACTAAAAATACAAAAATTAGCCGGGCATGTGGCAGGAGCCTGTAATCCTGGCTACTCGGGAGGCTGAGGCAGGAGAATCACTTGAACCCAGGAGGCGGAGGTTGCGGTGAGCCAAGGTTGTGCCATTGCACTCCAGCCTGGGTAACAAAAGAAAACTCTGTCTCAAAACAAACAAACGAATAAAAAAACAAAACAGTGGCAGAAGCATGCCAGCTCCTCTGATGCCCATCTGGTGCTCTTCCATTTCCATCCTCTGGGTGGGGCAGAGATGTTAGGGGCAGAGTCGCTTGACCGACCTGTGCATGCTTCAAATACACCAGGGTCCTGTGTCTGCATGCACGGCTGGAGTGCCCTCCTCCAGGCCCCAATCTCTGCCTGGTCAACTCCTCTGCACCCGTCACCTCTCAGTTTGGGCATCACTCTCTCTGAGAAGCCCTCCTTCAAGCCCTGGGTGCACCAGGTTGCAGTCTGAGTTTTCCCTGTACCTCACTGCATGTCACTGGCCTGGCAGTGAGCACAGGGTATATGTGCTTGTGTGATTATCTGACTGAGGCTTGTCCTTCCCAGTAGGTGCTGAGTTCCATCGAATCAGGGCCCATTCCTAGATTTGCAGCCCTGGCACAGCATCCAGCATCCAGCAGGTGTTCAACAGACACTGGTGGCATTATCCCGTCTGTAAATTTGTCATGAGGCAACCAGAGAGGCCCAGGCTTCCGTACAAGGCCAATCAGCGTCAGGTCCTGGCTTGGGGCTCAGGCCCTGGTCCAGGCTGGGATCCTCGAGCGCTTCCTGCTGACAGTTAATCATAGTTAATTGTGACCCCCAGCTTTCCCAGGGGCCACCGCCCAGCTCTCGTCTGATGTCATTCACGTTCAGCAGTGTGCATCTTGCCACGATCACGTGGTCTCTCATTTTCCTCCTGGATCCAGCCTTCCCAGCGGGCTCCAAGTGGCTGGGCCTGTGAGATGCTGCGACTCTTCGAGAGCTTCCTATTTCTGTGAAGACGCTCAGGCCACGGCCTCATGTTCCTCATCCAGCTTTCTGAGGACAATGCGGGAAAGATCTCAAGTTCGTATCAAGGCTGAATCCGACTCTATCCACGTGACTTCTATTGGAATCCGAGAGTTGGACCCAATGGAGGGTCCAGCCACCACCCGGAACGACCTGGTCATTTTCCAGATGAGGGGACCTACGTTTAGATGAGTTAAGTAACTTCCTTCGAGTTGTCTGGGAAATTAGTGCCAGAGCTGGGATTTGAAATTTGCTTTCCTGACTCTTGTAAACTTGACAGTGTGGATTTTATCTGGGTCATTGGGAAAGGTATTTTAGAGCCAAAAGGGATCTAAGAAATAATTGTGTTTCTCCCTCTCCTTACAGATGAAGACAATGAGGCTGAGAGATGTTCAGTTACTAGGTCAAATTACAAATATGTGCACTTCAAACTGGGCTCAGGTCTGGATCAATCTTTCTCCATGGCCAGTGCTCTTGGACCATCAAGAATTACCTTTTCCTGCTTCTACCATGGTTCCCACTCCCCCTCCCTCTGGCCCACCATTTCCACCCTGCACTATGCATGGGCTCTGGACTCACACCAGCCGGGAGCTCTTTCCAGCATTCAACATATACTTACTGAGACCTGCCTTCTGGAGCTTACCCAGGAGCTAAGAAAACAAGAGACAGTCAAAGATAAAACTGCATAATATGATACGCTGAGGGAAATAGAGGGGGAGAGTGAGGGTGCTGTGTGAGAGACAGACGGCTGGGAAGAGTCCAGGGAGTACAAAGGCCAGGAACTGTGGGCCAAGAGCTGTGGGTGGGGCCTGTGGGTGGAGCTCTGCATGGGAAATCTGGGTAGGGGCTATGGGTGGGGCTGTGGGTGTGGGTGGGGGCTCTGGGTAGGGGCTGTGAGTGGAGCCGTGGGTGGGGCCATGGGTGGGGGCTGTGGGTGGAGCTGTGAGTGGGGGCTGTGGGTGGAGCTGTGAGTGGGGGCTGTGGGTGGGGCTGTGGGTGGGGAATGTGGGTATAGCTAGGGGTGGATCTGTGGGTGAGGTTGTAGGTGGAGCTGTGGGTGGGGGCTTTAAGTGGAGCTGTGGGTGGGACTGTGGGCGAGGCTGTGGCTGTGGCTGTGTGTTGAGGGTGTGTGTGGGGGCCATAGGCCAGGAGAGGTGGAGCAGCACAGGAGGCTGTGTAGGTTCCATGAGGATGGACTGAGTGCAGGAGCCTTAGATCTCTGCTCTAAGTGCAACAAACGACCTGGAGATCTTTGCAGAGGAGAAGGGTTACACACCACACCTGTCTTCACAGCAGCCCTGGGAGGAGTGTGGTCATTTCATTTCCCAGGTGATAAAATTCCAACCTAGTAATCTTGCCGGAGCATGCCTGGCCTCTGGAAACACTGCCTTTCCTGATGTAGCCATCTCCACTTGTGGGAGCAGAGGGAGCCAGAACCCCCAGCCAAACGCCAAAACCCCCCTCCCTCCAACACTCACAACCTCAGCATGGTCACCCACCTTGGGACCATGCCCTTTATCCCTTTACATGGGCACGGGGCTTCGAAGCCACTCTTGTCTCCTGGAATCCTGTCCTAAACACAGGCACATCCCCCCATCTGACTTCTTCCCTCACCTGCCCTGACACCCAGACCTTCTTCTGTCCCCTCGGAATTCACAGTCAGCATCAGGTCCCTCTCTTCAAACATTTCCCCCACCCTCTTGCCTTAATCTAAACCCTCCTGTTCTTCTCCCCCATTCCCTCTAGCTCTGGCCAGGAGGGAAAGCCTCACCCTTGCTCCTTCCTACCCAACCCCTACCATCTTTAGAGCTGGGGCCATCACGTCACCCGTCTCTTCCTTCCTTGTTGCAGTCACCTGTGGACGCTCGGAAAAGTCCCACCACGACTCGAGGGTTTCACTCCTGGTCACTGTTGCCATCTGCAACACAGTTCCAGCAATGACCTTGGTGATGGCAACAACCGTGTGACTGGGCATCTGGCCTCTTAAGTTCTTGACTCCTCTTTCTCCTAGGATCTCGATCTCCACCTGCCTCCGCCACTCACTCCATGGCCACACCTGGCCTCTCCTGTCTCCTCAAACATCCCACTCTGGAATCGTCACAGCCCCTTCCTTCTGTTTCCTGCAATTCTTCAGTCCCACGGGCACCCACAATCCACCCACCTTTTACCTCCTTGCTATCCATCAGGGTCATCACCGACTTCCCCAGCCCACACTCCATGGTCTCTCACTGAAGTCACGCCTTCCCACATCCTCGACTCCCTTGACTGTTCACCTGGCGGAACCCAAAGCCTGGTTAATTTCTACTTCCTGATGACTCCGCACTGCGCCCACCCAGCTGAACGTGGCTGCAGAAAAATACAACCAGGGAATTGAGTTTCCCTCTAAATCCCCAATCCCTAACAGTGTCTCTGTGGGTTCTTTGACCTGCCCCAACCCTGGGATATCCTCCTTGTTCATTCATTCTCCATTTTAGAGGGCATTCTCTCTCTTTTCAAACCTCCAGCACCTTTTACTCCCCAAGTCTCGGTGTCACCATTGACTACACTGTCCACACCCCACATCTGCCTGAATAGCAAACCCTGCTGCTTCTACCTGCAGAGCATTTTCCCCTCCAGAGTTCCTGCATCTTCCCTTTCCTCTCCAGCCCATGCTCACCAGGGCAGAGCTGTCAGCCTTTGCCCACACCCTTCTCGGGACTTCTCCGTAGAGTAAAACCCAGGTACTCTCAAAGGCTTCCAGGGCCCTGATGAGCTGGGCCTACCCCCTCCATCCTCCTTCCACTCACTTCGTCTGGCTGCACTGGTCTGCTGAGCCAAGCATTGTCCCCCGCTATGGCCTCTGCCTTGCTGTTACCTGGCCTGGAAGGCCCATTCCCTAGATGTGCACAGGACCCCTCCCTCTCTCCCTGTGATGATCGCCCAGCTCCCCAGCGCTCCCTATCACCTCCCCTCCTTCATTTCTCTCCATGCCCTTATCATGCCTGACACTGTATCCACGTGTTGTGTCTCTCTCCCCATTAGGATATAAAACTATGACAGCAGAGACTTTATCCCCCCACTGCTGTATCACAAGGACTTACAACAGAGTCTGACACAAAAACATTCAGTAAAGAGCTGCGTGGATAGTTGAATGGATGAATCAGACACAGCCCCAGAGGTCCAGGACTCAGGATGGCCCTGCCCCTGCTGATGCCTCATCACCTGTCTTTTCAGGGTGAGTCCACTGCCTAGTGGTTTCAGAAACAAGGGTCCCTATTACCAGTGCAGCACCCCAGGCTGGTCACAGCCTCCACCTCTGTGGCAGGGCTGGGTACCTCCATTTCCCATAAGCCCCTGTGCAGTTCCAATGCCTCCTGAGGATTGAGAGGCCTGCTCTGCTTCTGGGCAAGAAAGATCATCTGAGCTGGCTCACAATGGGATGCTACGAGTCCTGGGCTCGTTCAGGGGAGGATTTTGTTTGGAATTCTTAGTCGCCAACCTCTGGCACATAGGCATAGCCTCATTAAAACATGAAGCTCCAGTGGTCAGCTCGGATTCCTCTGGGAGCCGGTTGGGATGACTGTCACAGCTGTTGAGTCCCAGGGGTAGGTGGAACCAGGAGCCAGGCATGTTCAGTTTGCCTCGTGTGACAGGGGAGGGCAGGAGCATCACCTCTTGAGGCACAGCATGAATACGTATGTGGGAGTCAGACAAGCTGGCGCGGTGGGCACAGATCAGCTGAAAAATACGCACCCTCCAGGCCCGGACACCCACACTCACCTACCCACGGCTGACTGCAGGGCCCAGGGTGGCCCCACAAAACCAGAGATTTCTCTTTCCTGATTTTACTAGAAATGTGGGAGCCCTGGTTTGAAAGCAGAGTCGACGTGGAGACCTTTCCGGTGAATTAATATTTTAAGAATTGCTATTTTTAGGGCCCAATCTCTCTGTGAGTATCCTCCAAGGGGACATGCTGCCAAAACGCATAAGAGTCAGAGAGCCCTGGCTGTTGACACTGGAAGGGACCTTAACTCTGTATGAAGCAATAGCCCCAGGTTCCTGACCTCTCTGAGCCTCAGTTTCCTCATCTGTAAAGTGAGCTAATCATGTCTGTCTGTAACGGCTGTTGTGAGAATTAAATGCAATGTTGCATAAAAAAGAATGAGTCCAGGCTTGGCATATGGTGAAAGCTTAATGAATACATCAAACATTTAAACATGATCAATTTCCAAATAAGAAAACCTTGCTCGGGAGAAGAGAAATACCAGACAGAGTCTTACAGAAAGCAGTAAAACTGAGACTGGGAATAAAAGCTGGGGTCTTTTTACTGAGAACTCTTGGGAATTTTGCTCTTTAGGAAGACCACAGAGCGGGACCCCTGACCACAGAGAGGGACCAGGGGACCTTTTCACATCTCCCTGCATTCCTGCCACCCAAGGGGAAGGAGGACACAGATGAGAGGGAAGGAGCCAATTGCCCTTGGAGGAATGCAGATGACCCCAAGGCGACATTGTGGCTGTATTATCCGGCACCGTTCACAGCACTTTACATGTATTATTTCATTTGATTCTCATAGCAGTTTTCTGTGGTGTAGGATATGCTGACTCATTTTGTTTATTTTATAGCTAAGGAGTCTTATGCTCAAGGAATTTGAGTGACTTTCCCAGGGTCACCAGCGGGATGGTTAACTTTATGAGTTAACGTTGACAGGGCCACAGTACCCAGATATTTGTGCAAACATTCTTCTGCATGTTTCAGTGGGAGTATTTTTGGGTAAGATTAACATTTAAGTCAGTTGACTTTGAGTAAAGCGCATTGCCCTCCATAATGCAGGCAGGCTCATCCAACCAGTCAGAGGCCTTAACAGAACAGAAACTGGCCTCTCGCAAGCAAGGGGGAATCGTGCCAGCAGATGGCCTTTGGATTTGAACTGCAACATCAGCTCTTTCCTGAGTCTCCTGCTGGCTGGCCTGTCTGCAGATTTTGAACTTATACCTCCATGATCGCATAAGCCAATTTCTTAAAATAAATCTCTTTCCCTCCTTCCTTCCCTCCCTCCTTCATACGCACACATCCTGTTGGTTCTGTTTCTCTGGAGAATCTTGACTACCACACTCAACTAGTAAGTGATGGAAGAGCCAGGATTAAAAACCCAGACAGCTGCTTCCAGAACCCATTACCATCTTTACAGGGCCCCAAGGACACAGGGTGGGAGCAAGGTGGGGGCAGATATGGCAGAGCCACTTTCAGAAAAAGAAATGTATTACAAATAATCCATGTGCTATTTCCTGAATCCACACCTCTGGGTAGCGAAGGCAAGAAGTAAACAGAGTCCCATATAGGATGGTGGAGGGACAAAGATGGCCAGCCCCTAGCATGTGCTGACCACATTTTCCATGCCACACTGAACTGGCTACTGCACGGGCATGATCTCATTCAATCGAAAGCCCCTTGGGGCTGTGGGGATTGTTACTGTGTTAGTGCTGCAGATGAGAGGGCAGCTGCTGTCTTGGTTGGTGCTCAGCTGAAGATACCATGAGAAAATGCTCCCTCCAACAGCATCAGAGAGACCTGGTTTCTAAGCCTGGCTCTGTCTCTTATTAACAATCTGACCTGGAGACTTAAATGCTCTAAGTCTAGCTTCCTCATCCATCAAACAGGGACAGCAGTTCTTCCTTGAGGTGTAGAACTAAAGAATAATGAAGATAAAGGACCCAAGGTCACAGCACAGTTCCTAACCAGGGAGTCTTGGGAAATCATCTATTTCCATTCATTCTATCACATTTTCACAGCTTACTGTGTGCCAGGCACTACTGTCTACTTAAAATACAGTGGACGAAACTCAGGCAAGTTCTTACTTGCATGGAGATTACATTCCAGTAGGGAAAGACAAGGAATGGGAGGAAAACAAATGATCAGCGTGGTCATTTACACTGTGTAACTGCTCTGCAAATTGCTTCCCAGGCGGTGGGCCAGAGAGTTGGGAGGACGGGTGGGCTGCTGGAGAGGATAATGATGACGTTGGCACTGACAACTATGATGAGCTGCAGGACCTTGAACAGGCGCCTTCCCTCCTCTGAGTCTCAATTTCTTTACCACACCATGAAGATCTAAGCTCTACTTGTAGGCTGTTGTAAGGACTGCATGATTGTAGGTAACAGCAGTGTCAGCTACAAAATGGGTGGAGTCCAGTGCAAAAAGAAAATGCAGGGCCCTTTGTTCAAAGCTTTAAGGATTTCACGATGGCAAGTACCGGGCATTAAATCAAACACGGACCCTCCTTCATGTGGGGCCTTGTGCCACCAGCCACCCTGGTAAAGGCATCTGCGTGTCATGGGTACTCAGTCCCAGCTGCTCCTATGGGGTGGGACTTGCACTTCCTGCTTTGCACACCATCAGGGGCTTAGCAAGAAGTTGCTGGCTCAAGGTCCCATTAGTGTGGTGCTTGGACAGGATTCTTGTCCTGTGAACAAAATATCTGTTCACAAAATTAGACATAGCATCAGGAAAATTCCTGTACCTCTTCAGAGTAATGCTCTTCTATTTCATAGTATAATTTTAAATGCAGAAGCCTGGCCTTTTGCATTCTCTTGGGTAGCGTTGGAGAGATTCGGGAGGAGGGCTGGGAGGGAAGCGAGGGCCTGGATTAAATAGATCAGGGTGTGCGTGGCCATGGGGATGGGGTTGCTCTGACATAGCATGTTCAGTTCCATTTTCTTTTTTATCTGCTAAGTGAAGAGATAATGAAATAGCTTACAGCCAGCTGCAGGATGGGTCTGGTTAGGAGCGGCTTCACCAGAATAATAAACATATTCAAATTGCCCCTGAGAAGCAAGCAGTGGGCTGGGGAGATGCTCTGCACAGTGAGCATAGCCCCGTGATCGAGGCAGTGGTTTTCCTCAGGGCCTGTCTCTGACGGTGGTAGCTACAGCTGCAGCCCTGGGAGTCACAGTGCCATAGCCTTAAGCTGCTCTGAACTGTTCCCAGCTTGGCAGTCATCGCTAAGGTGATCCCAAAGCAAGGTGATCCCAAAGTTTTATCAAGTGCAGCAGGAGAAGAACAGAATGCTGCTATATCAAAACACCACGAACCGGGGGCTTAAACAACAGACTTTTCTTTCTCACCATTCTAGAGTCCAAAAGTCCATGATCAAGGTGTTGGCAGGGTTGGTTCCTTCTGAGGCCCTTTTCCTTGACTTGCAGGTGGCCATCTTTGCCTTGCGTCCTCCCACAGTCTTCCCTTTGTGTGTGTCTGTGTTCTAATGGCCTCTTGTCGTAAGGACACCAGGCATATTTTATGTATTAGGGCCCATCCTAATGACCTCACTTTAACTTAATAACCTCTGTAAAGACCTATCTCCAAATGCAATCACATTCTGGGGTACTGGGGGTTAGGGCTTCAATGTATGAATTGGGGGTGGTGGGCACAATCCATCCCATAGCACTCTCTCACAGGACTTTTATGTGGAGAGATGGGAATCCCATGGACCGTAGGGTACCAGAGTGGGGGAGCCTCCTGCTCTGGACACCTCCTGGGGAATAGAGAGCCCGGGAGGAGCTGTGTTTCCTGAAATCAAGGAGGGGAGCACGCAGTCAGCACAGAGACAAGGCTGCTGGAGAGTGTGGGCCATGTGCTGGATACAAGGGGGCCCTGGTGAAAGTTCTGGAAAGAAAGGCAATGTGGGGAAGGGCAGCCAGGGGTAGCACAAAGGCCGATGCCACGGGCTTTGGAGACCTGGGTTCCAGTCCAGCTCCGCCGACAGTCTCCTAAGGAATACAGTAGATGCCCAGTCATTCGCTACTACCAACCTCATCATTATCACTGACCAACAGGTAGGGAGGGGGCAGCCTCATTCAGGGCTAAATTCTGGGATTTCTCTCCTTGGTGCTCCCTTCTCCCTGACCTTAGTGTTGACCCTGGAATCTCTTTCAGAGCTCACCATCAGCACAGCCAGGGCCTGACCTCTCTCCACAGAGCTTTTTGTCAGCCATCTCCTGGGGTCTCACAGAGGCAGGGTAGAATTGTCACCCCTTTTGCAGATGACGCCTTTAATGCTGCAAGGATGGCAGCAGCGTGCCAGGATCACAAGCCCCAGTCAGCAGTGAAGCCCGAGTCTTCGGGATGGGGCTCCAAGAAACCCTCCCCGTCACAAACTCATCTACCCAGCCAGCGTTTCTCAAAGACATTTCCACCAACCAGCAGCAGGTGTGCTGACTAAAATGCAGAGTCCATTCTCCACGATGTGCTTATTTCACACTGCATGTCTGTATCAAAACATCTCATGTACCCCATACATATACACACCTACTATGTACCCATAAAAATTAGAAAAAAAGGGCTTCCAAACCAGTGGAGAAGACAAAGGGCATAACAAACCCTATCAATACTATAGAATGCAAAAAAAGAAGAAAACAGAAAGATAAAGGGCATAGGAATTAGAAATAAACAAGTTCAAATGTATCAGGAATCATGATAATTGTAAATGATTTAACTCACGTCATAAAGGAAAAAAATAAAATAAAATGCAAAGTCCAGGGCTACGACCCAGGCACAGGGCTTCAGAATCTCTAGGAGCTTGGCTACTGGTCTGCCTTTTGCAGATCCAAGTGATGGATCTGCAGCCTCAAGTGTGAAAACCGTTACCATGGACTGTCATCCTTGTCCCCGCTCATCAGTTCCCTCCTTGCCTGTCTTCCCTCCCCTCTAACGTCTGTCTTTCATAAAGTGCCTGCTGTCACCAGTGGGCGCTACTGGACTGGACATGAATGAACACTCAGACAGACGGGGAGGCAGTTACTCCTTTTTCAGTTCTTTTTAATTTTCCTAATTATGTCAGGAAGAATGTCTCAACTTGGTACTATTACGTCTTTAACATCTCAGTAACATTTGCTAATTCCCACTACCCTTTTTAATACAAAGCGAGAGTAGAATCCATCTCAAATCCTTGGTGGGCACCCAGTCTAACCAGAATTTGGTACTACTATTTTGTTTTTATTTATTTTTTATGGTTGTATTAGTCCATTTTCACACTGCTATGAAGACATACCAGAGACTGGGTAATTCATAAAGAAGAGAGGTTTAATTGACTCACAGCTCCAAATGGCTGAGGAAGCCTCAGGAAACTGACAATCATGGCAGATGGGGAAGAGGCATGTCTTACATGGTGGCTGGCAAGAGAGAGTGAGCAAGAGCAAAGAAAACTGCCTTATAAAACCATCAGATCCCATGAGACCTCACTCACTATCACCAGAACAACATGGGAGAAGACACCCCCATGATCCAATCACCTCCTACCTGGGTCCTCCCTTGACACGTGGGGATTATGGGGATGACAATTTGAGATGAGATTGGGGTCGGGACATAGAGGCGAACCATATCACTGGATATCTTTTGTGGAAAGCAGGTGAGATTGGTTTGCCACTGAGGATACTGATATAAAGTCCTCCTTTAAAATAAGTGCATTAAGTGAAAGAAAAAGAATTGACAAAAAGAGTAAGAAGGCGCTTATAGGTGTTGTGATAAGACAGACATGGAGAAAGAGTTTCCTGAATCTGAAATTGGGAACCATTTCTCTAACCATCTGCCAGCCTGGAACACAATGTGGGAAGCTAATCCCTTTGAAGGTAAGTTCTTAATATTTCACCCCTTTTGCTGTTATTTTTAATTTGAGACTCTTTGCTGTGCCTCAATTTAAAAGTGTGAATTTTTAATGGAGAAATGTTAGCGTTGGGGTTGGGTATTTTTAAAGAATATTTCTAGATGCACCGCACCATACCATATAAAAGTCCAATGACTCCCTCTAGAATCAAGACTCCTTTGGCCATAGATAGAGCACTGCAGTCCTCAGGATGAAGTGCAGAGAGCTGCCAGGAAGCTCTGGTGGCTGTGGGGAGAGCTGGGGGCAGGGGTGTAGCAGTCGGACCCTTCTTGGTAGGGAGGGCTCAGAGGGGACTTTCTGGAGCTGGGAACTAACCAGAAATTGAAGCAGGGGCAGAGGCCCTGGGCAGACTGCAGGGCACCATCAAACAGGAGAGCAGGTGGGTATGGCAGAGGTGGAGGCTGGGGCAGGCCGAGGGCAGAGCATGGGGCCAGAGGGGATGTGGGGAGAACTGGCCCAGGAGGCTAGGCTTTTTGAAGAGAAGCCACTGTAGAATTTCTAACATGGTGGTGACCTGTCTATTTGGCATTGGAGAGTGCGGGGTGGAGGTGTGGACACGAAGTCTGACCAACGACCTGAAATGGGGCTTAATATCCTGGGGGTCCTCTGCTCCCTCCAGCCTCATTTCCATCATCCTGATGCTGACAAATCACCCTATTTCTGACAGTTTCCAGGGATCCGTGTGCCCTTATGGAGGAGGAAAGAGGTAAATCTCAGTAAGTGTTGGCCTTTCTAAGATGGGTAGGGTCCATGGTCCCTGGGTCTTGCCAGTGCTCTGAGCGGATCCTCTCCAACCTGCTGTCTGGCAGGTGGACGCCTAGGCCAAAATGGGAGCAATGAGAGGGAGAGAGGGGGGCAGGGGAGAGAGAGAGAGAAAGAGAGAGAGAGAAAGTGTCCTGGCAGGTAGATATTTTTGTATTTTTGCTCAGTGCTATCTGAGCACCTGCCATACAGTAAATATTTATTTGGCGATGAATGAGTCCCCCAGCAAGACTGTAAAAGAATAAAGGAAGCATAAATCCACAGGGACAAAGGAGGAACTCCTATAGCACGTGTTTAAAAAGCAAAAGCAGATGGAGAACCTGGTCCGGCGGAGTGGAGGAACTCTGATTTTTGGGCTCTCAGAGGGGATGCCAGCAAAGCAGAGCACCCCCACAGGACCTGGAAAATCTCCAGACCTAGAAGGGGAGGGGACCACTGAAGATGGGGTGTGCTGGGGGCTGGATAGTGGGAACTCTGCGTCCAGAGTGTTGGACTCACAAATCTACTCTGCAGTCCTGTGGTGCTGGGACATGCAGAGATGAGGGTGGAGGTGGGCATAGGCTGTAAGTGGGTAGGGGAGTAAGCCAAGGTCTGAACTGTGAGTGGTGTCTCCAACCCCTACTTCCTTCCCTGCCCTCCTCATCATCCCACAGAGGAACCTGCCCTCCAGGCTCTTGCTGCTTGATTCTCCATTGTGGAGCACTCCCCGCCCCAGACTGACCCATCAACTTTCTACCGTCTCATTCTTAATACTGAGGAACAGTCATCAGTAGACATTTGAGGAAAACCTTCAAAAAACAGAGGCCAAAACAAAGGGAGAAAAGGACCTCAGAGGAAACAGAAACAAAGGCAGCAAAGAGGAAACTTCACAATAACTCGAATTAATATCCTCAGAGAGGTAGGAGAAGATATTGTGTTCTTAAAACACAGAAGATGTGATGAAAAAGAAGTAATTTTAGGACAAGAAAGAGCTCTTGGAAATCAAGTATATGTGAACTGAAAAAAAATTCATAGAAATGTTTGGAAGATGAAGTCAAGAAAATTTCTCAGAAAGCAGGGTAAAAAGTCCCAGAGATGGAAAAATAAGAGAAAAATGATAAAGAAAAATAGCAGATTTATCAACAAGTCTACTATCCAAATTATTGGAGTTTGGGGCAGAGAGCACCGTGGAAGCAGAGGGGTCTGTGTGTTCCTGGGTCAGTGTGGGGGCTCTAGGAGCAGGCTGTGTACAGGCATGGTGGGGAATAGCAGAAGGGCATGGCTGTGAAATTGCAAGTGAGCTGGAAGGACTGGGGGTGGATGCAGCAGACAGAGTGGGGGACGAGGCTGGACAGCAGTTGGGGTGGCAAGATCACGGAAGGGTGTGCATGGCAGGCTGGGCGCCTGGAGTTTCAGAAGCCAGATGGTGAGACCACCAGGGGTGGGAGGGGACTTACAGGCGCTCACATTGACCTCACTCGGGTTCATTGGTTCCTTGGCTCATGGGAGGAGAAGGTTCTTCTCTAGAAATTCCTACTCAATCCTTCTAATTACCTCAAAGAGGAGTCTCAATTGGACTCTAGTATCTCCTTAACTTTGGACGCTTGCTAATCTCCGCTTTTAGGGAAGAAAGAACAGACATTGTCAGGCACCCTTGGCAGGCAGTGGTGTTAGCTGGCACTTAACAGCATTTTTCTGGTCTCACTGTATTTATTTTTATGCTCACTGCTGTGGTTTGAACGTTGGTGTTCCCCCCCCGCCCCCGTCAATATTCATATGTTGAAACATGAGCCTCAATGCAATAGTATAAGAGGTGGAACCTTTAGGAGATGATTAAGCTGTGAAGACTCCACCCTCGTGAATGGATTAATACCCTTATAAAAGACGCTGAAGGGAGGTGCCTTGCCCTTTCTACCACTTAAGGACATACAGAAGCATCTTCTATGGGGAGCAGGCCCTCGCCAGACACTGATTCTTCAGTCTTGGACTTCCTCCCTCCAGAGTTGTGAGAAATAGATTTCTGTTGTTTATCAATGAACCAGTCTAAGGTATTGTGTCACAGCAGCCTGAATGGGCTAAGACATCAATCCATTCTATTATTAGTCCTTATATTTATGACAAACTCTTTCCTCTTTAAGGGACTGATGTGAAGCGTCTTTTTGAAACACACTTATCTTAGCAAAAAGCATTTTGTCTATTATAGAATGTTATTCAAATAGTAGTACAGATGATTTCCAGATAAAGCAAAAATCATGAAGATAGAGAATTAGTTTCCTAGGGCTTCTGTAACAAATGACCATGACTGAGTGGCTTCAAAATACAAAGGCCAGAATTTCAAAGTCAAGGTGTTACCCTGAAGTTCTAAGGGAGAACTCTTCTTGCCTCTTTCAGTTTCTGGTGGTTCCTGGCATTCCTTGGCTTGTGGCTGCATCACTCACTTCCCTGCTTCCATTTCACATGGCCTTCTCCCCTCTGCATTTCCTCTTCTGTCTCTTATAAAGACATCAGTCATTGGATTTAGGGCTCACTGTAATCCAGTATGACCTCATCCTTATTCTTACCGGCAAAGATCCTATTTTCAATTAAGGTTGCATTTTTGAGGTCTCAGGTGGACATTACTTTTGGGGGAACACAATTCAATTACAGTAGGTAGTATTTGTTGGTGTGTAGATAGAGCAGAAATCACAAAGGTTGAAACCATCTTGGAAGCATGATCATGGGGGACCCACATACTCAGATTGCAGAGACAGCACTTTGCTGTGTGGAGTGAGAATGGCAGAGAAGACTGCATCAGTCAAGATCTGGGACAAAATCGGTGGGATGGGGAGAGAGGCGGATTCCTGAGATATTTCCTAGGGGCCCTGCAGATGGGAGATAAGGGGGACACAAAGGTGTGTGGGCTGCTATGCAGGTGTCTGCTCCCAGTGATTCCCAGGTGTTTGGATGAGATTCATAATTAAATTGGTGGACTGGGTAAAGCAGGTTGCCTCCCTTAAGAGGGGGTGGGCCTTGTCCGATCAGTTGAAGGCCTGGCTAGAACAAAAGGTCTGATCTTCCCCTGAGAAAAAGGGAGTTTTTTCTGCCTGACTACCTTAAAACTGAGATATTGGCTTTTTACTACCTTCGGACTCAAACTGAAACATGGGGGTTTCTCTTGGGTCTTGAATCTGCCAGCTTTCAGGCAGAAACTACACCATTGGATCACATGGGTGTTGAACCTGCTGGCTCCCACTGCAGATCTTGGGACTTGCCAGTCTCCACAGTCATCTGAGCCAATTCCTCATGGTAAACCTTCCTTCCTACACACATATCCTATTGGTTCTGTTTCTCTGGAGAATCCTAATATAGCTGGGCGAGCTATATGCATGAGTGCCTAGAAACCAGAGCATCCTTTCCTTACTCTGTTTTCTGTTTGAGTCCCACTTGAGGCCAAATCACAGTTTCAAAGCTTTCTCCCCTCCCCACCCTCCACAAAGCTTTTTCTGGCTTTATAGGCTGACCCCACAGCAATTCCAATCACGACTCCCAACTGCTGTGAATGAAATACTTGACATATATTCAATATTCAATCTTTATTGACTTCAAATGAATGAAATGAGGATTCCTCATTTGGGTCATGGGTCTTATGTCCTGAAGAGGCTCAACCATGCTGAACCCAATCATAAACTTTATTGGGCTCATGGCAGAAAACTAGGCTTTCATGCTCCATAGCATAAAATCCCTTGCAAAAATCAATCTGAATTCAAGAAAGAAATACTGATGCGTGGCAGAAAGGAAGAGCTGGACCTATTAGTCTGAAATAACCGCCCCCCCCCCCAACTTTCTCCTGCTGAGGCCACGAGCTCGAAGTGTGTAGATGCAGTTATTACTGTAATGATACAGGTAGAGCTGAAATTTTATTAAATAGTCCACTGACCCAGAAAAGATGGGAACAGAGTTGTCATCTTCTCCTTTTTAAACATTCTGAAATTTTTGGTCTAGTGTATGATGAAATATTAGATTACTGACACTTTCCTTAATAGGATGGTAATATTGAATAGTAATGGCCGTGTCTCGAATGTGAATGTGTGCTAAGGGAGTGAGAGGTCGGGAGTCCTGGGCTACCTGAAGCTTCAGGGCTCCTGCAAAAAGAATGACAGCACCATCATGGCATTTTCGGTAAATTAACCAAGTCCACCTACAGCCCGGCTGGACAGAGATGGCAGGACCCAGGGAAGTACCCAGAGCTACAGCATGATTCAAAAGGTGCTGCTCCTCCTTCACTCATGGGTCAGACATTCATCAGAATCTGCACCTGACTCTCTGTTTCCACATTTACTGTTCTGTTGCTGCTTGCCACGGTCCCCAATCCTTTGACTTTACTTTCTCACATGTAAGCCCTTCTGACTGCAGGTATGCATTCTCCTCCAAGGGGTTGCTCAGCTGTTGGCTAAGGTTATAGTGTTTGTCCCTTCTGTGCCATCTGCTGTATCTGCTCGCCTGCCTGCAGGCATGAGTGTGACCAATGCAGCCCACATCCTGGCCTGTTTCCAGGGCTGGAGAGAAGTGGCTTGTGCCCAGAAGGACATCTCTGCAGTCACCTGTGTGTGTTCTGCATGGAGGTGCTTTCAGCCCCATGGGGTATTGCCACCACCTGGGAAATGAGCTTACACAGTACTTTTGTCTGAATTGGGAAAAGACTCCCTCCAGAGAGAGAGGTCAGCAAACTCTGTCCTGGGGCTCAAGTCTTGATTTTGGAAATACAGTTTCATTGGAACTCAGTCAATGCTGTTCACAGATGCACTGTTTATTACGGCTGCTTTCTTGTTGCAGTGGCAGGGTTGAGTAATTTTGACAAAGACCCTGTGGTATGCAAGCCTGAAATATTTATGATCTGGCCCCTTTGGCAAATGTTTGCTTGGCACGCAGAGCACAGCCAGGGCTGGATTCCAGCCTCCCACCTCCCCTTCAGCCGGCTGGGCCTGGTGTTGTCTTTACAACAACCGCGCGAGGGAAATAAGACAAGAATCAGGCTCAGGAATGACAAAGACTCTCTCCTTAACCAAACTTTAGACAGGCTCCCCTGAACCTGCTTTTCTCCTAGGCCTCATCCTCGAGACCCATCTTTGGTTTGCTAAATCCAGTTTTAGCAAGATTCCTGCTAAGTCACTTTAGCAAGAAACCCTCACCTTTGATATTGGATCACCCTCCATATCTGATCCAATTCCTCCTCCCCTACCTTTGATGTATAAGCCCTTGGCCTGTCTTTAGCAGGAATCCTGTTAAGTCAGTTTATCAAGAAGCTCCCTACCTTGATGTCTCCTCTTAGTCATTTTCCATCTACTGATCCCTCCTTCTGCTCATTGGCTGTAATCCCAGCTGTCTTTGCTGTGATTCTGAGCTAAATTCCATTTCTCTGCAACATTGTGATAAACTTTACACTCACTGCAATAGTCCTGAATAAAGTCTTCCCTACCATTTTAACAAGTGTTAGAATATATACACACACACACACATATATATACATATATATACACATATATATACATATATATATATATACACACACACACATATATATATATTTAGATAGTGTCTTGCTTCGTCACCTAGGCTGGAGTGCAGTGGCATGATCATGGCTTACTGTAGCCTCGACCTCCTAGGCTCAAGTGATCCATCCATCTCAGCCTCCTGAGTAGCTGGGACTACAGGCATGCACCACCACATCTGGCTAATTTTTTTTATTTTTATTTTTTGTAGAGATGGGATTACTCCTGGGCTCAAGCAATCCATCCACCTCAGCCTCCCAAAGTGCTGGGATTACAGGCATGAGCCACTATGCCCGGCTGTCAGAATAATTTTTTTAAACAATTTTTTTTAACAGATGAGGTGAAAACCTCATTTGAGGTCCCATGGCCAGTACATAGCAACACTAGGGCTCCAACCCACGTTCTGTGGCAGTGAAGTCCAGTGACTTTGCTCTGTGTCACCTGCTTCTTGGAAGCATCCAAGCCCAGAAGCTTCTTTTACACACTGAACACTGGGCTTGACGTGGGGCTCCCATTTGCTTGAATAAGATTGTTCATCATTACAGAAGTGTAAACAAACCTCTGACTCACTCTCTTCACAACCATCTTTACCCATTGATGTCATTAGTCACTCTTTAGGATTTACCTCTCTCCAAAGAGTTTCTAAAGAATATATTCATTGATGTGTTTATTCATTCACAAATATGGTGCAGCTCCAATGTGGCAGGTACCAAGTCAGCCAATGATAATACCACAGCGAACAAGATGTCTGCAAGGAGCTTGCAGCCTGGTGAATTGCTCCATATAATTATATGATGAATTGCTCCATATAATTCTGCTTAATATACTCTTTGAGGGTCGGGCGTGGTGGCTCACGCCTGTAATCCCAGCACTTTGGGAGGCCGAGGCAGGCGGATCACCTGAGGTCAGGAGTTCGAGACAGCCTGACCAAAATGGTGAAACCCCGTCTCTACTAAAAATACAAAAAATTAGCCGGGCGTGATGGTGGCGCCTGTAGTCCCAGCTACTCGGGAGGCTGAGGCAGGAGAATGGCATGAACCCAGGAGGCGGAGCTTGCAGTGAGCAGAAATCGTGCCACTGCACTCCAGCCTGGGCGACAGAGCAAGACGCCGTCTCAAAAAAAAACAAACAAACAAACAAAAAAAATATACTCTTTGATAGCTACCTTGATGATTACTCTTAGCCTGTATCTGGAAACTGCACCTAATAGGATCATGATTGAAATCCTCATGTTGCCTGGCCACCAGGCTCAAGGAAGGGATGCATCAAATCTTGGCACAATTGGTCTGATGCCTGGCAACCATTCACCCCTCACCCCAAACTCTCATGTATTAATACAAAGACCATGAGGGTAGAGCAGAAACAAGCAGGCATGATGTGTCAGCATGAAGAAGGAGCTATACCTTTTCTTCCCCTGCCCATGAGGACGCCCACCTTCTGAAGCCAAGAGAGGGGCTAAAGAGTCCCACAGGTAGACATCAGAGCTGCCTGCAAGAACTGATGATTTGCATTCTGTCCCCTGGCTGCATGGTTTCTTGGGCAGTGAGCCTGCTGCCTGCCCTCTGCTGATCTAAGCAGCAGAAGAAAGAATGAAAATGAGATGTAGACAGATGAGCAAGAATTAGTTTTGGCTCCTAGATGACTGTGGCTTAACTAAAGGAAGAAATTTATGTCTCTCTCATGTAGAAATCTAGAGGTAAATGATTTGGAGCTGGTCCCTCAGCTGGGCACTGTGAAATCTTTGGGGGAACCAGGCTCACTCTGCCATGCTTAGGGTGTGGTTCTCTACCCACTAGGATGAAGCTCTGGGCCTCATATCTCCAATCCAAGCAGCGAGATGGAAGAAGAGTGGGAGGAGAGGCGAAGAGTAAGTGTCAGCCAGATCTTCAAGGAGTTCTTAGAAGCTGCCTTGCCATGTTTCCGCTCACACCTCATTGGCTAGGACCCAGTCACACAATCACAGCTAATGCAAGGGAGGCAGGGATTGTGGGGTGCGATGTGGACAGCTCTGTGTCCACATGCCCAGCTACAATTCTAATACTACAGACCATGGGAAGGACAGCTGCTGGAGGACAGTAGCCATCTTTGCCACAGCAAGGAAGAGAAGAGGAGAGTGGGAAAGCAACCCCTCCTCTGCCCCAGCATCTGGCATGGCAAGGATGAATGAGCTTCCTGCGGAGCATATGAAAGCATTTAGCTGGGCTTGCACAGTGTCCCCAGGCAAGAGGACACCAGCAGTGGATTTCTGGGGTGTTTTTCAGAGGACAGGAACTGCAGGAAGGTGGAAGATGGAGGGTTCACCCTGGAATACTCATGCCAAGCAGTCCCTGCCAGCCCTCTTAAGAACTCACTCATGACTCATGAGAGATGAGGCCATCGACCACCAAGGCTACCTGGGTTTACATCCCCTATGACCTTGGGCACATTGCAGTGCCTCTCTGTACCTGAGTGCTCTCATTTATAATTAGGAATAATAGTAGACCTAACTCATGACGTTGTTGTGAGGATTAGTGAGTTACTGAAAGCAAAGCCCTTATCATTTATAATTAGGAATAATAGTAGACCTAACTCATGACGTTGTGTGAGGATTAGTGAGTTACTGAAAGCAAAGCCCTTATCATTTATAATTAGGAATAATAGTAGACCTAACTCATGACGTTGTGTGAGGATTAGTGAGTTACTGAAAGCAAAGCCCTTATTATTTATAATTAGGAATAATAGTAGACCTAACTCATGACGTTGTGTGAGGATTAGTGAGTTACTGAAAGCAAAGCCCTTAGAGGCAGACCTAACAAGTGGTGAGTTTGCCATTGTGATTACTATTGGGACACCTCCGGGTAGAGGATGTCAAAATCCAGTCACCCAACAGCAAAAGGACGAACATGGGTTTTGCTTTCCATTTCCTTTCCATCTCTCCCCTCTTTGACTTACACATTAGAGATGCAAGAAACCCAGAAGAGGTAGAAATCGGGGGTGGGTATCTCAGAGGCAGACCCTGACCTCCACACTCACATTTCAAGGTAAGAGACAGAGGGAAAAGAAACGACGGAGCAGTGAAGCCCCCTCCCCACCTCAGGTTCCTTAAGCCACCCCTGGGCGGCGATGTGGACAGGGAGAGGTCTGAATCTTATATGAGATTGGAGTTTTAAACTGGACTAGATTGGACTTGTAATTATTAAAGTTTTCTGGAATATAATGGAATCCACCCAAGATGGGCTCTGCTGTCCAGCAGAGAAAAGACATTTGCCATGGCACAAACGGGAAAGGATACAATAAAAATAAAGACTATTTTATTTAAATAGACCAGTGGCAGAGATCACATAATAAACTGGCCATGCGCACATTCTTCTTTTAAAAGTTGACCTGTACTCAGCAGGGTTTAGCAGCCCTATGGGTGGCTTGACTGGGTTGATATCAACAAGCCAGAGGGAGCTTTAGCATTGAGGCAGTTGAGTCTGCTGGCCTTCCAGCCCTATGCTCCATTCACATACCCGTCCTTTCTACAGCATCCTACTCAGCGACCCCCCAGCCTCCACTAACATGTGGTCAATAAGGAGCAAGCTGCAGTCTCGAAAGAGTGTTGGCTACAGGAATGGATAGCTCAAAACCCTTCTCTACCTGATGCAGAGTCCACCCACCATCCCCGTCACGTTCACCCTTTTGCTCCAGTTCTGTCTGTGCAACCACACATTTAAGCATCTTTCCTCTTCTGTTTGACAAATCAAAAGGCATAAAGAACTATCCTGGAGCTGCCCTGTGGTATTTCCAAACCATGAGGCTAACCGACCTTTCACTGGACGGTGACAAGAGCAACTTCAATGTCTTACGAAAGGCCCGTGTGTTACATTTCTATTTTAGCTTAGTTCTAGGGGGAAATGTGAATTCTTTCCAGGAGAAAAAGAAGTTTTTCTTTTTTTTCTTCTGCAATTAAAATCTAAACATGGAGAGAAGGGGAGGTGGAGGACACTGGAGTTGGCAGATGTGAGTTTAAACTCCCTTCACTACTTACTATCATTTTAATCTTCTACAACCTACTTAACTTTTCTGGGCCTTAATGCTCATAGCTGCTAAATGGGAGGGGTGTGGCTAAGAATGCAACAAACCAGGTAGTGGTGGGGACTATATGAGAAGGTACACAGGATGCACCCAGTAGAACCCTGTAACACACTGGGTACGCAACGGATGGCAGCTACCATCAGGGCCACTACTGATATCGTTTACTCAGATTTGCTTTCCAAACTCAGTAGTCAAGGAATCTGGCATCAAGCTCAACAAAGACAAGGTCAGGATTTTGACCCATGTCTGCTTTTGTGAAATGCCCAGGGCTTTCACTCAATGTGATGTTTGCAAAGAGCCCATTAATAAGCCATTTGAGTCATCGCCTGGGCCGGGTGACTGGGCCACCCGTGCCTCTTGCCCTCCTCGGTAGGGTTGCTGTGCACATTTTTCCCTCATGGGTGTTGCCTTGGCACCTCCAAAGCATCCAGAATCTTCTGTGTTATCTTGTCTCATCTCCACTGTCAGCAACGGAAAAAAATGAGTATCCAGGAGATTAATAAGCTTGTTCCTGTGACTCAGAGATCAAGTGGCAGAGCCAAGCTCCAAGCTCAAGCTTTACTTCATAAATATTCCACTCTGTTTTAATTTTTCCTCCTTGTCAAACCCTTTGGGAAGGTAAGAGGAAGAAGGTGCGAGCAAACAGAATGAACTGTGAAGGAACACACCCAAGTCTCAGCACTCTTTCCCTTTATTGCTTCAACCCTCACAGCAATTCTGAGGCTGTCATCCCCATCCCCATTTTTAGGGATGCCAACTCTATCAAGGCCCAGGGGATTGAGGCCACTTTCTGCTCGGAGCACAGCCAATAGGTGGGGGATCAAGGGCCCTTGGCTCACCACCTCTCCTGCTCTCTTTCCATTGACAGGTTGGCCTAGTTTCTTTTGTAAGTAGGTTCCAGGTAGGCATGCATCCTACAGAAATAAATACACGGCAGGAGGAAGTATCCAGAGTCTGCGCAACTGTGAGTTGCCCATCAACTCTTCAGGCACATCTGTAAACACTGAGGAGTGTGGAGTGCTGAGTCACAATCTCTAAATCAAGTCCTTTCTCACGCTGCCCTTTAAAATCCCACGCCCTCGGCCTGATTGTTAACAGCATACCTTTGTGACATGCAAACACATGCACGCTCGCGTTTGTAACTTCCTCTCCCCAGTGACTCACTCATCAGTCCCTTTTGAAAAATGAGTAACATCAACAGCAAAGACAAGCTCCCAAGTTAACTTTTCAATGCTCCACGGGAAAATGGGTGTTAAAATGTTGAGAATGCCACCTGCTTCCACTTTCAATAGAAACTCTTTGTACTTTCATGCAACTGGTGGGGTTGAAGGTTTGCAAACATGAAAGTTTCCTCTCCAGCCCAGACTCTAATTTCACTGCTGTAAAACAGAGTGTTATTTGATATGCAGCTTTTTAAGAATGCAGGTGAACAGAATGAATGGTGAGAACATTGACAGACTTCTACAATAAGAATAAAAAGAGGTTATATTTAGTTTCCTTTAGAGAAATGTTAGAGGTTCTAATTGCTCAATTCCCTCACTTCCTCTGGACACACCAAGAACCTACTGTGTGCCAGGCACTGTGTGACACAGTGAAGAGTGCAAAATGCACCAAACAGTTCAAATGAGTAAACCCTTGGTCTGGTGGAGGAGGCAGATACGTAAATAAATCTTTTCTATTACAGAAGTATGCCAAAGTTCCGTGAAAACATAGAAGGGGAAGTAATTACATTGTTCAGTAGAATTTGGTAAGGCTTACTAAAGAGATAATATTTTTTGGCCCGATGCTGTGGCTCATGCCTGTAATCCCAGCACTTTGGGGGGGCCGAGGTGGGTGGATCACCTGAGGTCAGGAGTTTGAGACCAGCCAGGCCAACATGGTGAAACCCCATCTCCACTAAAAATACAAAAATTAGCCGGGTGTGGTGGTGGATGCCTGTAATCCCAGCTACTCGGGATGCTGAGGCAGGAGAATCGCTTGGACCCAGGAGGTAGAGGTTGCAGTGGGCCGAGATTGCACCATTGCACTCCAGCCTGGGCAACAAGAGCAAAAACTCCATCTAAATAATAATTAATAATAATAACATTTTTTTCCAGGCAGGGTTGCTAGAATGCTAGAAGTGAGACATTCAGGCTGAAAGACCATTGTGAACACATGGAGGCCTGAAGGTATATGTGTGGGTTGGGACTGGAGTAGCATTTTTCTTCTGCTTAGCATGATTTCCTGCTCTCTTCTTCTAGCTCCTTTGGGGATCCCTCTCCCTACTGAATATGATTCTAGAGGGGCTGTCCCTGGGGCACAGCCCACCAGACAGGTGGTACGTGGTTCAACTCATTCAGGGATAGTCACGTGACTCAGGCAGAACCAATCAGAATTTTCTCTTGGCTAGTTGTGCGACTCAAAAATAACCAATCAGAGTCTTCTCTTGGGTTGGTATATGAATTTGGTGAAAGAGAAACCCCCTTCCACTGTAATGGCCCAGCTGGACACAGGCAGTGGGGGTTTGCTGGCAGGCATGTTGCCAGCCCACTGAAGAGTGCATGTTTGACAAATGAAGCTAGCAGGGACCTGCAAAGCAGGATCTGTCTCTTTCCCCTTCTCTCTCTCTCTTTCACTGAGGCCCAATAATAATAATAACAGATATGCTGAACTTTATTTCTAAAATAAAATTATTTTTTCTTAAACTGGCTTGATTTGGGTTTCTATCATTCTGAATTTTTGTGCAAACAATTATGACAAGATGCTGTACCCTGGCAGCTTAAAGCACCAGTGGGAAAAGTGAGAATTAAGGGGGTCAAATCTTGAAGGATTTGAATGACAGTGCTAAGGCATTAAGACTTTGTCCTGTGGACAGTGGGGGGGGTCAGTGAATGTTTTTAAGAAGCAAAGTGATATGGTTTGATTTTTTTTTCAAAAGGATGCCTCCAGCAGGGGGATGGATCAATATATCTCTCATAATTCATTAGTTTATGTAAATATTGACAGAACCTTAACCTACTTAGTAGGGATAGAGAGAGAATACATATTTTGAAACTGCTGATTTCATCTGAATATGCCAGGAGGGAGTTTTCCTTCTCGGTAACTAAGATTATTTAATTAGCAATGAAAATTGGATTCTTCTATGGCAAATAATGGGTAAACACTTCAAAGGAAAATCTCTCACACAGCAGAACCCCCATAGGTAAGAGGACATGTGTCACAATTAGCAAGCACGTCTATTAATAAAGAAAACAAAAAATAGTCACAATACAAAGGCTCAAAAATGCTTTTCTCCACCCATAATTCTTTGGCTGATTAGAGCATGTTTGCTCCAGCTGATCTTCATAGTCTTGATCTAAAAGTCATTCTATTGTGGCCTAAAAGCCTCAGCCTTTGACAAGCCCTGTAATTTCTAAAAAAAAGCAATGTCAGGCTTAGTAACTGAGCTAAGACATGAACCTGGCACCAAGTCTGGAGTCTGCCTTTAATGGTTAAAATCTGCCCAGAACCCACAGGACACAGCTCATCAAGGCTTTGGACTCTCAGTCACACATCAGTGGCAGGATCTGGTGCCAACCCTGGATCACCCTGTGGCCTTGGCAAGTCATAGCTTCTGAATCTTTATTTTCTACACCTCTAAAAAAAGTGGAATCATAAAATATAGCCAAAGCGAAATAATAGGTGCATAAATTAAATTAAATGATGCAAGACCCTTTAAAGTTAAAATTCAAACTGTTGAAACATCTATATAAAAGATGTATTTATAAAATTTGTATACTTTCATGACTGCATTCTATGCTCACCCTTTAAACATTCCTGATAGGCACCGTGTTAGGCTTTGGGGATATATTGATGATGAGAACATGGGACAGAAACCTAGTGGAAGAAATGTGTTAAGTGAAGATGGCAGGAATGTGGTTGTATGTGAGATGCTTTGGCAGCAGAGAGGGCAAAGCACTGAGATCTCCAATGTGTTTCCTGTGAAGTCATGGTAGCTGTCATGCAGGGCATAATGCCTGAGTTTGGAGTGACAACACAACAAAGTTTTTGGGAAATCACCCAGGCAGTATGGAGGTTGAATTGATGAAAGCACTAAGTATAACCATAGAGACAAGGTTATACTAGTCATGTGCCTGGTAGTGATCAGATCTCCAGTGTCCAGGTGCCTTTGCCTCAGGGAAGGCACAGATGGAAGACTAGAGAGTGGAAATTGGGGAGGATTCAGGGTATTCACCCCAGCCTTCTTTGGGTATGCCTCTGGAAGAAATGCATCTCTTCCATTGCTGTTTTTCCAGCTTTTATCAAACAGCCCCTGCCTCCGTGGTGGCTGTCAGGCTTTCACCAAGCAGGTCTTCTGAAGGTCTAGTTTCCACTGCAGGGACCTGGCTGCTGCTAATCTCAGGGCTGTTCCATCATCCCATTTGCTCCACAATACAGAAGAAAGGCATCTGTGTCACTAATTTCTTGTACAAAGTGCCCTCTGTTTCAAAGACTCATGGTGGTTTCTGTCTTCTACCTGTACCCTTAGTTATCCAAAGGCGCATCAATTAGCCCAAATGAGAGATGGTGATGCATTGAGGCAGAGAGGTGAACCAGGAGGGTTTTGAATTTCAGTGGATGTTGGAATGGGAGAGGAAGAATTGGGGCACTTGACAATTTACAAATAGATCATGAGTGCATAAAGGCTGAAATTTATTCATTCAATGTCTGGGGCTTAGCTGACTGTCTATGACTTATTTGTGCCTTCATATCTGCGATTCCAACTTTAAATCGAGGAACACAAGTAAAATGTCTATTTTCAGCACCACGGAGAGTTCCTCGCTCCCAACATACAATTTTTATTGCTTAAAAATGTGTTCTATACATCTTGATGATGATGAAGTCTCTCATACATTAAAGTAAGCTTGTTTACTATTCCAGAGATAAATTTAGTTTCTGCACCAAAACATTTATAATTTTCAAGTTCGTTTCATGGTGGTGAAAAAAGGAAGCAACCTCAATTAGTATGAATATGAAAGGTTAATTCTAATGGTTAGCATCTTCCAAACTGCAATGCTGATTTTGACATTATGTTTTATATGTGTATCACATGATATTAATATTTGTAGCCATCTCCTAATGATCTACCCCGACCTAAATCTTTACCCTCCTAGAATACCCGCTATGTATGTCTTCCCAGAGTACACCATTGCTTTCCCATGGCCTATATAATAAAATCAGAATTCCTTAGTCCAGCAGTTTAAGCTCTTTATTATAGAATTCTAGTCCAGTTTAAGCTCTTTATTACAGAATTCTAGTCCAGACGTTCTTCAAAAAAAATTGAAATAGGCCAAGCAATATGGCCTATGCCATTGATCCTTGGTCGGAGGATCACTTCAGCCCAGGAGTTTGAGACCAGCCTGGGCAACATAGTGAGACCCCATCTCTATAGAAAAATTAGCTGGGCATGATGGCACACACCTATGGTCGCAGATACTTGGGATGCTGAGGTGCGGGTGTTGCTTGAGACTGGGAGGTCGAGGCTGCAGCGAGCCACGATCATGCCACTGCACTCCAGCCTGGATGACACCATAAATAAAATCAAAAATAAAAATAGAAAATTAAAATAGAATTACTATATGATCCAGCAATTCCACTTGTGAATATATACCCAGAAGAACTGAAAGCAGGGTGTCAAAGAGATATCTGTACATTTAAGTTTACAGCAGTATTATTCACAATAGCCAAAAGGTGGGAGCAAGCCAAGTGTCCATTGACCAACGAATGGATAAACAAAATGTGATACAACCATACAATGCAATATCATTCTACATGCTGCATAGATGTACACATGCTACAACATATATGAACCTTGCAGATATTATGTTAAGTGAAAGAAGCCAGTCACAAAAGGACGAAGACTGTATGATTCTACTTATATGAAGTACCTAGTACCCATAGTCAAAATCATAGAGACAGAGTAGAATGGCAGTTACCAGGGACTGGGTAGAGGAGTGAATTGTTTAGTGGATACAGAATTTCGGTTTTGCAAAATGAGGAGTTCTGGAGATTGGTTGCACAGCATTGACAATGGACTTAATACTCTTAAAAACTGTTAAGGTGCTAAATTATCTGTTATGTGTATTTTACCACAGCTTTTGTTTTTGTTGTTGTTGTTTTTGTTTGTTTGAGACGGAGTTTTGCTCTTGTTGCCCAGGCTGGAGTGCAATGGCACAATCTCGGTTCACTGCGTCCTCCACCTCCCTGGTTCAAGCGATTCTCCTGCCTCAGCCTCCCGAGTAGCTGGGATTACAGGCATGTGCCACCATGCCCAGCTAACTTTTAAAAACCCCACATCTTTATTCCAGCTTTCCAGCTTCATTCTCTCCCAGCTATAAAACCATAAAACATGCTGTGTACCTCTTGCATCAGTAATGGCCCCAACACCCCACATCTCCAATTATCAGACAACAACCAGCCCCTCACAGTAGAGCGCACACACGGTCTATTCTACAAAGGGTGTCTGATCTCACCTGCACTCCCTCCTCTGGCTGGTCCAGTGACATTCTCTTGACATAGGGCTTTCCCTCTCAAAGCACTTGGCACTGTCTTCGTTGTTATTGTAATCTGTGAGCGTATCTAGTCTTTTCCCTGCTGGGCATGGAGTACTTTGAAGGCTGGCATGGTTCTGCCCCCATGGAGTGCTTTTCAGGTTGGCATGGTTGTGCCCTAATTCTGTCATCCCAGAACGTGGCACTGGGTCTGGCACTTCACAATGGAATTTTTGAAATGGACAAGTGTTCTTTGAGTCTGTCTTTCCAGGCAACTGAACTGTGGCTGGTTTGGCCAAAAGAGGTATACGGCGGGTTATCTGAGCTTCCATTGGAATATTCCTCTGATCTCCAGCAAGAGCCTTGCCTTCTCATCACCTGTAGGTAGAAAGGCTGCTTCACTCTCCTCCTGCCTGTAGTCCATCTTCCACACAGCAGCCTGAATGATCCTCTAAAAAGCAGCCAGTGTGCTCCTCTATCGAAAGCATAGATTGAACCATGTTTCTTCACTGCTGAAAACTGGCAATAGCTTTCCACTCTCTCAGAGTAAAAGCAGAGGCTGATAAGTCCCTATTACCTCATGTCTCACCTTTCCCCCTGGCCTGGCCTCCTACCACTCTCCCAATATTCATGTTGCTCCAGCTGCACTGGTCTGCTCGCTGTTCCTGAGGCAACCAAGCACACTTCCTCTTGGAGCCTCCATACCTCCGCCTGGAAATGTTGCCACCTCACCCCTCAGTTCCTCCAGCTCTTTACTCACATGTCCCTGTATCAGAGAGGTCTTTCTCTGGTCTCTGTAATACAGCAGCAAAACAGACCCCCTCCTGTGGCCCTTTCTGTGCTCCTATAGTATTTCACAGCACTTATCACTGCCTGACATGTTACATACACAGATTTTTCTTTGTTGTTTGCCTCCCTCCACTAGAACATATGCACTAAGATGGCAGAAACTTGATCATTAGTTCACTGCTGCATCATTAGACTGGCATGATGTAGGTGCTTGGTACATCACTATTGAGTGCACAGGTGGATGGAGGGAGGGAGGGAGGGAGGGAGGGAGGGAGGGTTGGATGAGTGGTTGGATGAGTGGATGGATGGGTGGATGGGTGGATGGATGGGTAGATGAGTGAGTGGATGAATGAATAGCTCAGCTTTTCCAAGACTGCACAAGCTGTCAGGTTGAGCATGAGGAATAGAACAGCAAGTTCCATGGGTAGTATCACCAACCTATAAATATGGAAAAATACACCATTTTCCTCTTTAATTTCCTGCTCTTAACCCCAATCTGACTTTAAGGAACGGTTTCAAAAATGCTTATGGCAATTATTACAAGATAAAGCACACATTTAATAACCTTGCACTCAAGGTCCTGCACAAGAAGACTTGAAGTGAGCCCACGTAGAACATTTGCTGATCAATGAATCTGCCAACCCCTTTCCTGTGTTAATTCCTCCTCCTGAAAAAATGTTCTCCACCATCTGTACCTATCAAAATCCTATTCAGACTTCAAAGCTCAGCTTCTGTATGAGCCCAGGCAAAACATAAAGTATATGTGTTAACCCACTCCTTAGAAGTCTCAGAGCACTTTGTCACTACCTGTCTCTGTTATTATTCATACCTTTTCTAGCCCTACATTTTCCTCACTTTCAAGATGGGGAAAGGGAGGCTGCACTGGATTGTAACATGATATAAATATATGCAACTGTGTGCCTTTGTGTGCCTGTGTGTGTGTGTGTGTGTGTGCATGTGTGTGAATGTGTCCTGGCATGTCCTGGAGGTAACAGCCCAAATATGCTATCTGCTATTATCAATATCCAATGATCTCCTTCCACAAGGATTGAAGCCTCTCAAGGGTAGAGGGTTTTTTTTTCCATCTTAATGTCTTTGTTCTTAATGCCCAAGCTTTGAAACGTTCCCATTATTGTGTATTGAGTGCCTAGATTAACGAATGAAAGATTCCACTTGGGGAAGAGATTCAGAGCTGGAGGGAGAACACGGGAATAAAGCTTTAACCATCTTACTGTTCTCACTTTGTGCTGACATTTCCAAAATGCTGACCCGATTTACTGATGCCACATTCATCGTCTTGCTTTTGAACATCTTCTGTAAAACAGTTTCTAATTTATTGGATCCTTTTAAAGATTTGTTTCCTGCTTTCATATTCTGCTCTCAGATTTCATTCCAGTTTCTCTGACGTTAACTTACGACCCAAGTCCCTATTTCCAAAATTTATTATCTAACATAAACACTCTCCACCCAATTGCGGGTGCAATTTATACCTAGGAGATGGAACAATCCCTTTAGGGAATAAATTGGATTCTCTTGTATCTCACTTTTCTGTCATCACAGAACCATAAATTCTCAAAATGCTAGCCTGTGACATAAGGGAAACCAAAGCTCTGTGCCCAGAAATGACTAAGTTGTGCCTTAAATTGAATTGGAATTTTCATCCTAAATGACACATCTGCATGTCTTCCATTTTTTTTCGTCTGAATACTTCTTTCTAGTTGATATGACCCCTGAACCACAGGGTAATGAAAGAGTACTGCTTAAGTCGTTCTTTAACCAGATGACAATTGGCAATTTATTTTTGGTACAGTGATGGGAGGTGTGGTGGGGAGCTATCTGGGATACAAAAATAGGTTATCAGTTTTCCCCCTGTTTACTAATTATTACTATCTCATTATTGATCTTATTGAGGCTTAGTATGTGATAGACAACATACTAACACCAGAAAGTGAAACTAGCAGGTCAGAATGTGTGAATATTTAAAAAGTACTTGATTCTTATGGCCAGATGTCATTCCAAAAGGGCTGTAACAGTTTTTACTGCCATTAGTAAATATATGTTCAGACTGCCCAGAGAACATTTTTTTTTTTAGAATGTTTTGTCTTAGGAAACATCCCCTTCCCTCAAAATGCAAAACCCAATCTGGGTCATCATCTCCTAAAAGCCTGGTTGATCCTTGATGCCAGATTTTATCCTTGCTCCTTGGTGTTCTGTACTCTGACCTGGCACCTCCCAAATCAACTGTAGTTGTCATCACACACCTGCCTCCCTAGGCCAACTGTGAGCCCCATGGCAGGCACATGGTAGTGCTCAAAGCGTACTCACAGTGTCTGGGTTTTGAAGAAAGGGACCGTGTATTTATCCATTGTAGTTTCTACTGCGCTGTCTAGAACACAGTACATTCCAATTAAATGTGACTGACTGAATGTGAACCTGCCATTTGGTTTACTTCAGAGCCTGCCAGGGCAGAAAGAACTTGCTGTGTGAGCAAATCCTTTCAATTCCTGGGGCCTCAAGCCTTCACTCAAGGTGTGTGTATATATATGTGTGTGTGTGTGTGTGTGTGTATACGTGTGTGTGTGTATATGTGTGTATATATGTGTGTGTGTATATATGTGTGTGTGTGTGTGTGTATATATATATATATACACATATGAGAGAGAGAGTTTCACTCTTGTTGCCCAGGCTGGAGTGCAATGGCACGATCTCGGCTCACTGCAGCCTCTACCTCCTGGGTTCAAGTGATTCCCCTGCCTCAGCCTCCTGAGTAGCTGGGACTACAGGTGTGTGCCACCACGTCTGGCTAATTTTTTGTATTTTCAGTGGAGATGGGTTTTCACCATGTTGGCCAGACTGGTCTCGAACTCCTGACCCCAGGTGATACACCTGCCTCGGTTTCCCAAAGTGCTGGGATTACAGGCGTGAGCCACCGCGCCCAGCAATATACACTTATTAAACACCTACCGTGTGCTGAGACCTATAATAGGTAACCAGGAAATAGAGGTAATTCCAGAAGGACCGCCTGGTTGCAAATTTGGATGTGTCATATACACAATAAGCGACTGCAGGGAAGCCCTAGTGAAGGGGTGAATGTAGCGCATAACAAGGCTCAAAGAGGGGTCCACCCAGCTCTTCCTGGGGCACTCGGGAATCTTCGCAAAGCAGTAGTCCTGGAGCCAGAACATGATTGTAGTGGGCTGAATGGTGTCTTCCCAAATCTATGTCCCAGTCCTAACCCTGCTGTCTGTGAATGTGACCTTATTTGGACATAGCGTATTTGAAGATGTAATTAAATTAGGTATCTGGAGATGAAATCATCCTGGATTTAGGGTGGGTCCTAAATCCAATGACTGGTGCTGTTTTAAGGGAAAGAGATATTTGAGACAGGAAGACAGGGAGGATGGGGTCATGTGAGGATGGAGGTAGAAATCAGAGTGATGCTGCCACAGGCTGAGGAATGCTACCAGAAGGCAAGAAAGGTGTCTCTCATCTGTCTCTCCCTTCCATGCAGTCAGATATAAAGCCACCTCCTCCCTGATCTATTTCTCACATTGCAGCCCTGCCCAGGGAGGTGGTCACAGCCAGGGTGTGGGTCTGCTCAGTGCTTGACATGGAACCAGCCAATCCCAGTGCCTGCCTCTCTCAGTGGCATCCTCCTGGGTACATTTGGCCTCTGGTCTGAAGGTGCTGAGTCCTAACTAGCTCAGCAGAATGAGGTTCCCTGTCCTCCACTGCTGCTCCTAGAAATGTCTTCATCAAGGTTTAGGGCTCCAGCTCAGCTATAAATAAAGTGGTGCTTGAGGTTTCTGTAGGATTGTGTTCCTCAAGGAAGTTGAGAGGTTGCATAGCTGTGGTTCAGGGAAGGATTCAGGTATCATATCTTCTTAATGTAGTGATTCTCCTCCAGGGGTGATATCACTCTCTGGAGCACATTTGATGATGTGTGGAGATATTTTTGATTATCACAACTTGGGGGAAAGGAGTGGGAGATGCTTCAGGCATCTAGGGTGGGGAAGCCACAGCTCCACCTAAACATCCCACAGTGCACAGGACAGCCCCCATAACAAGGGATTATCTGGTCCAAAATATCAATAATGTCAAGGTTGATAAATTCTGCCAGTGCCTTCAGAATCTCATCATAAGTTCTGACAGATAAGAAAAAGTTAACCAGGTGGATAGAACAAATAAAAGCATTTCTTAAAGAGAGATAATCATGCAAAGGAAGAAGAGAGGTAGAAAACATATGAACTTGGAAGAAATGGAGGTAGTCTGGGCATGTAGACTACTAGGGTCTGTGCATGGAGCCAGACGAGGGTTGCAAGAGTCAAGTCTGGAGAGATGGGCACGGGGCAGGCTTATATATAAGGTCCTCATATATTATAACGATAATAGCAGTGGGCATTTTCACAGTGGCTCACATTTTTGATCACTCACTAGGTACTAAGCTTAAACATGCATCACACGTTATTTCAGTTTGTTTTCTCAACATCCCTGTGGGGTAGAGGATTCGTTTCCTGTTGCTGCTTTAACAAATTACTCCAAACTTCACGGATAGAAACAACAAAATGTATCTGGAGGTCAGAAGAACAGCATGGAAAGTCAAGGTTTTGTCAGGGCTGTGTCCCTTCTGGAGGCTCTTAGGGAGAATGTTTCCCTCCCTCTTCCAGGTTCTAGAGGTGTCTGCATTTCTTGGCTCATGAAATCATCAAAGCCAGCTACAGCGGATTAAGGTTTGAGTCTTTCTCATGTTGCATCAGTTTGACACCCACTTCTGCCTCCCTCTTTCACTTTATTTTTTAGTTTTTATATTAATTTTTAAAAATTTAATTTATACATATTTGACCTATTTATGGGGTACATACAATTTTTTAATGTGCATAGAATATGTAATGTTCAAGTCAGAATATTTGGGATATCCATCACCTTGAGTATTTATCATTTCTATGAGAAATATGAAGTATTTTAAGTATTTTAAGTTTTAAGGGAACAATTTAAGTTCAAGCTCCTAGCTACTTTGAAATATACAATATAATGTTGCTAACGAGTCACCCTTCTCTGCTATGGAGCATTAGAACTCACACCTTCCATTGGGGCCAGGCGTGGTGGTCACGCCTGTAATCCCAGCACTTTGAGAGGTCAAGGTGGGCGGATCACCTGAAGTCAGGAGTTTGAGACCAGCCTGGCCAACATGGCAAAACCTTGTCTGTACTAAAAACATAAAAATTAGCTGGATGTGGTGGCATATGCCTGTAATCCCAGCTACTCAGGAGACTGAGGCAGGAGAATCCCTTGAACCCAGGAGGTGGAGGTTGCAGGGAGCTGAGATGGCGCCACTGCAGTCCAGCCTGGGCCACAGAGTGAGACTCCATCTAAAATTGTACACATAGATCTATTTTTCTTCACCCCCTGCAATCTACATACCCTCTCCAGCCTCTGGCATCTACCATTCTACTTTCTATCTCCATGGGATCAATATTTTCAGCTCTTGCACATGAGTAAGAACACTCACAATTTGTCCTTGTGTGTCTGGCTTATTTCACTTAACATAATGACTTCCAGTTCCATCCATGTTGCTGCAAATGACATGATTTCATTCTGTTTCACGGCTGAATAGAATTCCAGTGTGTCTATGTATCACATTTTCTTTATCCATTTGTCTGCCAATGGACACTTAGGTTGATTCCGTATCTTCGCAATTGTGAATAGTGTGGCAATAAATATTGGCATGCCTGTATCCCTTTGATATACTGATTCATTTCCTTTTCATAAACACCCAGTAGTGGGATTCCTGGATCAGATGGTAGTTCTAGTTTTTTGGAAATCTCCATACTGTTTTCCATGGTAGTTGTACTGAATTACATTCCCACCAACAGTGTATCAGAGGTCTCTTTTCTTTACATCCTCACCAGCATCTGCTATTATTTTGTCCTTTTAGTAGTAGTCATTCTAACTGGGGTAAGATAATATCTTCTTGTTCTTTTGATTTTCATTTCCCTGATGATTAGTGATGTTGAGCAGTTTTTCATATACCTGTTGGTCATTTTTATGTCTTCTTTTGAGAAATATCTATTCATGTCATTTGCCCACTTTTTATTTTTATTTTTTTTTTTTACTGTTGAGTTCCTTGTATACTCTGGATATTAGTCCTTTGTCAGATGAATAGTTTACAAATATTTTCTCCCATTCAAAATGTTGCCTCTTCACTGTATTAATTGCTTCCTTTGTTGTGAAGAAGCTTTTTAGTTTAATATAGTACCATTTGTCTATTTTCATTTCCATTGTCTGTGCTTGAGGTCTTAGTCATCAAATCTTTGCCTAGAGCAATATCCTGAATTGTTTTCCTTGTTTTCTTCCAGTAGTTTTATAGTTTATTGTCTTACATATAAGTCTTTAATCCACCTTGAGTTGTTTTTTGTATATGGTGAGAGATGAGTCCAGTTTCATTCTTCTGCATATGATATACAGTTCTCCTAGCACCATTTATTGAAGAGGGTGTTGTTTCCCCAGGTACGTTCTTGGCATCTTGGTCAAAAATCAGTTACCTTAAATATGTGGATTTATTTCTGTATTTTCTATTTTTTTCCCATTGATCTATGTGTCTATTTTCATGCCAAAAATATACTGTTTTGGTTATAATAGCCTTATGATATTCTGAAGTCAGTTATTTTGATGCCTCAAGCTTTGTCCTTTATGCTTAGGATTGCGTTGGCTATTTGGGCTCTTTTGTGGTTCCCTATGAATTTCGGATTGTTTTTTCTATTCCTGTGAAAAATGATGTTGGTATTTTCATAGAGATTGCTGTGAATCTGTAGATTGCTTTGGGTAGTATGGTCATTTTAACAATATTAGCTAGTTAATTATTGATGAATCGAAACTGATGATTTTTGTATGATGATTTTGTATCTAGCCACTTTACTCGATTTATCAGATCTAAGAGTATTTTGGTGCAGTCTTTCGGTTTTTCTAGATATCATATCATATCATCAGCAAAGAGGGACAAATGACTTCTTTTTTAGTTTGGACGTTTTTTTTTTTTTTATTTCTTTCTCTTTTCTGATTGCTTTGGTCATGATTTTCAGTACTATGTTGAATAGGAGTGGTAAAAGTGGCATTCTTGTCTGATTCCAGTTCCTAGGGGAAAGGATTTCAGCTTTGCCCCATTCAGTATGATGTTAGCTGGGGTTTTGTCACATATGGCCTTTATTTTGTTGAGGGATGTTTCTTCTATGCCTAGTCTATTGAGAGATTTTATCATGAAAGGATATTGAATTTTATCAAATTCTTTTCCTGCATCTATTTAGATGATCATTTGTTTTTCCTCCTTAATTTTGTTGATGTGATGTACTAAATTTACCGATTTGCATATGTTGAACCATCCTTGTGTTCCTGAGATAAATTCTACTTGATCATGTGGATTAATTTTTGATGTGTTGCTGGATTTGGTTTGCAAGTATTTTCTTGAGAATTTTTACGTCTAAGGTCATCAGGAATATTGGCCTATACTTTTCTTTTGTTGCTGTATCCTTGTCTGGTTTTGGTATCAAGGTAATGCTGTCCTCATAGAATATGTTAGGGAGAGTTTCTTTCTCTTCACTTTTCTAGAATAGTTTAAGGAAAACTTTGTTAGCTCTTTGGAAGTTTGGTATAATTTGGCAGTGAAGCCATCTGGTCCTGGACTTTTCTTTTTTGAGAGACTTTTTATTACTAATTCAATATCATTACTTGCTGTTGGTCTGCCCAGGTTTTCCATTTCTTCCTGATTTAATCTTGGTAGGTTGTATGTCTTCAGAAATTTATCTCCTTTAGGTTTTTTAGTTTGTTAGTGCATAATTGTTCATCATGGTATCTGATGATCTTTCGTATTTCTGTGTTATCAGTTGTAATGTCTTCTTTGTCATTTCTGATTTTATTTGGGTTTCTCTCTTTTTTCTTATTTAGTCAAGCTGGTGACATATCAATTTTATCTTTTCAAAAAACCAACTTTCTTTTTTGTTGATCATTTGTATTTGTTTAGTCCCTATTTCATTTATTTAGCTCTGCCCTGATCTTTATTATTTTGTCCTTTTATTAATTTTGAATTTGGTTTGTTCTTCTTTTTCTAATTCCTTGAGGTAAATCATTTGTTTATTTGAAATCTTTCTACTCTTTTGATGTAGGCAGACATTTATTGTTATAAACTTCCCTCTTAGCACTGCTTTTTCTGTATCCCATTCGTTTTGGCATGTGTGTCTTGGTTTTCATTTGTTTTAAGAAGTATTTTGACTTTCTCCTTAACTTCTTTCTTGAACTAGTGGTTATTCAGGGGCATGTTGTTTAATTTCCATGCATTTGTATAGTTTCCAAAGTTCCTCTTGGTATTGATTTCTAGTTTTATTCCATTGATGCCTGAGAAAACATTTGACATAATTTCAATTTTTAAAAATTTGTTGAGACCTAACATATGGTCTAGCCTGGAGAATGTTTCATGTACTGATGTATTCTGTAGCTGTTGGATGAAATGGTCTTAAATGTCTGGTAGGTCCTTTTGGTCTTATGTGGAGTATAAAACCAGTGTGTTTCGTGGTTGTTGTTGTTGTTGTTGTTAATTTTCAGTCTAAGTGATATGTCTAATGCTGCAAGTGGGATATTAAAGTCCCCAACTGTTATTGTACTGGAGTCTATCTTTCCCTTTAGATCTAATAAAATTTGCTTTATATATCTGGGTGCTCCACCATTGGGTGCATATATGTTTATATTAAGCCCTTTATCATTATATATTGACCTTCTTTATCTCTTTTTAAGTTTTTGACTTAAAGTCTATTTTATCTGATATAGTAGAGCTACTCCTGCTTATTTTTGGTTTTTCTTTGCATGGAATATCTTTTTCTATCCTTTTACTTTCAGTCTATATGTGTCTTTACAGATGAGATACATTTCTGGTAGGCAGGATATAGTTGGGTCATGCTTTTAAATCCACTCATCCAGTCTATATATTTTAAGTAGAAAGTTTAATCCATTTACATTCAATGTTATTATTGATATGTGAGGGTATATTCCTGTCATTTAATTAATTGATTTCTAGTTATTTTGTATATCCTTTGTTCCTATTTTATTGTTTATCATTGCGTTTTGGTGGTATTCTCTACTGGTAACATTTGAGTTTTCCCATTTTTTGTTTGTGTGTTGTTTTACCAGTGGTTTTCATATTTTTGTGTGTTTTCATGGTGGGAGTTATCATTCTTTCACTCCCAGGGGTAGGGTTCCCTCAAGCATTTCTTGTAGGGCTGGTCTAATGCTGATGAATTATCTCAGCTTTTGCTTGTCTGGGAAAGACTTTATTTCTCCTTTATTTATGAAAGACAACTTTGAGTGTAGCATCCTTGACTTGCAGTTTTAAATATTTTTTTCTGAAAAATCTGCTATTAACCTGATGGGAAGTCCTTTATAAGTGACTAGATGCTGTTCTCTTGCTGTTTTTAATTTCTTTGACTTTTGACATTTTGACTAGAATGTGCCATGGAGTAAACCTTTTTGAATTGTATCTATGCCAGGACCTTTGAACTTCTTGTATCTGGATGTCTAAATGTCTTGCTAGACTTGGAGAATTTTCATTAAATAGGTTTTATTTCCCTTCCTTCTCTATTCTCCTTCTGGGACACTGAAAATTTGAATATCCAATTGATTTATGGTGTCCCATATGTCACATAGGCTTTGCTCATTATTTTTTATTCTTTTATCTTTATTTTTGTCTGACTAGTTTATTTCAAAAGATCTGTCTTCAAGTTCTTTCCCCTTCTTGATCTAGTCTATTACTGAAGCCTCTGAATGTATTTTGTATTTTATTAAATGAATTCTTCAGTTCCAGAATTTCTGCTTGGTTGTTTTTTATATCTATTTCTTTGGTAGATTTCTCAGGCATATCCTGAGTTGCTTTTCTAATTTCTTTGCATTGCTTTTCAATATTCTCTTTTATCTCACTGAACTTTAGTGTCAATATTTTGAATTCTTTTTTTAGGATTCAATACATTTGTTTTTGATTGGGATCTGTGTTGCCAGATAATTACTGTGTTCCTTTGGGGTTTCATATTTCCTTGCTTTTTCATGTTTCCTGTGTCCTTACATTGTTACCTGTGCATCTGGCATAATAGTCACTTTTTTCAATTTTTTGAATTTGCTTTCATAGGGGAAGACTTTTTCCTAAAGATGTGTATATTGTGTTGGCAGTGTAGAGAAATTTGGCTTTGGTTCTGGGTGGGTGCAGCAGTGTAGTCTCTGTATGGTTTCTTCAGGTATAAAACAGCATTGATAGTGTCTGTTGTTTCCTTGGTGGCTTAGTATGTTGTTGTTTACGGAGGCTCTGCTGAAGTTTTGCTGGGCACTGGGATACAAGGTGGGCCAGTCTTTGGGCCACATTGGTGGCAGTGATGGAGTGCATGTGCCTGTCCTTGGGCCCCAGGGTGGCATATACTGGCACTGGCTTTATTTGTTCCAGGCAGGCCAGCTCTTGGACCTCTAGGTGGCTTTCTCAGGTGCTAAGAATGGCAGTAGTGGGCCAGGAAGTTTGGTGGGTTCTCAAGCTCCTGAGTAGCAGGCATGACATGAATGATGGGTAGTCACAATGGTAGAACAACCCTTTGGAACCCAAGCAGTCCATGCTGGTATTTGTAGTGGCAGTGATGGGCTGGGCAGGCCAGCCCTCAGACCTACAGGTGGCACATGTGGGTGGGTACCTGCTGTGATGGTAGTGGCAGGCTGACTGGGCCTGACCTCAGACTCTGGAAGGAGTGTTAAGGTGCCATCAGTGGTGGACTGGGTTGGATGATGATTCCCCCAGGTCCCTTGGCTGCATGCTCAGGTACTGGTGAGGGGTGAAGCTGTGAAAGGCAAAACTGTCCTCAGGCCCCCTGATGGTGCATGCAGACACTGCCTATTGTAGGCAGGGTTGTGGTGATCCTCAGGCCTCTGGTGGAATGCTCAGGTGAAGGTGGCAGTGGCTGTGCCAAAGCTCTGTTACTGAGTAGTGTGGGGATGCTGTTAGCGGCAGCAGCTGTAATCAGGCAACTTGGGGGTGTGCACTTTGCTTGCACTTCAGCCCCACAGCACCCTGCAGCAGTGGGTGGGAATTTGTCCTCACAGCACATAAAAATGTGCAGTCACCCCTCTACTAGAGGTCGGGTGGTGTCACTGCCAGTTGCTCCCTCCTTGGTTCCTAAAGCAACGGCTATGGGTGGGGAATGTCCATGGGATTCCAGAGATGCAAAAGCGCAAGGGGTGTTGGGCCCTAGGGAAGAATGCAGTCTGGTGTGGCTGGGCTCTCAAAATGGCAGCCTGCTGCAGCTGCTTAGGACTGGGAAGAAGGTGTGGGACACAGAATGGACTCCCTCTCTGGAGCAGTGCCTTCCCACAGTCTCCATGCAGTTCCTTATGTTAGTCTCAGGGGCCAGAAAGATTGAGGGGCTCTCCCATGGCTAGGACTGTAGGAATCTGTTGTGGGAATCTGGACCCCTGAGGGGTCTCTCACTTTTTATTTTCCAGCATTAGGGAACCTCTCCTAACAGCCTATCCCAGCCAAATGGGTTGTCCTGCTTCCCTCTCCTTCCTTGCTTTTGGTGCTTCCCATCACTTTTCTGTTGAACTCCTGTATTCTCTCTTAGATGATCTACTCAGAGTGGTTATGTACTCATTATTTTGTTTCCTCTCTGTCTTATTCCATTATCATGCTGCTATAAAGAACTACTTAAGACTGGGTAATTTATTTTTTTAAGAAAAGAGGCTTAATTGACTCATAGTTCTGCATGGCTGGGGAGGACTTAGGAAACTTACAATCATGGTGGAAGGTGAGGAGAAGCAAGGCATGTCTTACCATGGCAGAACAGGAGAAAGAGAGCAAAGAGGGAAGTGCCAAACACTTTTAAACTATCAGATCTTGTGAGAACTCACTCAATATCATGAGAACAGCAAGGAGGAAATCCACCCCCATGATCCAGTCATCTCCCACCAGGCCCCTTCTTTGACATGTGGGGATTACAATTCAAGATGAGATTTGGGTGGGGACACAGAGCCAAACCATATCACTCTCCATGGATGAGGTGATTACCAAATGTATGTAGTCAGCAATCTTGAAACACCACTCTTTCAGTTTTAAGGCTCTTTGAGTACATAAGCTCTACTAAAATAATCCAGGATAATCTCCTCCATCTCAATAATGGCAGATGAGCCACCCTAATTCAATCTGCACCACAATTTCCCTTTGCTGTATAACACAGCATATTCCCAGGTTCTAGGTATTAAAATGTGGATATTTTGGGGAGATCATGTTTATGTTCACTGTAGATAGTATTTTTATTTATAGAAAATAAACCAAAGCTTCAGGGAGATTAGATGATGTGCCTGAACTCACAACAAAGGTGCCAGCTGTCTTTAGCCAAATCTAAGAGTCAGGCTCTGTTCTTAGCTGAATCCAGCTTCTAACTGTAGAGCTTTCCAGCTCCCCAAGACAAATGAGCTGCATTTGGTGAACACTTTTTATGGTGACTGATATGGTTTGGCTCTGTGTCCCCACCCAAATCTCATGTCCTCACATTGTAATCCCCATAATCCCCACATGTATAGGGAGGGACCTAGTGGGAGGTGACCAGATCACAGGGGCAGTTTCTCTCATGCTGTTCTCATGATAGTACGTGGGTTCTCACAGGATCTGATGGTTTTATAAGTGTTTGACAGTTCCTCCTTCACATGTGCTCTCTCTTACTTGCCACCATCTAAGACATGCTTGCTTCCCTTTCCACCATGATTGTAAGTTTCCTGAGGCCTACCCGGCCATGAAGAACCGTGAGTCAATTAAACCTTCTTTCTTTCTAAACTACCCAGTCTTGGATATTTCTTTATAACAGTGTGAAAATGGACTAATACAGTGACTGACACTTATTTCAGCTTATTCAATCCCTCAACAGCTCTGTGGGAGGTGAGCACTCCTCCTTGTTAATAGAGTAGCAAAATCATGTCCAGAGCAGTCACTGACTTACCCACGGTCTCTGAGCTAGAACAAGATGTAAAGGCTCTTAGCACTGCTCTTTACAGCGGTGAGTGGCCAGGCCTGGACCCTGTCTACACACAGGGTGACCCCAATCCCTCCCTGCATCAATTATGCAATCTGGGTTTTGTCGGCTTCACAGTCTTGCTCCTATGTCCCACTGTTCTGGGGAACTAAGTCAGAGGTTTGGGTTTGTTTGTTTACAAACTCCACTGCTCATCAGAAGGAACCCAGACTTGGACCCAGAGAGGGTGGGATACTGCCCAAGGCCCAATTTAAGCCACTAAAGCCACTGTTTGAGAAAATCTGGACTCTTACATTCCTTCATGTACACTGCTATTAAATGAGCGATGAGCCTTTGTCAAAAAGGTCTTAGGACCAGAAGCCTGATCACACTTGCTACTTGGTATAATTCTTGTCCCCACAGCTTGAACACACCTGATTTCTCAGCAAGGTAGTATTGGCAAACGGGAACCACTACCCCAGCCCCATTCTGCAATTAGTTTTCTAAGACAGACACAGAAAATTTTGTCAAAATATCAGGAGTTAAGATAGTTTGCCTTTCCAGGATTCAGGAGGCACAAGCTCAAAATCTGTATGTGAAAATAACAACCATACACCCACAAGCATTTCAATATAGGAACACAAATGATATTCCCATCAGTTCATGCAAACTCAATGGGAAAGGGCCACTGTCCCACAATATGACAGGGAATGCCAAGAACTTCAGGGAGGGAGGATGTTGAATAGTGTCACTAAAAATACATATTTATTTTCATACACAAGCAAAAGCAAAAGAATTTCATTTTTCCATGAGAGTCATCCATGTGACGTTTCCATCACGAAAGCTTGGATAGCAGATCAATTCTATGGATACGTGTTGTTGAAGAACTTGATTACCATAGGTTATCAGAATAGAGATAGTATGAGCTTAGGCCCTCAAGCTTGGTGACTTGGGGTGGCCACTTCCTGTTTGCCCTTAGGCAAGTTATTCACCCTCCAGGAGACACTGTGGTCTCACCTGTAAAATGGGACTACTGATAGGACTAGGTGAACCCAACACCTGCAGAAGATTTAACACAGAACCAGGCACATGCAAAATGCTCAGAAATGTTGGTTATCATTATGGTCTAATGTCTCATAAACAATTTTGTTTTCTAATTTCCAAAAACATATTTCAAACATGCATGTGCTTTTAGTGTATCGTTTATTTGCCTTTTAGTGAGTTAACATTTTAAAATTAAGTGGTCCATGGGAACAGGAACGAGGAATTTAAAGACAGAGTTTGAAGCATCTGCTTTAAATTCATGAAAATGCTAAAAAAAAAAAAAAAGGAGAATTATAACTTTTCATTTATAACATTTGAATCTTTTAAATTTTATAACATGTACACATATTATCTACTTAAAATAATATCTGGGCTTAAACCCAGTTATACTGTCATAGCAAAAAAAAGAATTTACTTTAAAATTTTCTTATTGAATTCAATAAGATGATAAAAATGATAAATTGTATAAAAATTAGCATTTCTATACTTATCTTTTAGACAGTTTTGTAGAGAAATGGGAAGTGTTTTTGTTTTCTTTTTTTTTTTAATTATATTATTTAATCTTTTTCAACTGTCACCCAGGCTGGAGTGCAGCAGCACTATCACGGCTCACTGTAGCCTCAACATCCCAGACTCAGGTGATCCTCCCATCTCAGCCTCCCACGTAGCCTTGTAGAGATGGGTTTTTGCCATGTTGCCCAGGCTGGTCTTGAACTTTTGGGCTTGAGTGATCCTCCCACCTTGGCCTCCCCAAGTGTAAGCCACAGCACTTGGCCTTGAGAAATGCGAAGTGTCTTTGAATGCTTGCATAGATAAAACTGTTTTAACTAAAGAAAGGTGTTGGCTAGTGTTTTGGAATTAATCTATTACTGCTCTTAATGATTAAAAGACAAAAAAAAAAAATTCTGACAAAGTTTGCCAAAAAGAAAAAAATGGAAAAAACAAAAAACTCAGATAAGGTTCATAATTCACTTCAATAATAAAGAAGCCTTCATAAATAACTGATTTAATAAGCAGATATTTTCCCAAGACTGGAATCAGCAACTCCAAGGCAAAGGTTTTCTTATACATGTCAAGGTTCCTGCCTTGTAAAAGAAGACTGTGAGTCTGATGAAGTGAGTGGGTCATCAGTACTGAAACTGTTAGTTAATTTACATGGGATGCAAATTCAGAGTCAGGAGCAAAATACAGTGCATCATAGGTCATCGGACTTCACTGGAAGATGTTTCCCAAGATAGTAAGAGACACTATGTAATAGGTTTCAGGCATTTCAGATACAATTTCATGTAGGTAATGCTACTGGTAAAAATTTTAATCAAAAAAGCCTGAAAATGTACCAAACCCACTTTGATTAGTATTTAGATCAGTGCTTTATTCAAAACAGTGAACAAATGGTTGCTGTTTATAGCTTCATATTTATGTGACTCTGAATTGGATTTTAAGAGGCCAGAGAAAGGAAGGAATTACCGGGGTCCTGCACTTCACAGGAGGCATGAGTTCTCTTCGAATCAGCTCATCTTCCCCAAACTGATGGATGCAATCCAACAGCACTGCCTATGGACCGTGGAGACTCTGAACAGCCTTCATTGTTCATTTGCTCTATTTTCCTATGAATCATAGCTTTAAGCACTACTTTATATATTAAAAGAATCATGACTACATAACGGAGTAGAATGCAAAACTTAAGAGAAATTTTTAACATAACATATAAGACTTCAAAGGCATGTCATGCTTGTGATAGGCTACTTTGCACCCCTCCCTCACAAACTTTTCAGGAGCTAGCTTCCCATATATCAAAGAATATTTGTAGGTTGCCTATTCACTCTAATGATAGTTTCTTTTGCTGTGCAGAAGCTCTTTAATTAGATCCCATTTGTCAATTTTGGCTTGTGTTGCCATTGCTTTTGGTGTTTTAGACATGAAGTCCTTGCCCATGCCTATGTCCTGAATGGTATTGCCTAGGTTTTCTTCTAGGGTTTTTATAGTTTTAGGTCTAACATTTAAATCTTTAATCCATCTTGAATTATGTTGGTGGGAGTGTAAACTAGTTCAACCATTGTGGAAGTCAGTGTGGCGATTCCTCAGGGATCTAGAACTAGAAATACCATTTGACCCAGCCATCCCATTACTGGGTATATAGCCAAAGGATTATAAATCATGCTACTATAAAGACACATGCATACGTATGTTTACTGCGGCACTATTCACAATAGCAAAGACTTGTGAACCAACCCAAATGTCCAACAATGATAGACTGGATGAAGAAAATGTGGCACATATACACCATGGAATACTATGCAGCCATAAAAAATGATGAGGTCATGTCCTTTGTAGGGACATGGATGAAGCTGGAAACCATCATTCTCAGCAAACTATTGCAAGGACAAAAAACCAAACACCACATGTTCTCACTCATAGGTGGGAATTGAACAATGAGAACACACGGACACAGGAAGGGGAATATCACACACTGGTGCCTGTTGTGGGGTGGGGGAGGGGGGAGGGATAGCATTAGGAGATATACCTAACGTTAAATGACAAGTTAACGGGTGCAGCACACCAACATGGCACATGTATATATATGTAACAAACCTGCATGTTGTGCACATGTACCCTAAAACTTAAAGTATAAAAAAGAAAAAAGAATATTTGGTCAGAGAAGTTCTAGGAAGCAGTTCAGGATATCAATATTGATTTATTAAATGTGAACTTCTATTGTCAAGTAATTTCAAGTAAGGTAGGCTCTTACTTTATTATTTCTTCACTGATTTAACAAATAGTTCTAAAGCACTTACTATGTGCCAGGCATTATATCAGGTGTTGAAGATACGAAGATGAACAAGGTAGAAAAAGTGCCTGCCCTTAGAGAATTTACAGACTAGGCAGGTGATATAGTTTGGATGTGCATCCCTGCCCAAATCCCATGTTGATATGTAATTTCCAGTGTTGGAGGTGGGGCCTGCTGGGAGGTGATTGGATCCTGGGGAGAGATTTCTCATGAATGGTTTAGCACCATCTCCTTGGTGCTGTCCTTTTGATAGTCAGTAAATTATCACGAGACCTGCTTGTTTAAAAGTGTATGGCCAAGTGTTCTCATTGTTCAGTTCCCAACCATGAGTGAGAAAACAAGGTGTTTGGTTTTCTATCCTTGCGATAGTTTGCTCAGAATGATGGTTTCCAGCTTCATTTACGTCCCTACAAAGGACATGAACTCATCCTTTTTTATGGCTGCATAGTATTCCATGGTGTATATGTGCCACATTTTCTTAATCCAGTCTACCATTGATGGATATTTGGGTTGGTTCCAAGTCTTTGCTGTTGTGAATAGTGACACAATAAACATACGTGTGCATGTGTCTTTATAGTAGCATGATTTATAAACCTTTGGGTAAATACCTGGTAATGAGATCACTGGCGACCCAGTGGTGTTTCTAGTTCTAGATCCTTGAGGAATCGCCACACTGTCTTCCATAATGGTTGAACTGGTTTACACTCCCACCAACAGTGTAGAACCGTTCCTATATCTCCACATCCTCTCCAGCACCTGTTGTTTCCTGACTTTTGCCATCACACACTGGGGCCTGTCATGGAGTAGGGGGAGAGGGGAGGGATAGCATTAGGAGAAATACCTAATGTAAATGATGAGTTAATGGATGCAGCACACCAACATGGCACATGTATACATATATAACAAACCTGAAGGTTGTGCACATGTACCCTAGAATTTAAAGTATTTTTAAAAAAAAGTGTATAGCACCTCCCCTGTCTCCTTTGCTCCTGCTCTGGCCATGTAATGTGCCTGCTCCCCCTTTACCTTCCACCATGACTGCAGGTTTCCTGAGGCCTCCCCAGAAGCCGAACAGATGCCAGCAGCATGCTTCCCGTGCAGCCCGCAGAACCATGAGCTAATTAAGCCTCTTTTCTTTATAAACTTCTTTTCTTTATAAATTACTCAGTCTCATGTATTTCTTTACAGCGATGCAAGAACAGCCTAATATAGCAAATTTATTCCTTGGTTGCCTAGAAGTAAGTTACCGACGAAATCATTATCAATTAGGATTACATGCCAGGAAGAAAGTAGACAAAATGCTTTGGGAAAGTATGTGATGAGGAATAAAGTGAGAACCTAGCTAGATAAAATGTGGTCAGGGACACTCGGTGAAGAAGTGAGCATCTGTTTCCTGTTTTGGGTATCCATGAATAATTAGCGGATGTGACTGTGAACAGGACATAACCCTACTTTTGCTTTTGCATCTGGGGAGGCAACAAGGTGTAGTGGAGAGAGCCTTTTACTACAAGTCACGTTCCAGTTAAAAGCTCCATTTCCACTGCTAACTAGCTGTGTGACCTTGGGTTAGAGGCTTAGCTCCCAGAAATGCCTGCTGCCTCATCCACACCATGGTAACAGTGCCTTCCTCTGGGGCGGATGTGAGGAGTCGATGAAATCCATATGTGCTCATTTGTATGTTAATATATGCAGGCACTCACTCTATGAGCATTCTGTAAACAGTTCAGTGCAATTTGAACAATAAGGGAGCTGTATGCTCAGTGGTCATCAGCATGAGATCTGGGATTTGAACGCCTTGTTTCAAAGCCAGGGTTCCATGACCTGCCAGCTGTGTGTCCTGGGGCAAATCACCCAATCTCTCTGCAAAATGGGGTCATTATACTACCTAGCTCATTTTATTGCTGTGAGGATTAAATGAGATATTTGTATATGTGCATGTATGTGAGTGTGTCTATTATATATGTGTGGGTGTTTATATTTATATATATGTGTACATACACATGCATATACCCCATGTGCATATATACACATATGCAAACACATGTATGTATATGTATATAGTTTAAAGTAGTGTCAACACATTTTAATAAACTTGATTCATTGTTTAATAAACTTGATTCATTGTCACTGTTGTTATTTATTTAGTTTTGTATACTCTGGATACCTAGCCAAGGAATCCTGCCTTGGATGAAGATCCATCTTGGGATGCACTTCTAGGACCTTCAGAAAGATCATTCTCAATGACAAGTTAGACCATGTCACTCCCAAGCTTTAACCCATCAATAAATGAGAAAAGCAGGGTCTGTTAGGGTGTGCTCCCTACCACCCTTGACCCTTGCAATACAGGCTCCACCCACCTGGGGCCTCTCAAGTTTGGGCCCTTCTGCCCAGTGCCTTCTGCATTCCTTTTCCTAGTTCTAATTCCTAATTATCCTACAAATCACAGACCGACTGTGGCAGAGGAAGCCTTACTTGCCAACTCGGCCCCTGCCCCACTCCCCAATTCAGGCTGGCTGGGCACCCCTCCTTGAAGCTCCCACTGGTGCTGTGTAGTGCTCTGTCATGGTCATCATCCTTGGCTGCAATCATTTGTGGGGATGCCTGTTCCACCCAGAAAGTTGAGTCTCATTCATCATTTTCTTCCCAGGAGCTGGTACACAGCCTGGCCCAGATGGGCGTTTAAAGTATGAAGGGCCAATTCAAATGCTATGAAAAGTCAATCTTCTAATTGCTTTAAAACAATTTGTTTTGGACTGACAGTGGCATTTCCCTGCTTGGGCACTATTGAAGTCACTAGGCTATGCCCTAAAATATCTTTTGTTTTCTAAAGATCTATAACACCATCCTCAAAGGATGGAGTTTCGTCACCCAGAGTATATAGGAAACACTGAACATCAGATTTCAAGGCCAGTTCCCCCAGACAGAGGAAATAAGTATGAGGCGTCTAAAAGAAGCCAGGCACAGATAAATTCTTTATGAACATTTTCTCATAAAATTTGCATAACAGCCCAAGAAGTAGGTTTAATCAGGAGCATTTTTCAGATTAGAAAATCGAGGTCCAAAAAGTTGAGCAGAGTTTAGTAGCCCACCTAAGCCCAATGAGATGGAAGATAAATATCCTTGGCAATCCAACCCAGGCTTGCATTTGTGGGATAATTCCTCCACTTCCGAGTGTGGCTACTTTGAAAGAAGCAACACTCATCTGAGGGTATAAATACGGCATTGAAAGTGTCTGGTACATACGCAGTGGAGGATTCATAAATTCAGCTCTTGAATTGATGGAAAACATTGCACAGCATTTCCATACATCCTTACACATGGTTGTGTTCAGATACACAGTTTCAAATCTACACATACACACATTGAAAGGGGGATTTATGAACCATAAGAAAGGAGGTAAAAAACGCTGACTCAAATCTCTGCCAACTTTATAATTTTAGAATTGGGAAGGTAATTCAACTGCAGTAGTCAGGGTTCTCCAGAAAAACAAAAGAAATAGAATATAGATATACATATATAACAGAGATTTATCATGGGAATCGGCTCCCGTGGTTTTGGAGGCTGAGAAGTCCTATGATCTGCTATCTGCAAGCTGGAGACCCAGGACAGCAAGTGGTGTAATTCAATTCAAGTATGAAGGCCTGAGAAATTGGAGGCCGTTAGTGTAAGTCCCAGTCTAAGACTGAAAGCCCAAAAACCTGGAGCAGTGATGACTGAGGACAGGAGAAGATGGATAATTCAGTCAAGTAGAAAGAGTGAATGGCTCTAATTTTTCATTCTATTCAGGCCCTCAGAGGAATCGTTGATGCCCACGACATTGGGGAGGGCCATCTGCTTCATGCAGTTCACTTATTCAAATGCTGATCTCCTCTGGAAGCATCCTCACAGACACACTCAGAAGTAATGTTTCACCAGCACTCTGGGCATCCTTTAGCCCAGTCAAATTGACACAGAAAATTAATCATCACACATTTGCCTAGTAGACTTTAAAACATTCCCATAAATTACTGGATATCTCCTTTTCCCCAGGGTAGATCTGGAATCTAAGAGCAGATGACCTCTACCAGAGGAATATTTGAGAATGACTTAAAATTTTTTCTGAAATCTGGTGAATCATAATGAAATGGCTCCAGCCAGCCATGCTGTCACACAATGGTTCCATTTCCTGCCTTGTTCATCCCTGGCTCAGCTCTGGAACATCGGCATTTATCTCACCAATGTCCACATGACTTAGTGTCTCAGGGAATTTGGACACATGGATCATCTATCTATTGCACTCTAGTTCATGAATGGCTACAGTAATTCATGAATGACACATATACAACTGATCTGTAAAGAACTCTTTCAGCACCTTCAAAGAAGCCCAATCAAGGAACAGAAGCATACTCTACCCTGGTGTGACCTTCTTTAGGAAGTACAGCATCGCACTTAAAAGCACAGATTCCAGAACCAGAATGCCTGCATTCATTCAAAAACTAGTGAATGACTGAGTAAATGAACAGTTGTGTATTACGCTGAACAATATCTTTACTACTACTATTCTCCTTCTCCTCTTCATTTTGCTGTGTTTGTTTCTGTTATTTGTATCAAAGTTATATGCAAATAGTTCAAAGAGCCAATAGTTTTGCAAGTTTTGTTACAATACAACAATCCCTATCACTTTCTTTTACAAACACATTTTGTTACAACAGCATTAATCCTACCACTTTCTACCCCATTTATCCTTCTCTATCCACTCATCTGTTCCAGGTTATAATTTTGGTATCTAACTCCTTATCTCTAAATGATAGACTTCTAATGACTCCTTCACTTTCAAACTCCAGGCTTTCCCTGGAGACTGGACTTCCTACTAGGGAAGACAAAGATTTAGCCGTCTTTCTCCAATCCCAGGAGACTTAGTCATCCTTCCCATTTCCCCAGTTTCTCAATAGAGTATAATTGAGTTTTTGGTTAGATTTTCAGGGTTTAGGTGATAGGATTAGGTATTATATACAGAGCTGACTCATTTAGTAAGCTGTACTCTACACAGATGTTGTCCTGTACAACGTTTTCCTTCCCTAAAATGAATAATGTTATTTTTACTGAGTTTTTTTTTTTCCTGAACCTCTCGTAACTCAACTTCAGATTCTTTACCAGCTAAATAAATCTCTCAAGGCCAGGTGCATCAGGAATTCTATCAGATCACTTTTCCTGAAGAAGTCTCTCCCGGGGTCTCTGATCCATGCTAATCAGAACTGGTCATGGTATACATGTGAGGCACAACTGATATCCCATCAGCATCATCCTGGAGTTTTCCTACGCCTATCTGCTTTGCTGGAGTTCCAGCTTTCTGCATTCCATTTCTTTATCCTCTTTGATTCATTCATTCATTTTGGAGTCCATCTCATTTTCCTAGTATTTGAGAAAAGGTATATGGGAGGACCACTTTTTGAGACCTGGAACTGGGGAAAATGTATACCCTCACACATGGTTGAATAGCGTGTCTGCGCTGCCTTCTAGCATTTAAGAAATTAAAAACTGTCTGGGCACTGTGGCTCACACCTATAATCCTAGCACTTTAAGAGGCCAAGGTGGGTGGACTGCTTGAGCTCAGGAGTATGAGACCACCCCGGGTAACGTGCTGAAACCCTGTTTTTACAAAAAAATACAAAAAAAAAAAAAATTGGCCAGGGATGGTGGTGTGTGCTTATGGTCCCAGCTACTTAGCAGGCTGAGGTGGGAGGATCACTTGAGCCCAGAAGGTTGAGGCTGCAGTGAGCCATGATCGTACCAGTGCACTCTAGCCTGAACGACAGCAAAACTCTGTCTCAAGAAACAGAAAACAAAAACAAAAACAAAAGAAATTCAAAACTATTCTGATTCTTCAGCCTCTATGACCTGTGGCTCTTCTCTGGAAGCTTATCAGATCTGACATTTGTTTTGGTATGTGTCTGTTTCTAGCCATTGCTCCGTGCCCTTCGTAGGCTCTCTCAATATAGAAAATCATGTATTTCAGGTCTGGGAGATTGTTCTTTCATTGTTTCATTGATGATTTCTTCCTCTATGTTTTCTCTTTATTGTTTCTTGTGTTGAAATCTGTAGATTCTTTAACTTTGCTTTGTCTCGTATTTTCTTTTTGTCTTTTTACTCTACTTTACAGAAAAGTATAAAGACTTTATCTTCCAGCATATATTTTGAGTTCTTTAAATTTCTGCTTTCACAATTTTGATTCATAAGAGCACTGATGTTTATTCCATGAATTTAAAAAAAATGCTATTTCTTGTTTCACACATGCAAAATTCTTCTTTTATCGTCTGAACATACTGATCATAGTTATTTTGATGTTTCCAGAGTCACTGTTTAACCTAAGCTTTATTATTTTTTTCTATTTCGTTGCTCGGATCCTGATGTTCAAGTTAGAAGATTTCCCTGGATGTCTGATAATCCTATGATGTCATTAACTTAATTGGGAGCTGATAATGAAGGAATAGGGCTTGTTTACTATAACCTACACTTTAAGGTGTCCTGGAAAACCTTTGATGGCACAATCTCTTTCCTTCGGGCTCAGTCACATTCCCATTGAAATCACTTGAGTTCCCTGTGTAGAGGATGAAGGCATAAAGACACCATTCTTTGATCTCAGTTGTGTGTGTGTGGGTGGGTGTGTGGGTGTCATTTCAGCATCTAGTATGATTATGTTCAGATAACATTGCCATTGTTAGTACAGTATCCCAACCCAGGCAGGCTTGATGTCCTTTAGCCCAGGCACTCTCCATTTTACCCTCATTAGCAGAATAACCTTTAGTCTTCCTTTCGGGTAAGGAAGGGGGCAACCACCTGGCTCTGCAGAGTTGGGAAAGAGGTCTGCGTTCTCAATACTACTTAAGTTTTCAGCACCACACCACACCTATTCCAAAATTGACCACATAGTTGGAAATAAAGCTCTCCTCAGCAAATGTAAAAGAATAGAAATTATAACAAACTGTCTCTCAGATCACAGTGCAATCAAACTACAACTCAGGATTAAGAAACTCACTCAAAACTGCTCAACTACATGGAAAATGAACAACCTGCTCCTGAAAGACTACCGGGTACATAACGAAATGAAGGCAGAAATAAAGATGTTCTTTGAAACCAACGAGAACAAAGACACAACATACCAGAATCTCTGGGACACATTCAAAGCAGTGCGTAGAGGGAAATTTATAGCACTAAATGCCCACAAGAGAAAGCAGGAAAGATCCAAAATTGACACCCTAACATCACAATTTAAAGAACTAAAAAAGCAAGAGCAACCACATTCAAAAGCTAGCAGAAGGCAAGAAATAACTAAAATCAGAGCAGAACTGAAGGAAAGAGAGACATAAAAAACCATTGAAAAAATTAATGAATCCAGGAGCTGGTTTTTTTGAAAGGATCAACAAAACTGATAGACCGCTAGCAAGACTAATAAAGAAAAAAAGAGAGAAGAATCAAATAGATGCAATAAAAAATGATAAAGGGGATATCATCACTGATCCCACAGAAATACAAACTACCATCAGAGAATACTACAAACACCTCTACGCAAATAAACTAGAAAATCTAGAAGAAATGGATAAATTCCTCGACACATACACCCTCCCAAGACTAAACCAGGAAGAAGATGAATCTCTGAATAGATCAATAACAGGATCTGAAATTGTGGCAATAATCAATAGCTTACCAACAAAAAAGAGTCCAGGACCAGATGGATTCACAGCCGAATTCTACCAGAGGTACAAGGAGGAACTGGTACCATTCCTTCTGAAACTATTCCAATCAATAGAAAAAGAGGGAATCCTCCTTAACTCATTTTATGAGGCCAGCATCATCCTGATACCAAAGCCTGGCAGAGACACAACCAAAAAAGAGAATTTTAGACCAATATCCTTGATGAACATTGATGCAAAAATCCTCAATAAAATACTGGCAAACCGAATCCAGCAGCACATCAAAAAGCTTATCCACCATGATCAAGTGGGCTTCATCCCCAGGATGCAAGGCTGGTTCAATATACGCAAATCAATAAATGTAATCCAGCATATAAACAGAACCAAAGACAAAAACCACATGATTATCTCAATAGATGCAGAAAAGGCCTTTGACAAAATTCAACAACCCTTCAGGCTAAAAACTCTCAATAAATTAGGTATTGATGGGACATATCTCAAAATAATAAGAGCTATCTATGACAAACCCACAGCCAATATCATACTGAATGGACAAAAACTGGAAGCATTCCCTTTGAAAACTGGCACAAGACACGGATGCCCTCTCTCACCACTCCTGTTAACATAGTGTTGGAAGTTCTGGCCAGGGCAATTAGGCAGGAGAAGGAAATAAAGGGTATTCAATTAGGAAAAGAGGATGTCAAATTGTCCCTGTTTGCAGATGACATGATTGTATACCTAGAAAACCCCATTGTCTCAGCCCAAAATCTCCTTAAGCTGATAAGCAACTTCAGCAAAGTCTCAGGATACAAAATCAATGTATAAAAATCACAAGCATTCTTATACACCAATAACAGACAAACAGAGAGCCAAATCATGAGTGAATTCCCATTCACAATTGCTTCAAAGACAATAAAATACCTAGGAATCCAACTTACAAGGGACATGAAGGACCTCTTCAAGGAGAACTACAAACCACTGCTCAATGAAATAAAAGAGGATACAAAGAAATGGAAGAACATTCCATGCTCATGGGTAGGAAGAATCAATATCGTGAAAATGGCCATACTGCCCAAGGTAATTTATAGATTCTATGCCATCCCCATCAAGCTACCAATGACTTTCTTCACAGAATTGGAAAAAAACTACTTTAAAGTTCATATGGAACCAAAAAAGAGCTCGCATCGCCAAGTCAATCCTAAGCCAAAAGAACAAAGCTGGAGGCATCATGCTACCTGACTTCAAACTATACTACAAGGTTACAGTAACCAAAACAGCACGGTACTGGTACCAAAAGAGAGATATACATCAATGGAACACAACAGAGCCCTCAGAAATAAGCCGCATATCTACAACTATCTGATCTTTGACAAACCTGAGAAAAACAAGCAATGGGGAAAGGATTCCCTATTTAATAAATGGTGCTGGGAAAACTGGCTAGCCATATGGAGAAAGCTGAAACTGGATCCCTTCCTTACACCTTATACAAAAATTAATTCAAAAAGGATTAAAGTCTTAAATGTCAGACCTAAAACCATAAAAACTCTAGAAGAAAACCTAGGCATTACCATTCAGGACATAGGCATGGGCAAGGACTTCATGTCTAAAACACCAAAAGCAATGGCAACAAAAGCCAAAATTGACAAATGGGATCTCATTAAACTAAAGAGCTTCTGCACAGCAAAGAAACTACCATCAGAGTGAACAGGCAACCTACAAAATGGGAGAACATTTTCCCAACCTACTCATCTGACAAAGGGCTAATATCCAGAATCTACAATGAACTCAAACAAATTTACAAGAAAAAAACAACCCCATCAAAAAGTGGGCAAAGGACATGAACAGACACTTCTCAAAAGAAGACATTTATGCAGCCAAATGCTCACCATCACTGGCCATCAGAGAAATGCAAATCAAAACCACAATGAGATACCATCTCACACCAGTTAGAATGGCAATCATTAAAAAGTCAGGAAACAACAGGTGCTGGAGAGGATGTGGAGAAATAGGAACACTTTTACACTGTTGGTGGGACTGTAAACTAGTTCAACCATTGTGGAAGTCAGTGTGGCGATTCCTCAGGGATCCAGAACTAGAAATACCATTTGACCCAGCCATCCCATTACTGGGTATATACCCAAACGACTATAAATCATGCTGTTATAAAGACACATGCACACTTATGTTTATTGCGGCACTATTCACAATAGCAAAGACTTGGAACCAACCCAAATGTCCAACAATGATAAACTGGATTAAGAAAATGTGGCACATATACACCATGGAATACTATGCAGCCATAAAAAATGATGAGTTCATGTCCTTTTTGAGACACGGATGAAATTGGAAATCATCATTCTCAGTAAACTATGGCAAGGACAAAAAACCAAACACCGCATGTTCTCACTCATAGATGGGAACTGAACAATGATAACACACGGACACAGGAAGGGGAACATCACACTCTGGGGACTGTTGTGGGGTGGAGGCAGCGGGGAGGGATAGCATTAGGAGATATATCTAATGCTAAATGACGAGTTATTGGGTGCAGCACACCAGCATGGCACATGTATACATATGTAACTAACCTGCACATTGTGCAAATGTACCCTAAAACTTAAAGTATAATAATAATAAAATAAAACAAAAATAAAAATAAAAAGAAGTTTTCAACAATTCGCCTTATTATAGCCTCTTTTCACCAACTGCCCCCATTCCATAGATACCAGGTGCTGCCAATTCCTGAGCTTTTGGGGAATTCTTTAGCATCTATTAGTTATTGACTCTCCCCAGTAGCAACATTAAATTCAGTTTCCCGTTTCCTAAGTCATCGATCACTCTACATCTTTCTTCCCAGCTTCCCCCATGTTTTGACTGTAGTCCCCTTTCAGTGTTCCCTATCTTCATAACTTTATCACTTTTCAAACATTCCTTACTGTCATTTAATGGAGTTTAACAAGGGAAAAATTTAGACGTATATGCTTAATCTGTCATCTTTACCTAGAAGTTCAAGTCCTCATCTTTTCCAAATCTTTCAAAATTAGTTAAGTTACAAGGATATCAGCTAAGCACAGTGCAAGACCATGGGTAAACCAATTTGGAGCCTCTCACACCAGCTGCCTCTTCTGGGGTCAGTGAGAACATTTATGAATGATACAATCACTTTCCAAAGCCTCTCATTGAGTTCCAGCTTCTGCAGGCAAAGTCACTTTGCTCACCTGTGTAGGACATGGCACTGCTGTGCATAGCAGGGAGAAGTAAGGTCCCTGAGGAGGCTACAGAAACTCAGAGCTTTTATGCAAAGCCCAGAGCCAGCACTGAGGCTTCCTAAGAGAAAGAAATCCTCCACGATGCACAGCACTGATTTCTAAGTACAGAAAAAAAGAGAGTAGAATCCCTCACACTCCCAGCTCACTAGTATAATAATGCTCCTGTAACTCTTCTGACTTGAGACAGGAGAGACAGAATGTTCCAGCTTCCCTAGGCATACTGGAGCAGAGAAGATAAGGCCAGCCACCAGCCATGTCTCTAAACAGTAGTGTACGGGTATAGGATGGGAGATGTAGGTGCTGGTTGTAGAAAACATAAAAAAATAGGAAGAAAAGTGTTCTGCTTTTTTCCCTCATGCACTACCACTTTTAAACCATGTCAAGGACAAAATTCTCTCCCCACTACTGCAGACTGCTCCTGACACCCTAGCCCATGGTCCCTCTGTCCCAGGCATCCCGCCAGCAGCCCAGTTACCTGTGGATGATGTGGTACCTCTGAAGATACTCCAGGGCCAGTGCCAGCTCACAGATGTAGAGTTTCACAGTCCCCTCTGTGAAATGCACATTCTGCTGCAGATGGTAGCGCAGGTCGCCTCCCAGGAGCAGGTCCACCACCATGAACATGTCCTCCTCATCCTGGAAGGAGTACCTAGGAGCACAGAAGGACAGAGAAGATTAGGGGTGGAGGCACCTTCAGCACCCTCAAGACCAATGCCTCCATTTTACAGAAGAGCAAACTGAGGCTCAGAGAGAGGCACTGAGTTGCCTGAGTCATGGTGCTATGGGAGTGGAGGGGAAGGGGAAAAGGCTTTCAATCCTCAGGCTGCCTCCACATTTGTTGGGGTTTCCTCATTTCTTACATAGCAAAGGCAAGCAGGAGTACCCAGCATTAGTTCCCAGGCTCTGGCAGACAGATGACAGTTTAACTACTACTGGACTCCAGCATGTTTCTTCATCCGTTTTTAGCAGGTGCTTTAATTAGATGGTGTCACTGTTCGTAGGAGCTAGCCTCCAAAGACACACTCCCCTCCCAAACATTCCCTCCATTCCCTGCATATGCATGCTGCTCTCCATATGGAGCTTGTTTCTGCAACTCTTGAATGCAGTGGTGTTATGGGACATCCAAGTCTAGGCCTTAAGGGAATGGGCAGTTTCTAATTTTTGCCTCTTGGAACCCAGCCAGATGCAAGCCACATGGAGAGGCCAAGAGAAGGAAAACCAGATCCACAGCTGAGTTCCCAGTGACAGCCAGCACCACTGCCTGCCATGCGAGTGAGCTACCTTGAGCATTTTGATATTCCATGGCAACCCCAGATATCACATGGAGCAGAAGAACAGCCCAGCTGAGCCCAGTTACCCCACAGAACATGAGATGATTAAATGGTGGTGTTTTCACACCATTAAGTTTTAGGGTGGTATTTTGTTTTGTTTTTGAAACAGTAGAAAATTGATACAGTACCAAATTCATTTAACAAAATGCATTTGGGCTTTCTAAGGACTGAAGAGCCAACACATAGAATCTGAGATTGTTGTTAAACAATTGTAGTATAGCATCACATCACAAACTGTTGTCAAGTTCATTGTAGACTTACAGGGTATAATAATTGAATCATGTAATATTAATCACAGAATTGCATAATGTAATCATGGAAGCTTAGACCTGTGTCTTAGATCCTCAGATATTAGACCGAATCAGCAAGGTCCTTCCCCTCACTTAACAGAACAGGAAACTGAGGCCCAGAGGGAAGAAGGGACTTGGTGAGTCATTGTAAGTGTGAGGACAAGAACCCAAATCCCCTGACTCTCACTCGCTGCAGTGTCCTGATGACCATACACTGTGGGGATGTTGCTGTAATGCACCCACACTATGTTCCAGTATCCTGGGTGTGCAGCCCTGGGGAGGGAGCCTGGTGCATGATTTGGTCCCAGGACAGGCAACAGAACCACATGCTTACAGGACAGGGAATTCCAGGGTTGGAAGGACCTCAAATCCCCTCCAGCTCCCATTACAGAGACTGGGGTCCAGGAAAGAGGAGATGGCTGGACACAAGTCATATCCTCTTTGTGTATCTTACCCATTGTTCATAATTGTTCAGAATTAAGGCAAGGAAGGGGGCTGTTTATTGCGTCCCCAGATCATGAATTTACCAGAGGCTTATGGAACACCTACTGTCTGATAGGCATTGGGCTACGTGCTGGGGACACTGGGACAAAGAAACTGTCTTCGCCCTGGAGGCGTGCACAGTGCCCTGGGAGGGGCTGGGCTGACAGTCACTGACAATGCACGGGCTGGCATTCTAGGAGTCTTTCCAGGGTGCAGGCGAGTGTGGGAAAGGAGGAGGCCAGTGCTCTAGCAGGTGAAGGTGGGTGGGAGGAATTGGGAAAGTCTTTACCCATGAGGGGTTTACTGGGTCAGGAACGCACAGGCTGTGTGACTCAGACAGAGAGAGAAACAGCATGACCCATGGCGGGAGGCTGGATCATGGCGCAGTACCCACAACCTGCACAAACAGCGGAGGGCCACCTTTGGGAGTCACCATGGTGACATGGATGGGCAGGAGTGGAGTAAGATACAGTCCCTGCTCCTCATGGAATGAGAGACTGGAACAAACCTCACGGGATGGAATGAAGTGTCTCCTATCAGAGACTCACAGGAAGTGCTGTGATGGTGGAGGGTGCAGGGCTGAAGATGCTGTCTTTCTCCCAGGCTGTTCTGTGCTGAAAGGCCCTTCTGCCTTTCTAGGCAGAGGCACCCAGAGTACCCAGGACGTTCCCAATATTCCTGTCACAGTTTCAAGGCACTATTTCCAGAAGTTTCAGTTAGAATATTTTTGTTTGCCCAGAAAGTTTTTATTATTGTTGGTATTATTAATTATTATTCTCACTCTCACTCTTGGCCTCCCAAAGTGTTGGGATTATAGGCATGAGCCACCGCGCCCGGCCACCAGCTGGACTTCAGATCTGTTTCAGGGCCAGTATAACCTCATCCATGCTCCTCCCCCTCAACAAAGAGAGGAGCATGTAAGTAATACAGCCTCGCTGGGAAGCACAGGACTACCTTGTTTTACTGCACTTCACTTTCTTACAAATTGAAGGTTTGCGGCAACCCTGCCTCCAGTAAGTCTATCAGTGTCAATTTTCCAATAGCATGTGCTCAGTTTGTATCTCTGTGTCACATTTTGGTAATTCTTGCAAAATTTCAAACATTATTATATCTCCTATAGTGATCTATGATAAATGGTCTTTGATGTTACTATTACAATTGCTTTGAAGCTCCTCAAATGGCATCCATATAGCACCCAAAGCTTCATGGATAAAGGTTGGATGTGTTCTCATGCTCCACTGACCAGTAGTTTCCCATCTCTCACTTTCTCCTTGGGCCTTTCTATTCCCTGAGGCATAACAATATTGAAATTAGGCCAGTTAATAACTCTACAAAGGCCTGTAAGTGTTCAAGTGAATGGAAGAATCACACATCTCTCAGTTTACATCAAGTACTAGAAATGATTAAGCCTAATGAGAAAGACATGCCAAATGCCAAGATAGGCTGAAAGCTAGACTCTTACAACATAAAGTTGGCCAAGTTATAAATGCAAAGGAAATAAAAATTGCTACTCCAATGAACGCATGTAAGACATGAAAGCCAAACAGCCTTATTGCTGATAGGGAGGAAATTTTAGTGGTCTAGACAGAAGATCAAATCAGCTACAACATTCCCTTAAGACAAATCCTAATCCAGAGCAAGGCCTTAACTCTCTTCAGTTCTATGAATGCTGAGAGAGGTGAGGGAGTTGCAGAAAAAGAGCTGGAAGCTAGCAAAGGTTGGTTCATGAGGTTAAAGAAAAGACGCCATCTCCAGAACATAAAAGCACAAGGTGAAGCAGCAGGTGTTGATGGAGAAGCTGCAGCAAGTTACCCAGAAGATCTAGCTCAGATCACTGGTGAAGGTGAATACACCAAACAGGAGATTTTCAAAGTAGATAAAATAGCAAATAGCTTTATATTGGAAGTAGATGTCATTTAGGACTTTCATAGCTGGAGAGGAGAAGTCAATGCCTGGCTTCAAAGGGTCAAAGGAAAGGCTCTCTCACTAGGGAGGCTCTCTTGTTTTAGCAGCTGGTCACTTTAAGTTGAAGCCAATGCTCATTTACCATTTTGAAAATACCAGGGCCCTTAAGAATTATGCTAAATCTATTGCCTGTGTTCTATAAGTGGAATAAAAAACCCCAGATGACAGCACACCAGTTTACAGCAAAATTTACCAAATATTTTAGACCCAATGCTGAGACCTACTTCTCAAAAAAAAATTCCTTTCAAAATATTACCACTCTTAGTCACCCAAGAGCTCAGATGGAGATGTACAAGATTAATGTTGTTTTCATGATAAAACAACATCCATCCTGCAGCTAATGGATAAAGAAGTAATTTTGACCTTTGACACTTATTATTTAAGAAATGCATTTTGTAAGACTATAACTGCCATAGATAGTGATTGCTTTGATGGATCTGGGCAAAGTAAATTGAAAATCTTCTGGAAAGGATTCGCCATACTAGATTGTCATTAAGAACATTCATGATTCATGAGAAAAGGTCAAAGTACTAACATTAACAGGAGTTTGGAAGAAGTGGATTCTAACCCTCATGGATGACTATGAGGGGTTCAAGACTTCAGTGGAGGAAGGAACTGCAGACGTGGTAAAAGTAGCAAAAGTACTAGAATCAGAAGTGGAACCTGAAAATGTGACTAAATTGCTGCCATCTCACGATAAAACGTTAAGAGATGAGGAGTTGAGTTGTTTCCCCTAAGGATAAGGAAGAAACGAGCTTCTTGAGATGGAATCTGCTCCTGATGAAGGTGCTGTACACATTGTTAAAATGACACAAGAGGTTTAGAATATTACATAAGCTTAGTTGATAAAGCGGCTGTAGGATTTGAGAGGACTGACTCCACTTTTGAAAGAAGTTCTACTGTGGGCAAAATGCTATCAAACAGCACCACTTGCTATAGAGAAATATTTCATGAAGTGAAGACTCCATCATCGTGGAAAGCTTCATTGTTTTCTTATTTTAAGAAATTTTCACAGTCACCCCAACCTTCAGCAACCACCACTCTGATCAGTAAGCAGCCATCAACATTGAGGAAAGACCCTCCACCTGCAAAAAGACTGTGACTTGTTGAAAGAAGGCTCAGATGAGTGTTAGCATTGTAGCTAACAAGTATTTTAGATGAAAGTATGTACACTTTTTAGACATAATGCTGTTGCACACTGAATACAGTGTAGTATAAACATAACTTTTAAAGGCACTAGAAAACGAAAAAATGTCAATAAGACCTGTCTAGGGAGAGAACCTGCAGAGAGGGAAGCAGGGCTGGGAGCTAAATGCAGAAAGAGGCACTGTTGGAGGTACTGGCTCCCACCTAGTCAGAAGAAAGATCCATCCCTGAACTTCATATTTACATGGGCAATGACTGTTTTTATTTTTTTTAATTAAGCTACTTTACTTTGAATTTCTGTGACTTGGAACTGAGTTACAACTTTTCATGTATTTGCTACTGGATAGAAGAATATAGATGCCCCAAAAGAAAACACAGGAATCAAACATAATATGCCGACTACAGATGCACAATTTGTATTCTAATAGTTGATGGACTATTGAAACATTGCATTAATAACCAGCGAGTTCTGTACTCTCAACTCACAGCTAAACTGTCAAAGGGCATCTCATTCAGTATTCCATCACAACTCTTTGGAGGAGCAACATGAATTTTCAGAGGGAAACTTGCATACTGGAATGAATTCTAAAGAGGAAAATCAAAATGCTAAGAGAACAATATTTTAAGCAATAATTCAGGTTGTGGCTTTTTCTTGCTGCAGATCCACATTCTTCACCAGGCCACAGACCCTACATTCCCAGAGACACTCAATATTATTACTGGAGAACACAGAATGACCTTTCATTTATCTCTCTGTAGTTTTGCACTATTCTACAGCTTTGTGACATTGTCCCTTTTGCTTCTTGTATTAGAATTAGAATTATATTCTCATAATAGTGCTGAACATTGTCATGGAAATGATGGAGATCACAAATAAGAAAGCTAAGCTCTATCACAGTAACTCTGACCTATGGAAAAATCTGGAAAATTAGGCTCTCCTTGCAAGAGCAAAGAAAATTGTGTGCTGTGAAGGCCTAAATCCTGGCCTGGCTATTGCAATAGAACTGCATAAAGAATGCGATTTTCCATGTTTTATTTTTTAAAAAATTATTAATTTCCTACTTTGTTCCAGAAAGGATTCAGGTGACTTGTGAAATGTATATAACATAATAGAATTAAAAATAAGGAAGACAAAGATCAAGTCACAGAATAAAAAAGAAATCCAAGAAAACAGAATCAGGAAAAAATACCCCAATTTATGCCTCAAGATCCTGTATGCTTCCCTGAAATGGCCCATCAATGTGTCTCAAATCTCCCCAGCACACAGAGCAAAAAGAGAAACATGATCAGCTACATGATTCAGAGCTGATGTGGAAAAAAAAAACAATTGTTTAGGAAAAGCAAGATTTTTGTCCTGGTACTGAAATCAGTGGGAAATTTCTTCCACTGGATTCTTATGAAGATGGTGTTCTGTAATGTGGTGAACCATGAGTCTACATAAAATAACTCTAAACACAGTAATAAGTGGAACAGGAATTTTTTGCATGATGTGCTTCAAGGTAGGCTGAAGGCATTAAAAATCCAATTTCATAGAAGCAATGCCACATGGGGTAAAGCAATGAGGCTGTGCGTCATGCTCACGGATGAACTTTCTTCATACCAGGATAAATTTAGAGCAGAGCACGAGGTGAATGTTCTTCAGGGACTACTTCACGAAGACAGGCTCGCACGCACAGCAGCAAGTACTCAGTAGGCTTCTCCCATGCATTTGGTCCTTGCAAGAAGCCAAGGATTTAGTGGGAGAAGTCGGCACATGAGTGCTCACCTGGGCTTAAGATTTCATAAGGGAGCCCAGATTTTGCCGTCATGTTAGGACAAGTCCCTGGATGGACCCACACTCTCACAATTCCACACGTTCACCCACAATATTCCTTATTCCTGGTGTACCACCTCTGTCCTCTTGTCCATCACTCACTTCTCAGCATAGTGCAGGGTTCCCAAACCCAGAGCAGTTTTGCTCCCCTGGGAACATTGGACAATGTGTGGAGACAGTTTTTGTTGTCACAATTTGGAGGGATGCTGCTGTCATCTAGTGAGTTGGAGCCAGAGATGCTGCTAAATATCCTACAATGCACAGGACGGCCTCCACCACAATCACCTACTGCAAAATGGCAACAGTGCTGAGGTTGAAAAACCCTGCTTAAGACTGACGCTCCCTCCTTTAAGAAGCCTTCCCTAACCCCGGAAACTGAGGCAGGTGACCCCCTAGTCCCTTATAATAATAACAGTTAACACTGATGTGGTGCAAATTCTGTGCCAGACACCGTTCTAAGTGCCTTATTTTCTTATTTTTATTTTTTGAGATGGAGTCTCCCTCTGTTGCCCAGGCTGGGGTGCAGTGGTGCAATCTTGGCTCACTGCAACCTCTGCCTCCTGGGTTCAAGCAATTATCCTGCCTCACCCTCCCCAGTAGCTGGGATTACAGGCCCATGCCACCACACCTGACTAGCTTTTATATTTTTAAAAGTGACAAGGTTTCATCATGTTGGCCAGACTGGTCTTGAACTCCCGACCTCAAGTGATCTTCCTGCATCGGCCTCCCAAAGTGCTAGGATTACAGGTGTGAGCTGCCGTGCCCGGCCTAAGTGCTTTACGTATATGCGCTCATTTAATGTTCCCAACAATCCTTTGAGATAGGAGTTATTACAAACTGCCTTCGATAGCTCAAGACCATGAGGTTCAGAGAGATTAAGTAACATGTCCAAGATGACAGCCAGGGAATAGCAGAGCTGGGACTGAGCCAAGATAGTCCATGTCCAGAACCTAGACTCTGTGCTTGATGCCCTATAGCACTTTCCTTGTGGCCAAGTCACCATTGCTCTTCTGGTCTCTTTTCCCCACCAGCCAGTGAACTCTGAGTGCAGGGACCTAGCTAATTCAGCACCATCCCCTGCATTTAGCACATAGCCAGGAGCATTCCACACACTCCGGAATGAAAAAGCCACAAACGCCTGAAACACCCATATTCTGTGTGGCACATTGGGTCAGTCAATGATGTCTACACAGAAGTGGGGCATTGTACAGAAAAAAGACAGAGGGTAGAGGGTTGATGGGGAAGGAAGGGTGCTAGGCCCTGCTGTTTATGTCACTACCTACAGGAACCTCCTTTTTCTCTGGCCTCTTCTTGTCACAGAGACCAGGGACTCCCATTAGCCTGAGTGACTCACCAGTCTCTCCCCATAGCCGTCTCCCTCCCTTGCAGGGTGCAGAAGTGATAGACCTGATGAGGGAGTCCAGAAGAAGCAGCCGTGCTCAGCACAGTCCCCTCGGGCTCCCCTTCTGCTTCAGAACCTGCTCATAGTGGGCTTACACTCCTGTCTGCTCTCTGCAACAGCCAGGGCCTGGCTGGTGGAGGGGGACTTGCAGGTGATCACCGTTTCCTGTGCCTCGGAGGTGATTCCATTTCAGAACTCAAGAGGTAGCAAGCCGTTTTGGCTACCAATCTAAAGTGGGTTTCTCTGACTGACTGTTAGCATGAAGTGGATACTTCCACCTCCACCTGTCAGACTCCTGTCTCTCAATTAGTCCTAAAATCGAGAAGGGAGGAGAGGTGCTCTTCACAGACCCCCTGCTCATCCCTTAACACTTGTCCCAACTAACCGTGGGACGTGGGCATTATCACCCTCAATTGCCCAATGGAGGAAACCAAGGACAAGAGAGGTTGACTGGTCCAAGGTCACTAGGTCAGTTTTCTTGGAAAGCATGTCATGTACTCAATCATCAGCCTTGGAGGCTGCTTACAAACTAAAGGTCAGCCATGCTGATAACACATGAAATACACGTGAACACATATGAGGGAGGCAGTGCCTGTTGCTGGGGGAAATCTGGAGTTGGAAAAGCTTGGTTCAGCTCCTCCTCTTACCTGATGAGTGACTGACTCTCCATCTCACCTTGCCCAGGGCCTGGCAAACAGTGTAGCATCCACAAACCTTGTGCAGTTGTTAAAGGTAGGGGAGGGCTGGAAAGGGAAAGGAAGAGTCTGGAGGAAACCCTAGACCTTTCTTAGTCTCCAGGCAGCACAATGCCACTTGAACTATTTGAAACAGCCACCTTTCTCCACTTCTTCTTCCTGAGGCAAAAGTCACTGGGTGCCCAGAGATGACTCTGTGGGATTCAGAAAATCTTGGCAGCCAGGACAAACCACATGTCTACAACACTCATCTCCTGTGTTTTTACTGTGTGGCAACTGCAGGGGCAATGAGCTGAGCATCTCCTCAGGCCACTTTCCATTCCATCTGACCTCCGAGGGTAGCAGATGGAGGGGAGGTCTCACTCACTATGCTCACCTCTAGCGATTCTTAAAAATGTAACAGCCAGCAAGAGAGGAGCTAAGAATAGCCTCACACGCTACAGAAATCCAACAATGGAGCGCTCGGCCTTCTGACAGCTCATATTGTACGAGGAAAAAAGAGCTTATCAAGCCTGACTTGTGCCTGATACATGTCTTTAATAACATTCACAATGATAAGCTTATTATTATTTTTCATAGACAAAATCTTGCTGTGTTGCCCAGGCTGGTCTTGAACTCCTGTCCTCAACCAATCCTCTTGCCTTGGCCTCCCAAAGTGCTGGGATTACAGGTGTGAGCCACTGTGTTCAGCCAGCCCAACCCCCCACCCCCACTCCCACCACTTTTTTTTTTTTTTTAATTTGACTTGAGGCACAAGAGTCTTGAAGCCACTCAAACATGATGGCTCTCATTGTTCTTCACACTGGACTGATTCTCCTATCTCCTTCCCAGGAAGTCGAAGGACGCTGGTTAGCTTCCAATGGCCTCCCGTAGACCAAGGCGACAAGATGAGAACCTCTCAAAGCCATCCAGCACCTCCAGGCAGAGGCAGTTGGGGGCAGGAGCAGTCGCGTGATGAGGTGAAGGCAGGCTTCAGGTCCACGGTGCCCCCGTCCCACTGGAGGGGCTTTGCAGACTGTAAAGTGCTATCTATCTGTATAAATGCAGAATATTGCCCTTGTGCCTTCATGGTTTTATTTATTTCAATCTATATCCTTCATGCTTCTAAAGAATTTGTAGTGGCTGACAAAGGACAGGTAAGACTGATAGAGGAGATAGTGGGAAAAATGTACAACGAAGGAGAGGCACACGTACTGTTCACGGGGACAGACAGTGAGCCTGAAACAGTAGCTCCTGCTCCCTTAGCAGTGGAAAGAAAGCAAAGGGCAATGGGGAATGACCAACACAGCCCTCACCACTTGATTAAATAAGATGAAGCCAAACTGCTCTTCTTGGGCCAAATTCCAAAAGACATTTATAACTTGCATTCTCTTACAAGGGGCATTGAATGAAAGAATGGGAAAGGATAAATGATAACTCACATATGCTAAGTGCTTCCTATGTAGTAGCCATGGTCCTAAGTGCTTTTTTTTTAATACCATTGACCGAGGCTCCTTGCTCTATGTGAGCTCTTTACATTGGAGATCTCACTTAATCTTCCAACACTTTGGTGTAGGCATTATTATGGCTATTTTAGAGGTGACAGAACTGATGTTCAGAGAAGCTGAGTAACTTGCCTAGAGTCGCACTCAGCTTTGCTCCAACCCCCTCCCTCTGAAATCCTTTTGCCAACCACATCTTCAAAGCCCTTTTGTACTCTCTCAAAGACCCTTCCCTTCAACTACACAGTGCATACTCTTCTGAGTCTACAGTGATGCACTTCTCATCATTCAGTATACATGCATCATCTATTGAACATAATCGACCTGTTCCTAAAAACCAGTCATTCTGTTTGAAGACACTAAGAATGTATTTCCCATTATTTAAGTGGGAAAAATTACAATGCATCACTCTTCAACCCAAATTTCTTAACCAATTTCTTAAAATACAATGTAAACACAACAAAATAGATAGGATATCCATCTGCTAATATGTCAAGTGTTTCCATTCCATCCTCATGATCAAACACTAAATATAGTTAATGATGTTTTAGTTTTGGGCTTTTGCAGTAACATGGTCTTGTTTACCCTCAGCAGTGTCTAAGACGCACATCCCTGTGGCGATACATACTTAATGTGATTTTTCAAACTGACTACACTTGGTTCTTACATTTCACTAGTTGTATTTGAAATGTAACTTGAGACTTGACCTGATATCACATTGTTAAAAATGTTATATTGAGTTTCAAGGCTGTAAATATAATTTTTTTCAATGTAAACAATAGCTGAAAAAGTACTGATAGATACACACAGGGTTAAGCCATGTGAAATTGCCAATGCTTACCATTTTGACTATGGAATAACAATTTCACATGGTTCAACCTAATACAGTCCATGCAGCCTTAGTAATGAAAATCAAGAGGCACTGGACCAAGAAAATGTTAAGTGCAGAGGCGTTCTGCAGGGTGAATATGCCTGAATGTTTGTTGAACACCTACTATGTACCAGGCCCTATCATGGGAGGGGGAATCATTCATCAACCAGATGTGGCCGCTCTACTCAAGGTGCTCATTGTACTCTAGGAGGGGAAGGATAAGGTAGTGTAGAAACACATAGGGGAGGGACCTATCAAAAAAGGGGAGGGATTCTGAAGGGGAAGAGACGTCTAGGTAGAGTGGAGACTTGAATTGGCTCATCAGTGTCTGTTCCACCCTCCTGCAAGTGTGCTTTCCTGTAAATGCAAAGGCTAGAAATCTGCCAAGTTCATTTCACAGACTCCCTTGCAGCTAGAGTTCCTGCATGATTTAGGTTTCTCAGTAAGTTGCATCCACATAAGACATGGCTAAGTGGGGCAAGGTCTGAGGTCTCATTCTGGGAGGCAGCTTCTCACCCGCAGCAGAGGCAGCCACATCCTCTGCAGGTCAGTTCTCCCTGTGACTTTGGGCAGAGCTCTCAGAGTTTCAGCCCAGAGTCAGCTCTTCTGCCTCCCAGGGATTCTGAGAAGACATTTCATACCCTGTAACAAATCTCTTTCTTCTGAACTAACAAGACTGTATTCTCTTCCTTGAAGCTGAGCCCTGGTTGATAGAACCAGAGAGGAGCAGAGAGCAAGGACAATGGTCCAGAAATAAGGAACAGCATGAACAAAGGCTGAGAGGAGTGGTGAGCATGGATTCCAGCTCTGTATGCCTGGGTGCGTGCTGGAGAGGGGTAAGATGGGAGTGAGGAGAAGACTCTTCAAGAAGGGCTTTGTAAGTCATGATAAGAAGTTTGGACTTTATTCTTGCACAAGGGGAAGCCACTGAGGATTTGGAAACAGGAGAAAGTCCTTGTCAGATTTGAGTTTTGGAACAGCTGCTCTGGCAGCTACATATCCAATTAGTTGGAGGACCTTTGCTTTAGGCAGGAGAGCAGTTGAGGCAATATTGCTTCATTGGTAAGCAGTGATGAGCCCTATTCAGGAGAGCACACAAACCCTTTTGAAGTGTACAGGCTCTGGAGGCAAAGTCCTAGGTTCTGGGCCCCATATCCTCATTAGTCATACAGGAATTATTGTGGTGTTTACGTCCTGGTGTTTCAAAGATTTCAGGAGTTATTATGAGTCAAGGGACTGGAAAAGTGACTGACACATAATGAGTGCTTGAGAAATACTTGCTATTTTTAGCCAGGCGTGGTGGCTCACGCCTGTAATCCCAGCACTTTGGGAGGCCAAGGCGGGTGGATCACAAGGTCAGGAGATCGAGACCATCCTCGCAAACACAGTGAAACCCCATCTCTACTAAAAATACACACAAAAAAATTAGCTGGGCATGGTGGCGGGCACCTGTAGTCCCAGATACTGAGGAGGCTGAGGCAGGTGAATGGCATAAACCCAGGGGGCAGAGCTTGCAGTGAGTGGAGATCACGCCACTGCACTCCAGTGTGGGCGACAGAGCAAGACTCCGTCTCAAAAAAAAAAAATACTTGCTATTTTTATTATTCTCAACAGCTTTTGCCATGAATCCAGCCCACTGCATCCTTCTACAGAATGAACTCTTTGCTCTGGTCATCCTGAGGGACTTGGAGTTAGTCAAATGTGCTTTCTCTCTCATACCTGTGTACCTTTTCTTATGCTGTTCCCTTGTCTGAAAGTACCTACCCTGTGATTCTGGGTCTAGCTGATTCACCATTTAAATCACTGCAGTGATGTCCCAATATATCTGGAATAAATTCAGGATCCCTTAACCTAGCCTACAAAGCTCTATGTGATCAGGACTCTCCAATTTCATTTTATCTTGCTCCTAACTTTTTTTTTCTCAATCTATTTATTTTGGCTTTCATTCTTCTTTCTGTTCCAGGGTTGAGATCTTTGCACTTGCTAGTCTCCTTGCCTACAGTTCTTTTCCCTGCTCCATCTTCCTATCACTCCTTCTCATCATTTAGTCTCAGTTCCTAAGACAACTCCCCAGGCAGGCCTTCTTTCACTGCCTGTTTTAAGAAGCCCCACTTCTTTCTGACTTCCTAAAATTTTTTCTAAGCCCCTATAAACCTCTCTTCATAACATTTATCCCTACATGAAATAATCTCATTTACTCACCTGTTTTGTTGTGTGCTGTCTGCCCTTTCCCCCAATCACACACACAAGTGCATGCATTCACACAAGCGTGCACACACACACACACACGTGCACAAGCACACACAAATGCAAGCCCTGAGAGCCAAGACTTTCTCTACCAGTGGTTCTCAAACTTCAGCAGGCATTCAGAAGGATCTGGGGACCTTGTGAAAACACAGATTGCTGGCCTCACCTCAGAGTTTCTGACTTGGTAGGCCTGGGACAAAACCTGAAATTTGGCAATTCTAACAGATTTTCAGGTGATGTTGATGCTGTTGGTATGGGGACAGCACTTTGAGAAGTGCCGATCTACATTTTTCACAGTTCTATCCAAAACACTTAGATGAATGCCTACTGAACACAGCAGCTCATCAATAGATTTTTAAGTCAATAACTCTTAACTCTTTGTTTATCCTTCAAATAAGGAAATCACTTGTCACCTTCTCCAAGAAGCCTCCCAAACAAGAATAGGAGCTCTTTGCAGATGGCACCTTGTCTGACCTCCCTGGAATCCTCCAGCATCCACTCAGGGCCTGGTCCAGGGCATGAGTGTTCACTGAGTGTTGCTTCAGTGGTTAAGCCTAATGTCCTCCTTACATATTTTTTTCAAGTTATATATATATATATATATACATGTAATATATATATAATAAATATATTATACATATATAATATATATTATATATATGTAATATATATATTATACATATATATTATATATATTATGTATATATGTAATATATATGTATTATATATAATACATATACATTATATATATTATATATATGTAATATATATAATACATATACATTATATATATTATATATATGTATTATATATGTAATATATATTATACATATGTTATATATTATATATTATATATATGTTATATGTTATATATTATATATATGTTATATGTTATATATAATATATATATGTTATATATAATATATATATGTTATATATATAATATATATATGTTATATATATATATTATATGTTATATATATGTAATATGTATATTATACATATATATTATATATTATAATGTATTATATATATTATATATTATATCATATATATTATATATATAATATATAATATATTATATCATATATATTATATATATAATATATTATATCATATATATTATATATTATATATATTATATATTATATCATATATATTATATATTATATATATTATATATATTATATCATACATATTATATATTATATATATTATATATATTATATCATATATATTATATATTATATATAATATATATAATATATTATATATAATATATAATATATATAATATATTATATATAATATATAATATATATGATATAATATATAATATATATAATATATAATATATATGTATAATATATAATATATATAATATATATGATATAATATATATTATATAAGATATTATATAATATATTATTATATTATATATTATAATATGATATATATTATATTATATTATATATATAATATATATTATATATTATATATATAATATATTATATATTATATATATAATATATAATATATATTATATATGTAATATATATTATATATTATATATGTAATATATATTATATATTATATATGTAATATATATTATATATTATATATGTAATATATATTATATATTATATATGTAATATATATTATATATTATATATGTAATATATATTATATATTATATATGTAATATATATTATATATTATATATGTAATATATATTATATATTATATATGTAATATATTATATATATAATTAATATATATAATATATATAATATATGATATAATATATTATATTGTATATAATATATAATATACAATATATATATTATATATAATATTGTATATAATATATTATATATACTATATAATATATTATATATACAATATATAATATTGTATATATAATATATTATGTAATATATATTATATATCTAAATATATATATTTAGTTATATATATATTTAGTTATATATATTTAGTTATATATATATATAACTTGAAAATATATATATATATTTATACAGAAAGTAGCATAACAGACACATATATATTCTCCATCAAAACTAAACAGACATTACATTTTGCCTTATTAATGTCAGCTCTCTTTAAAAAATAAAATACTCGGCCAGTCCCGGTGGCTCACACCTATACTCCCAGCAATTTGGGAGGCCGAGGCAGGCAGATCACCTGAGGTCAGGAGTTCGAGATCAGCTTGGCCAACACAGCAAAACCCCATCTCTACTAAAAATACAAAAATTAGCTGGGCGTGGTGGCATGCACCTGTAATTCCAGCTACTCAGGAGGCTGAGGCAGGAGAATAGCTTGAACCCAGGAGGCAGAGGTTGCAGTGAGCTGAGATTGCACCACTGCACTCCAGCCTGGGCACTGGAGTCTCAGGGCGAAACTGGAGTCTGGGTGAAACTCCGTCTCAAAAAAAAAAAAAAAGAAAAAGAAAAAGAAAAAATACTCAAGAATTGCCTTACTCCATCTATTCCTTCCTTCATCTACTCTTTCCAGAGGTATTAATAATTAGTACTTGATGTTGAGATACTCCTTATTTCTTTTTACTTTTACAATATATGCATCCATAAATCATATAAAATTGTAAAACAGATAAACATACATACAGTTTTAGATAATATTGAGTTTATGCATATTAATTACTTGAAGCAGTGTTTGACATATAAATACTCAGTAAGTGTTGCTGAGTATTATTGTTACTGTTTTGTGGCTTATCTTCCCTCTTAAAGTAATTCTTGTAAAATTTATCCAAGATACATACAGATCTGTTTGTTTCACTTGATGTTATCACTATTTTTAAGCTAGCCATTCTGACAGGTGTGTAGTCACATCTCATTTGCATTTCCCTAATGGCTAATTTGCATTTCACTAATGGAGAAGGAAGATGAACACTTTTTCATGTGTTTATTTGTATGTCCTCTTCTGGGAAATGTCTGTTCATGTCTTTTGCTCATTTTTTAATTGGATTAAAAAAATTTACTGTTGAGACTTGAGAACTCACTATATAGTCTAGATACAAGTCCTTTGTCAAATATGTGGTTTGCAAATATTTTCTTCTCCTCTGTAGCTTGTCTTTTAATCCTCTTCACAGAGTCTTCTGCCGAGCATAAATCTTCAATTTTAATGAGGTCCAGTTTATCAATTTTCACTTTTATGATACATGCTTTTGGTGTCAAGTCTGAAGACTCTTCACTTAGCTCTTCATTCTTCTCTTTTTCTATCAATGTTATATTTTTAAAATAAAATTTGTATTTTTATTTTATCTCCTTCATTTAATAAAAAGTTTTAAAATACCCTGCAAATTTCCCAGCCCGTTTTGCTACTTTGTTGGCTATGTGACTGGTTCTATCTATTTTCTCCTATGATGTTTTTTCTCAAAAGTTTTATAGCTTTACACTTTACACTCCAATCCATGATCCATTTTGAGTTTTTGTTTAAGACGGAGTCTTGCTCTTATCACCCAGGCTGGAGTGCAATGGCGTGATTTCGGCTCACTGCAACCTCCGCCTCCTGGGTTCAAGTGATTCTCCTGCCTCAGCCTCCCGAGTAGCTGGCATTACAGGTGCCTGTCACCATGCCCAGCTAACTTTTGTATTTTTAGTAGAGACAGGGTTTCAACGTGTTGCCCAGGCTGGTCTTGAACTGTTGACCTCAGGTGATCCACCTGCCTCAGCCTCCCAAAGTGCTGGGATTACAGGCGTGAGCCACAGTGCCCAGCTGAGTTTTTTAAAAATATGTAAGGCATGAGGTTTGGTGATGGTTCATTCTTCTGCTTACAGTTGTCCAATTACTATTTGTTGAAGAAGCTATCCTTCCTTCATGATATTGCTTTTGAAACTTTGCAGTTGGGCATATTTGTGTAGTTCAAATTCTGTTCCATTGATCTATGTGTCTGTTCCTATGCTAATACCACATTGTCTTGATTACTACAGTTACATAATAAAACTTAACATTGAGTAGGCTGACTCCTGCTTTATTTTTTTTTCAAAATTGCTTAGCTATTATAGACCCTGTGACATTTCACATTAATTTTAAAATAAGTTTGTCTATGTCTGCAAAAAACTTTTCTTGGACTTTCATAGCAATTGCATTAAATCACTTAGAGGACAACTGTTATCTTTACTATGTTGCATCTATGAACAGGATGTGTTTCCCCACTTATTTAGGTCTTATTTGATTTCTGTAATCAGCATTTTATGATTTTCAGCAAATAAATAGTGTAAATGTTTTTGTTACATTTATATCTAGGTTTATTATCTATGGAATGACTGTAAATGGGATTTCTAAATTGTTGCTTTCCACATGTTCGTTGTCAGTATACAGAAATGTGATTAATCTTTGGATGCTAGTGCTGTATACTGTAATGGTGCTGTCACAGTTCTAGGTTGATCTTTATGCACGAATGTTGTAGACCACAACCTTGCTGTCACAACTGCACACACACGCACATACACATATGTACTTCTTAGTTCCAGGATATTTTAATTTTAATAAATTCTTTGTTTTTTAATGTAAATAACTATGCCATCTGAAAATAGAGACAGTTCTATTTTCTCTTTTCTAATCTATATGCCTTATTTTTCTCTTGACTTACTGCAGTTGCTAGAACTTCCAGCAGTTTACTAAGTAAGAGTAGTAAAAGCAAAAATCCTTACCTTGTGCCCAATCTTAGGGAGAAAGCATTCAGTCTGTCACCGTGATGTTCCTTATAAATTGAAAAAGTTACCCTCTTTTTCTAGTTGCCTGAGAGTTTTTATCATGAATGTTTACCACAGATGTTAGATGCAGAGATGCTCTCTCTGCATCAATTGATATAATAATAGGATTTTTTCTTTAGCTTGTTGAACATGGTAGATTACATTGACTGCCTTAAAAATATCGAACTAGTGTTGCAAGTCTATAGTGAATCTCAATTTGTTGTGGTGTGTAATTCTTTTTGTACACTGGTGGATTCTACTTGATAATAGGTTGGAGCAAAAGTAATTGTGGTTTTTAAAAACCACAATTACTTTTGCTCCAACCTAATAATATTTTTGTTGAGATTTTTGCATCTATATTCATGAGCTATGTTGGTCTTTCTTTTATCATACTGTCTTCATCTGCTTTTGTTATCAGGATAATACAAGTTTCATAAAATGAATTTAAAAGTATGCACAGGTGCTGGAGAGGATATGGAGAAATAGGAACACTTTTACACTGTTGGTGGGACTGTAAACTAGTTCAACCATCCATTGTGGAAGTCACTGTGGCAATTCCTCAGGGATCTAGAACTAGAAACACCATTTGACCCAGCCATCCCATTACTGGGTATATACCCAAAGGACTATAAATCATGCTGCTATAAAGACACATGCACACGTATGTTTATTGTGGCACTATTCACAATAGCAAAGACTTGGAACCAACCCAAATGTCCAACAATGATAGACTGGATTAAGAAAATGTGGCACATATACACCATGGAATACTATGCAGCCATAAAAAATGATGAGTTCATGTCCTTTGTAGGGACATGGATGAAATTGGAAATCATCACTCTCAGTAAACTATCGGAAGAACAAAAAACCAAACACGCATGTTCTCACTCACAGGTGGGAATTGAACAATGAGAACACATGGACGCAGGAAGGGGAACATCACACTCTGGGGACTGTTGTGGGGTGTGGGGAGGGGGGAGGGATAGCATTAGGAGATATACCTAATGCTAAATGACGAGTTAATGGGTGCAGCACACCAGCGTGGCACATGTATACATATGTAACTACCTGCACATTGTGCACATGTACCCTAAAACTTAAAGTATAATAACAAAATAAAAAAAGAAACCTAATAATAAAATAAAAAAAAAACTAAACGTAAGCGGTAAAACCATAAAGCTTCTAGAAAAACAACAAGAAAATCTTTGTGATCTTAGGATGGCAAAGATTTCTTGAGGTAGACATAAAATCATGAATCATAAAAGAAAAAAATTGTATACAATCCCATAAAGTATATTTCAATATATGGATGATTGTACTATATATTACCAACCTAATATTAACATTGATTACTTCTGTTAAAATATATAATGGAGAGAAGAATGAAGAAGGATGGAGGCATTTTATTTTCCTTAAATTTTTGTGTACTGTTTATAATTTTTTTAAATAAGATTCTACTACTTTCATAAAAATAAGAATAAACTTTAAAAAAAAATATATATATATAAAAGTATGCACTTCTCTTCCATTTCCAGAAGAAACTGTGTAAAACTGGTGCTAATTCTTCCTCAAACGTTTGATAGAATTCTCTTGTGAAATCATCTGAGCCTGATTTAATTTTCAGAAGCTATTGTGAATTTAATTTATTTAACAGATATAGGAGTGTTCATTTTTTCCTTAGTTGAATTTTGGTAGTTTGTGCTTTTTGAGGAATTGGTCCATTTCTTCTAAGCTATCAAAATTATGAGTAAAAATGTGTTCACAATATTCTCTTTATCTGTTTAATGGCTGCAGAATCTGTGTTGGTAGCCTCTGTTTCATTCCTGGTTTTCATTATTTGTTCTTCTTTCATTTTATGTTTGTCAGTCTTGCTAGAGCTTGATCAACTTTCTTAAATATTTTTGAAGAATCAGCTTATTCTTTCATTGATTTTCTCTACTGTTCTCCTATTTTCAATTTCATTGATTTCTACTGTTTATTATTTCATTCTTTCAGCTTGCCTTGGGTTTATTTTGCTCTTTTTAATTTTTATTATGTTTAATTGACCCACAGTAATTGTACGTATTTACGAGGTACTGTGTGATATTTTGATACATGTATGCAATGTGTAATGATAAAAATCAGAGTAATTAGCATAAGCATCATCTCAAAGGTTTATCATTTCTTTGTGTTGGTAACATTCAAAATCTGCTCTTCCAGGTATGTGAAAATATACAATAAATTGTTGTTAACTAAAGTAATTCTATAGTGGTACAGAATTTTTTCTATACCACATCTACATAGGACTTATTTCTCCTAGGCAGATGTATTTTTGTATCTGTTAACAAAGCTTTGGCTATCCTCCCTCCATGCTAATTTTCCCTGCCACTTTTCCCCACCATTAGTAACCACTGTTTTACTCTCTACTTCTATGAGATCAAATTTTTAGCTCATGTGTAAACATGAGTGAGAATATGTGACATTTTCTTTACTGTGCCTGGCTTATTTTATCTAACATAATGTTCATCAAGCTCATCCATGTTGCCATGAACGACAGAATTTCATTTTTTATGGCTAAATAGTACTCTATCATGTACATATACCACATTTTCTGTATCCATTCATCTATTTGTGGACACTTAAGTTGATGCCATATCTTGGCTATTATGAATAGTGCTGCAATAAATGTGGGAGTGCAGATACTTCTTCTGCATATTGATTTCTTTTACTTTGGATATATACCTAGTAGTGGGATTGTTGGGTAGTATGATAGTTCATTTTTTTTCTATTTTTTTAGGACCCTCCATACTGTTTTCCATAATGGCTATACTAATTTGAATTCCCACCTACAGTGTGCTAGAGTTCCCTTTTCTCCACATCCTTGCCAGCATTTGTTATTTTTGTCTTTTTGATGATAGCCATTATAAATGGGGTGAGATGATCTCTCATTGTGGTTTTGATTTACATTTCCCTAATGATTAGTGATGATGAACATTTTTTCACATACGTTTGCCATTTGTATGACTTCTTTTGACAAATGTCTATTAAGTTCATTTGCCATTTTTAAATCAGATTCTTTGCTTGTTTTTTGCTGTTGAGTTGTTTCAGTTACTTTTATGTTCTGAATATTAACCCCTTGTCAGTTGAATAATTTGCAAATATTTTCTCCCATTCTGAAGGTTGTTTATTTACTCTGTTGATTGTTTCCTTTGATGTACAGAAGGTTTTTAGGTTGACATAAACTTATTTCTCTTTTTTGATTTTTGAGATGGAGTCTTGCTCTGTTTCCCAGGCTGGAGTGCAGTGGCGTGATCTGGGCTCACTGCAGTCTCCGCCTCCTGGGTTCAAGCGATTCTCCTGCCTCAGCCTCCTGAGTAGCTGGGACTGCAGCAACTTGCCACCACGCCCGGCTAATTTTTGTATTTTTAGTAGAGATGAGGTTTCACCATGCTGGCCAGGCTGGTCTCAAATTCCTGACCTCAGGTGATCCACTTGCCTTGGCCTCCCAAAGTGCTGGGATTACAAGCATGAGCTACCACACCCAGCCCCATTTTTCTATTTTTGCTTTTGTTGTCTGTGCTTTTGAGATCCTCTCCATAAAAATCGTTGTTCAGACCAATGTCCTGAAGCATTTCCCCTATATTTTCTTCCAGAAGTTTCACAGATTCAGGTATTACATTTAAATCCTTAATCCCTTTTAAGTTGGTTTTTATATAATGAGAGATAGGTGTCTAGGTTCATTTTCTGCAAATGAATATTCAGTATTTTTGGCACCATTCATTAAAGAGACTGTCCTTCTCCCCTGTAAATGTTATTGGTACCTTTGCCAAAAGTCCATTGGTTGTAAATATGTGGATTTATTTCTAGATTCTCTATTCTGCTCCATTGGTCTATGTGGTTTCATGTCAACACCATACTGTTTTGGCTACTATAGTTTTATGGTATACTTTGAAGTCTGGTAGTGTGATACCTCCAACCTTGTTCTTTTTGCTCAGGATTGCTTTGGTTATTCAGCATCTTTTGTAATTTCATAAAAATTTCAGGATTTTTTTTTTCTATTTCTGTGATGAATGTCATTGGTATTTTGATAAGGATTCCATTGTAGGTCACTTTTTGTAGTATGGTCATTTTCACAATATTACTTCTTCTAATCCATGAACATGAGATAACTTTCCATTTTTCTGTGTCTTCTTCATTTTCTTTCATCGCTGTTTTATAGTTTTCCTTGTAGAGATCTTTCACCTCCTTGGTTAAATTTATTTATATGTATTATTTTGTAGCTATTGCAAATGAAATTGTTTTCTTAATTTCTTTTCCCACTAGTTTTTTGTTGGTGTATAGAAATGCTATTACATTTGCATGTTGGTTTTTACCTGCAACTTTACTGAATTCATTTATCACCCATAAGAGTTTTTTTGTGGAGCTTTTAGGGTTTTCTATACATAAGATCATGTCATCTACAAGCAGAGACAATTTGACTTCTTCCTTTTCAATTTGGATGCCCTTTATTTTTTTTCTCTTGCATAATTGTTCTGTCTAGGACATTTAGTACTAAGTTTAATAAACAGTGGTGAAAGTGGGCATCCTTGTCTGGTTCCAGATATTAGGGGAAAGCTTTATACTTTTCCTTGTTCAGTATGTTGTTGACTATGGGTTTGTCATGTATGGCCTTCATTTTGTTGAGGTATACAAGATAATTTATTAAACAAATATTCACTGAATACCAACTACACGTTAGGCACTGGTTTAGGTGCTCTGGATACATTATTAAGTAAAAGGAATCATGTCCCTGCATCCATGGGGTTACCTAATTAGAAGAAGGCACCTGGCACATATGAATGAGTGACTAAATGAATGACGCTAACTTTCTGATGCTAAGCACACAGAATGATTGACACATACCACACACTTACTCCTATAATATTTATAATAACTCTAGAGGAATACACAAAAATAAATATTTTACTAAGGAAGAAACTGAGGCATCGGAAGAGTGTAGATTACTTAAAGTCACATACTTGGGGAAAATGGTGGATAGGAGGCAGGACTAACTTGCAGCTTCCACTTGGATGGACAGAGTAGCATGTGGAGAACCACTCGTGAACTTCTGTTCCAAGAACTACTGGAGGAACATACCAAGAAAGCCAAGAGAATCCACAGACCTTTTCAAGGAAGTGGACTGATGCTGCAGGCTCTGTGGGACAGCCAAGAACTCTGAAGACAAAGGACATAATCTCTTGAAAGCTCTTTAGCCCTGCCCATCACCTCATCCTCTCTATACAATCACAGCTGATGCACTCTTGAAAGCGACACCTCCTGGCTGGAGGCTAAACAACACAAAACCAGCACACTTAACAAAAATACAACCGAGGACCCTCACATAATCCACTTCACTCCCCTGCTACCTCCACTGGAGTAGGTGCTCATGTCCACGGCTGAGAAACCTGAAGATGGATCACATCATAGAACTCTGCAGACACTTCCCAGTACCAGCCCAGAGCCTGGTGGTTCTGCTGGGTGGCTACATCCTGAAGAGAAATAACAATCACTGCAGTTCGGCTCTCAGGAAGCCCCATCCCTAGGGGAAAGGGGAAAGCACCACATCAAAAGAGCACCCCCGTGGGACAAAAGAATCTGAATGGCAGCCCTTGAGTCCTATAACTTCCCTCTGACACACTCTACCTAAATGAGAAGGAACCAGAAAATATGGTAATTCTGGTAATATGACAAAACAAGGTTCTCTAACACTCCCAAAAGATCACACTAGCTAACCAGCAATAGATCCAAATGAATTGCCAGAAGAAGGATTCAGCAGATCAATTATTAAGTAATCAAGGAGGTACTAGAGAAAGGTGAAGTTCAACCTAAAAAAAAAAAAAAAAGATAGAGCATATGAATGGAAAATCTCCAGTGAAATAGGTAGCATAAATAAAAAACAATCACCACTTCTGGAAATCAAGAACACAATTAGAGAAATGCAAAATGCACTGGAAAGTCTCAGAAATAGAACTGAACAAGTAGAAGAAAGAACTTCAGAGATTGAAGACAAGGTTTTCAAATTAAACCAATCTGACAAAAACAAAGAATAAAAGATAAAAAAATGAACAAAGCCTCCAAGAAGTTTGGGATTGTGTTAAATGACCAAATCTAAGAATAATTTTTGTTTCCAAAGAAGAAGTGAAATCTAAAAGTTTGGAAAACAAGTTTGAGGCAATAATCAAGGAAAACTTCCCCAGGCTTGTTAAAGATCTAGACATTCAAATACAACAAGTTCAAAAAACACCTGGAAAATTCATCACAAAAAGATCATCACCTAGGAACATAGTCATCAGATTATTTAAAGTCAAGACAAAGAAAATAATCTTAAGAGCTGTGAGGCAAGAGCATCAGGCAACCTATAAAGGAAAACCTATCAGATTAACAGCAGATTTCTTAGCAGAAATCATACAAGCTAGAAGGGATTGGGGTCCTATCTTTAGCCTCCTTAAACAAAACAGTTTTCAGCCAAGAATTTTGTGTGCAGGAAAACTAAGCTTCATAAATGAAGGAAAGGTAGTCTTTTTCAGACAAACAAATGCTGAGAGAATTTGCCACTACCAAGCCAGCATTACAAGAACTGCTTAAAGAAGCTCTAAATCTTGAAACAAATCCTCAAAATACACCAAAATGGAATCTCCTTAAAGCATAAATGTCACAGGACCTATAAAACAACAATACACAAAAAAGCAAGGTATTCAGGCAACAAACAGCACAATGAATAGAACAGTACCTCACGTCTCCATGCTAATGTTGAATGTGAATGGCCTAAATGCTCCATTTAAGAGATACAGAATGGCAGAATAGATAAGAACTCACCAACCAAGTATCTGCTCTCTTCAAGACAATCATCTGACACACAAGGACACACATAAACTTAAGGTAAAGGGGTGGATAAAGATTAAAGCTACAATAGTTAAAAAAGACAAAGAGGGACATTATTTAATAATAAAAGGACCAGTCCAACAGAAAAATATCACATTCCTAAATATATGTGAACCTAACGCTGGAGTTCCCAAATTCATAAAACAATTACTACTAGACCTAAGAAATGATACAGACAGCAATGCAATAATAATGGGGGACTTCAATATTCCACGGACAGCACTAGAAAGGTCATCAAGACAGAAAGTCCACAAAGAAACAATGAACTTAAACTGTACCCTAGAACAAATGGACTTAACAAATATTTACAGAACATTCTATCCAGCAACTGCAGAATATACATTCTTTTCATCAGCACATGGAACATTCTCCAAGATAGACCACATGATAGACCACAAACAAGCCTCAACAAATTTAGGAAAGTCAAAATTATAGCAAGGACTCTCTCAGATTGCAGTGGAATAAAATTGGAAACCAACTCCAAAAGGAACCCTCAAAACAACGCAAATACATGGAAATTAAATAACCTGCTCCTGAATGATCACTGGATCAACAATGAAATCAAGATGGGAATTTAAAAAATTATTTGAACTGAACAATAATAGTGATACAACCTATCAAAACCTTTGAGATACAGCAAAAGTGGTGCTAAGAGGAAAGCTCATAGCATTAAATGCCTACATCAAAAAGTCTGAAAGAGCACCAGTAGACAATCTAAGGTCACATGACAAGGAGCTAGAGAAACAAGAAAAAACCAAACCCAACCCTAGCAAAGGAAAAGAAATAGCCAAGATCCGAGCAGAACTAAATAAAATGGAAACAAACAAAAAACAATATAAAAGATAAATGAAACTAAAAGCTGGTTCTTTGAAACGATGAATAAAATTGATAGACCATTAGTATGGTTAACCACGAAAAGAAAAGAGATCCAAATAAGCTCAATTAGAAACGAAATGGGAGGTATTACAACTGATACCACAGAAGTACAAAAGATCATTCAAGGATACTATGAACACCTTTACACACATAAACTAGAAAACCTAGAGGAGATTCCTGGAGATTCCAGATAAATTCCTGGAAATACACAAGCTTCCTAGATTAAACCAGGAAGAAATAGAAACCCTAAACAGATCGATAACACATAGTGAGATTGAAATGGTAATTAAAAAGTTACCAAGGAAAGAAAGTGCAGGGCCAATGAATTCACAGCTGATTTCTATCAGACATTCAAAGAAGAATTGGGACCAATCCTACTGAGACACTATTCCAAAAGATAAAGAAAGAGGCAATCTTCCCCAAAACATTCTATGAAGCCAGTATCACCCTAATACCAAAACCAGAAAAGGACATAACAAAAAAAGAAAACTACAGACCAATATCCCTGATGAACATAGCTGCAAAAATCCTCAACAAAATATTATCTAAGGGAATCCAACAGCATATCTAAAAAATAATCCACCATGATCAAGTGGGTTTCATAACAGGGATGCAGGGATGATTTCACATATGTAAGTCAATAAATGTGATACACTACATGAACAGAATTAAAAACAAAAACCACATGATCATCTCAATAGATGCAGAAAAAGCATTTGACAAAATCCATCAATGCTTTATGATTAAAAACCTCAACAAAATCAGCATAGAAGGGACATACCTTAAGGTAATAAAAGCCATCTATGACAAACCCACAGCCAATATTCTACTGAATGGGAAAAAAGTTGAAAGCACCCCCCCTCCCCGATAACTGGAACAAGACAAGGATGCCCGCTTTCACCACTTCTATTCAGCATAGTACTGGAAGTCTTAGCCAGAACAATCAGATAAGAAAAAGAAATAAAGGGCATCCAAATTGGTAATGAGGAAGTCAAACTGTTGCTGTTTGCTGATGACATGATTGTATACCTAGAAAACCCTAAAGACTCATCGAAAAAGCTCCTAGAACTGGTAAATGAATCCAGTAAAGTTTCTGAATATAAAATTAATGTATGTAAATCAGTAGCTCTGTTATAAACCAACAGCAACCAAGCTGAGAATCAAATCAAGAACTCAATCCCTTTTATAATAGCTGCAAAAAAAAAAAAAACCATAAAATACTTAGAACTGTACCTAACCAAGGAGCTGAAAGACCTCTACAAGGAAAAGTAGAAACACTTCTGAAAGAAATCATAGATGACACAGATGGAAACACATCCCATGCTCATAGATGGGTATAATCAACATTGTGAAAACGATCACACTGTCAAAAGCAATGTACAAATTCAATGCAATTCCCATCAATATATCACCATCGTTTTTCAGAGAGCTAGAGAAAACAATCCTAAAATTCATATGGAATCAAAAAAGAGCCTGCATAGCCATAGCAAGACTAAGCCAAAAGAACAAATCTGGAGGCACTGCATTATCTGACTTCATACTATACTGTAAGGCCACAGTCACCCAAACAGCATGGTACTGGTATAAAAATAGGCATATAGACTAATGGAACAGAATAGAGAACTCAAAAATAAAGCTAAATACTTATAGCCAACTGATCTTTGACAAGGCAAACAAAACCATAAAGTGGGGAAAAGACAACCTCTTCAACAAATGGTACTGGGATAATGGCAAGTCCATGTAAAAGAATGCAACTGGATCCTCATCTCTCACCCTATACAAAAATCAACTCAAGATGGATAAAAGACTTAAATCTAAGACCTGAAACTACACAAATTCTAGAAGAAAACATTGGAAAATCCCTTCTAGACATTGGCTTAGGTAGACTTCATGACCAAAACCCCAAAAGCAAATGCAACAAAATAGAGATAAATAGATGGGAATTAATTAAACTAAAAGCTGCTGCACAGCAAAAGAAATAATCAGAAGATTAAACAGAGAACCCATAGAGTGACAGAAAATCTTTGCAATGTATACATCTGAGAAAGGACTAATATCCAGAATCTACAAGGAACTCAAACAAATCAGCAAGAACAAAACAAACAATCCCACCAAAAAGTGGGCTGAGGACATGAATAGACAATTATAAAGAGACAATATACAAATGACCAACAAACATGTGAAAAAATGCTCAACATCACTAATTATCACAGAAGTGTAAATAAAAACCACAATGCGATACCACATCACTCTGACAAGAATGGCCATAATCAAAAAATCAAAAAATAATAGATGTTGGCATGGATGTGGTGTAAATGAAACACTTTTACACTGTTGGTGGGAATGAAAACTACTACAACCAGTATGGAAAACAGTGTGGAGATTCCTTAAAGAACTAAAAGCAGATCTACCATTTGATCCAGCAATGCCCCCTCCTGGGTATCTACCCTGAGGAAAAGAAGTCATTATACAAAAAAGATACCTGCACACACATGTTTACGGCAGCGTAATTCCCAATTGTGAAAACATGGAACCAGCCCAAATGCCCATCAATCAACTAGTGAATAAAAAAAGTGATATACATACATACATATATATACACACACACCCACATATACATATATATACACACACAAACACACACACACACAGACACACACACATATACCATAGAATACTACTCAGCCATAAAAAGAAATGGAATAGTGGCATTTGCAGCAACCTGGATGGTAACGGAGACCATTATTCTAAGTGAAGTAACTCAGGAATGGAATACCAAACTTCATAGGTTCTCACTCATTAGTGGGAGCTAAGCTATGAGGATGCAAAGGAATAAGAATGATACAATGGACTTCGGGGGCTTTGAGGGAAGGGTGGGAGGGAGTAAGAAATAAAAGACTACACATCGGGTACAGTGTACACTGCTCAGGTGATGGGTGCACCAGAATCTCGGAAATCACTGCTAAAGAACTTAATCTAAGCAAACACTAACTGTTTCCCCAAAACCTATTAAAATTTAATAAAATAAAGGGGGAAGGAATATATTAACCAATGGCAAATATTGATATTTTCAGTAAATGGTTCTGTATTAATTGGGTTTCCATACAGGGAAAAATAAATTTTGGTACAAACTACACATTATATGCAGACGATTTCAGAAGGCTTGTAGATCTAAATGTACAATGTAAAACAATAAACCTTCTAGAAAAAGCATTAAGGAAGATCTTTATAACTTTAGGGTAGACAGATTTCTAAACAGGATGTTAAAAGAACTAATAATAATAATATGTTAATATGTTAAACTTAATTAAAATTAGGAATTTTAGCTCTGAAAACATACACACAGAATATAAAACAAATGAGGAAAAATGTTAATCTGGGGATACACTGAAAGCATATATAATTCTTTGTGATTTTTTTTTTTACAATTTTTGTAATTTTGAAATTATATGGAAATAAAAAGTTGCTAAAACACATACACACATACATCAGACTGTTTTAACTCAAAAATGTTATTCCCAAAGTGACCAGTAAGAAAATAACTCAAAAATACAGTAAAAGAAAGAACAAAGTAATTAAAATAGCATACTAGAAAATGTTTTTATTACACAAAGGATAGAAGTAATGGAGGAATAATGGGGGAAAAACCACAAGACATATAAAAAAATTACAAAGTGGCTACATAAATAATACCTTATCAGTAACTACATAATATAAATGGACTAAACACTACAATTAAAGGGAAGAGAGATCTTAATAACTTCTACCCTAAGAAACTAGAAAAAAAACAAACTAAACTAAACCCAAACGAAGGAAATGACAAAGATTAGAGCATTTTCTATTTCAATGAAATAAAAGATAAACTAACAGTTTTCAAAAAAAAAAAAGCTAATGGAACTGAAATCTGATTCTTTGGAAAAGTGACAAAAATTACAAAACTTTAGCTAGACTGTCCAAAAAAAAAAAAAAGAAAGAAAAGAAACTCAAATTATTAAATTTGAAATGAAAAAGAAAACACTACTACCAACTTTACAGAAATAAAAGGATTATAAAAGAACAGTATAAGAAATTTTATGCCAACAAATTAGACATTCTAGATGAAACGGACAAATTAGTAGAAATATGTAAACAATCAACACTATTCAAGAAGAAATAGAAAATCTGAAAAAGACTTTCATAAATGAAAAGATTCAATTAGTAATATAAATAATAATTTAAAAATAGTCACAGAGTAAAGCCCAGACTCAGATGGCTTCACTGATTAATTTTACCATTCAGAGAAGAGCTAATAACAATCTTCTGCAAATTCTTTCAAAAGATAGAATAGAGGGAAACACTTTCCGATGCTTTCTAGCAAGCATTATCCTGACACCAAAACCAAAGACATCATAAGAAAGAAAACTACGTATCAATATCCTTCATAAATACAGACACAGAAATCCTCAACGAAAGCTAGGAACAGAATCCAGCAACATATACAAGCATTATACATCATGAGCAAGTAGGATTTATGCCAGGAATGCAAGGTTGGTCTAACATACGAAAATCAGTCTAAAATATAATATTAATAGAATAAAAGATAAAACTTATATGATCATCTTAATATATTCAGAAAAAGCATTTGATAAAATTTGGTACCCTTTCATGATAAAAATATTCAACAAACTAGGAATAGAAGGAGGTGTCCCCCTAATTTTGTGAAGAATGATGGGTAATTTAATAAATAGGGGTAATTTAATAGAAATTGCAATGAATCTACAAATAGCTTTGGGCAGTATGGACATTTTAACAATATCGATTCTTCCAATCCATGAGCATGTAATGTTTTTCCATTTGTTTATGTCATCTATGATTTCTTTCAGCAATATTTTGTAGTTCTCCTTGTAGGAATCTTTCACCTCCTTGGTTAGATGTACTCTTAGGTATTTTATTCTTTTTGTGGTTATTGTAAATGAAATTGCATTCTTGATTTGGTTTTCATCTTGAATGTTATTAGTGGATAGAAATGCTACTGATTTTTGTACATTTACATTTATTTTGTATCCTGAAACATTACTGAAGTCATTTATCAGGGTTAGGGGTCTTTTGGAAGAATCTTTAGGGTTTTCTAAGTGTAGAATAATGTGGTCTGTAAAGAGAGATAATTTGACTTCCTCTTTTTCTATTTGGATGCATTTTCTTTCATTCTCTTGCCTGATTGCTCTGGCTGGAACTTCCAGTACTATGTGGAATAGTAGTGGTGACAGTGGGCATTCTTGTCTCATTCCAGTTCATAGGAGGCATGCTTTCAGCTTTTGCTTGCTCAGTATGATGTTGGCTGTAGATTTGTCATAGACTGCTCCTATTATTTTGAGGTGTGTTCTTTCAATGGCTAGTTAGTTGAGGGTTTTTATCATGAAGGGATGTTGAATTTTATTGGATGCTTTTTCTGCATCTATTGAGATGATCATATGGTTTGTTTTTAAATTCTGTTTATGTGATGAATCACATTTATTGATTTGCATATCATCCATGCATCCCATGAATAAAGCCTACTTGATCATGGCCAATTAACTTTTTGATGTGCTGCCGGATATGGTTTGTTAGTACTTCATTGAGGATATTGGCATGTATGTCTATCAGAGATCTCGGCCTGTAGCTTCCTTTTTTTGTTATATCTTTGCTGGATTTCGGTATCAGAATGATACTAGTTTCATAGAATGAGTTGGTCAGGAATCCATCCTCCTTAATTTTTGGAATAGTTTCAGTGGATTGGTACCAGCTCTTCTTCATACATCTGGTAGAATTTGGCTGTTAATCCATCTGGTCCAGGGCTCTTTTTGGTTGACAGGTTTTTAAAATTACTGATCCAATTTCATAACATGGTATATGGAGCCAAAAAAAGAATGGATAACTAAAGCAATCCTAAGCAAAAAGAACAAAGCAAGAAACGTCACATTACCTGACTTCAAACTATAGCACAAGGCTACAGTAACAAAAGCAGCATGATTCTGGTACAAAAATAGACATGTACACCAATGTAAGAGACTAGGGAAATCAGAAATAAAGCCACATACCTACAACCAACTGATCTTTGGCAAAGCAAGCAAAAATAAACAATGGGGAAAGGACACCTTACTCAATAAATGGTGCTGGATAAATTGGGTAATCATATGCAGAAGAATAAAACTTGACATGTCTCACAATACACAAAATTAACTAAAGATGGATTAAAAAAATGTAAGACCTCAAACCATAAAAATCCTAGGGCACTACTGCAGCACGTTGCTGGGGACTGGCCCTGGGCCCATGAAGAGGGAAGGAAATTCCTTTGTGCTTCCTGTTTCCTTCCCTTTTCACTGTTAAAAGAGGATTTTAAAAAAAGATAAAAAGAAGGATCTGGCAAGATGGCTGAATAGGAACAGCTCTGGTCTGCAGCTCCCAGCGAGACCAACGCAAAAGGTGGGTAATTTCTGCATTTCCAACTGAGGTACCCAGTTCATCTCACTGGAACTGGTTAGACAGTAGGTGCAGCCCATGAAGGGCAAGCAGAAGCAGGGTGGGATGTTGCCTCACCCAGGAAGCCCAGAAGGGGCTGGGTAACTCCCTCCCCTAGCCAAGGGAAGCCATGAGGGACTGTGCCGTGAGCGACAGTGCTATCTGGCCCAGATACTATGCTTTTCCCATAGTTTTTCCAACCCACAGACCAGGAGATTCCCTCAGATGCCTACACCACCAGGGCCCCGGGTTTCAAGCACAAAACTGGGTGGCTGTTTGGGCAGACACTGAGCTAGCTGCAGGAGTTTTTTTTTTTTTGCATACCCCAGTGGCACCTGGAACCCCAGTGAGACAGAACCATTCACTCCCCTGGAAAGGGGACTGAAGCGAGGGAGCCAAGTGGTCTTGCTCAGTGGGTCCCACCCCCACAAAGCCCAGCAAGCTAAGATCCAATGGCTTGAAATTCTTGCTGCCAGCACAGCAGTCTAAAGTCAATACCTGTGATGCTCAAACTTGGTGGTGGGGAGGGGCACCTGCCATTACTGAGGCTTGAGTAGGCAGTTTTTCCCTCACAGTGTAAACAAAGCCACAGGAAAGTTCAGACTGAGCGGAACCCACTGCAGCACAGCAAAGCCGCTGCAGCCAGACTGACTCTCTAGATTCCTCCTCACCGGGCAGGGCAACTCTGAAAGAAAGGTAGCAGCTCCAGTCAGGGGCCTATAGATAAAACCTCCATCTCCCTGGGACAGAGCACCAGGGGGAAGGGGTGGCTATGGGCGCAACTTCAGCAGACTTAAACATTCCTGCCTGTCAGCTCTGAAGACAGCAGCAGATCTTCCAGCACAGTGCTTGAGCTCTCCTAAGGAACAGACTGCCTTTTCAAGTGAGTCCCTAACCCCTGTGCCTCCTGACTGGGAGACACCTCGCAGCAGGGGTCGACAGACACCTTATACAGGAGAGCTCCAGCTGACATCTGGCCGGTGGCCCTCTGGGAGGAAGCTTCCAGGGGAAGGAGCAGGCAGCAATCTTTGCTGTTCTGCAGGCTCCGCTGGTGATACCCAGGCAAATGGGGTCTGGAGTGGACCTCCAGAAAACTCCAGCAGACCTGCAGAAGAGGGGCCTGACTGTCAGAATGAAAACTAACAAACAGAAAGCAATAGCATTGACATCAACAAAAAGGATGCCCATGCAAAAGCCTCATCCAAATGTCATCAGCATCAAAGATCAAAGGTAGATAAATCCACAAAGATGAGGAAAAACTAGTGCAAAAATGCTGAAAATTCCAAAAACCAGAATGCCTCTTCTCTCCCAAAGCATCACAACTCCTTGCCAGCCAGGGAGCAACACTGGATGGAGAATGAGTTTGATGAATTGACAGAAGTAGGCTTCAGAAGGTGGGTAATAACAAACTCCTCCAAGCTAAAGGAGCATGTTCTAACCTAATGCAAGGAAGCTAAGAACCTTGATAAAGGGTTACAGGAACTGCTAACTAGAATAACCAGTTAAAAAAAAAAAAAAAAACATAAATGACCAGACAGAGCTGAAAAACACAGCACGAGAACTTTGTGAAGCATATACAAGTATAAATAGCAGAATCAATCAAGTGGAAGAAAGGATCAGAGATTGAAGATCAACTTAATAAAATAAAGCGTGAAGACAAGATTAGAGAAAAAAGAATGAAAAGAATGAAAAGCCACCAAGAAATATGTGACTATGTAAAAAGACCAAAACTACAACAGATTGGTGTACCTGAAAGTGATGGGGAGAATGGAACCAAGTTGGAAAACACACTTCAGGTTATTATCCAGGAGAACATCTCCAACTTAGGAAAACAGGCCAACATTCAAATTCAGGAAATACAGAGAACACCACTAAGATACTCCTTGAGAAGAGCAACCCAAAGACATACAATCGTCAGATTCACAAAGGTTGAAATGAAGGAAGACATGTTAAGGGCAGCCAGAGAGAAAGGTCAGGTTACCTACAAAGGGAAGCCCATCAGACTAATAGCGGATATCTCTGCGGAAACCCTACAAGACAGACGAGAGTGGGGCCAATATTCAACATTCTTAAAGAAAAGAATTTTCTACCCAGAATTTCATATCCAGCCAAACTAAGCTTCATAAACAAAGGAGGAATAAAATCCTTTACAGACAAGCAAATGCTGAGGGATTTTGTCACCACCAGGCCTGCCTTACAAGAGCTCCTGAAGGAAGCACTAAATATGGAAAGTAAAAACAGGTACCAGCCACTGCAAACCAGGAATTGCAAAAACATACCAAAATATAAAGACCAATGACACTATGAAGAAACTGAATCAACTAATGTGCAAAATAACCAGCTAGCATCATAATGACAGGATCAAATTCACACGTAACAATATTAACCTTAAATGTCAATGGGATAAATGCCCCAATTACAAGGCACAGACTGGCAAATTGGATAAGGAGTCAAGATCCATCAGTGTGCTGGATTCAGGAGACCCATCTCACGTGCAAAGACACATATAGATTCAAAATAAAAGGGATGGAGGGATATTCACCAAGCAAATGGAAAGCAAAAAACAGCAGGGGTTGCAATCCCAGTCTCTGATAAAATAGTCTGTAAACCAACAAAGATCAAAAAAGACAAAGAAAGGCATTACATAATGGTAAAGGGATCAATGCAACAAGAAGAGCTAACTATCCTAAATATATATGCACCCAATACAGGAGCACCCAGATTCATAAAGCAAGTTCTTAGAGACCTATGAAGAGACTTGGACTCCCACACAATAACAGTGGAAGACTTTAACACCTCACTTTCCATATTAGACAGATCAATGAGACAGAAAATTAACAAGGATATTCAGGACTTGAACTCAGCTCTAGACCAAGTGAACCTAATAGACATCTACAGAACTCTCCACCCCAAATCAACAGAATATACATTCTTCTCAGCATCACATCACACTTATTCTAAAATTGACCACATAATTGGAAGCAAAACACTCCTCAGCAAATGCAAAAGAATGTAAATCATAACAAACAGTCACTCACCACAGTGCAATCAAATTAGAACTCCAGATTAAGAAACTCACTCAAAACCACACGACTACATGGAAACTGAACAATCTGCTCTTGAATGACTACTGGGTAAATAACGAAATTAAGGCAGAAATAAATAACTTCATTGAAACCAACGAGAAAGACACAACACGCCAGAATCTCTGGGAGACAGTTAAAGCAGTGTTTAGAGAGAAATTTATAGGACTAAATGCCCACATCAGAAAGTGGGAAAGATCTAAAATCGACACCATAACACAATTAGAAGAACTAGAGAACCAAGAGCAAACAAATTCAAAAGCTAGTAGAAGACAAGAAATAACTAAGATCAGAGCAGAAATGAAGGAGATAGAGACATGAAAAATCCTTCGAAAAATCAGTAAATCCAGGAGCTGGTTTTTTGAAAAGATTAACAAAATAGCCCGCTAGCCAGACTAATGAAGAGGAAAAGAGAGAAGAATCAAATAGATACAATGAAAAATGATAAAGAAGATATCATCACTGATCCCACAGAAATACAAACTACCATCAGAGAATACTATAAACACCTCTATGCAAATAAACTAGAAAATCTAGAAGAAACGGATAAATTCCAGGACACACACACCCTCCCAAGACAAAACAAGGAAGGAGTCAAATCCCTGAATAGACCAACAACAAGTTCTGAAATTGAGGCAGTAATTAATAGCCTACCAACCAAAAAATGTCCAGGACCATATAGATTCACAGCCAAATTATACCAGAGGTATAAAAAGGAACTGGTACCATTCCTTCTGAAACTATGCCAAACAATCAAAAAAGAGGGACTCCTCCATAACTCGTTTTATGAGGCATCATCCTGATACCAAAACCTGGCAGAGACACAACAAAAAAATAAGAAAACTTCAACCCAATATCCCTGATGAACATTGATGCAAAAATCCTCAATAAAATACTGGCAAACTGAATCCAGCAGCACATCAAAAAGCTTATCCACCACAATTAAGTTGGCTTCATCCCTGGGATGCAAGGCTGGTTCAACATATGCAAAACAATAAATGTAATCCATCACATAAACATAGCCAATGACAAAAACCACATGACTATCTCAATAGATGCAGAAAAGGCCTTCTATAAAATTCAACACCACTTCATGCTAAAAAACACTCGATAAACTAGGCATTGATGGAACCTATCTCAAAATAATGAGAGGTATTTATGACAAACCCACAGCCAATATCATACTGAATGGGCAAAAACTGGAAGTAGTCCCTTTGAAAACTGACACAAGACAAGGATGCCCTCTCTCACCACTCCTATACAACACAGCATTAAAAGTTCTGGCCAGGGCAATCAGGCAAGAGAAAGAAATAATGGGTATTCAGATAGGAATAGAGGAAGTCAAATTGTCTCTGTTTGCAGATGACATGATTGTATATTTAGAAAATCCCATCGTCTCAGTCCAAAAACTCCTTGAGCTGATAAGCAACTTCAGCAAAGTCTCAGAATACAAAATCAATGGGAAAAATTACAAGCGTTCCTATACACAAATAACAGACAAACAGAGAGCCAAATCATGAGTGAACTCCCATTCACAATTGCTACAAAGAGAATAAAATACCTAAGAATACAACTTAAAAGGGATGTAAAGAAATCCTTCAAGGAGAACTATAAACCACTGCTCAAGGCAATAAGAGAGGACACAAACAAATGGAAAAACAATCCATGGTCATGGATAGGAAGAATCAATATCATGAAAATGGCCATACTGCCCAAAGTAATTTATAGATTCAATGCTATTCCCATCACGCTACCATTTAGAAAAAAAACTACTTTAAATTTCACATGGAACCAAAAGACAGCCTGTACAGCCAAGACAATCCTAAGCAAAAAGAACAAAGCTGGAGGCATCATGCTATCTGACTTCAAACTATACTACAAGGCTACAGTAACCAAAACAGCATGGTACTGGTACAAAAACAGATATATAGACCAATGGAACAGAACAGAGGCCTCAGAAATAATGCCACCCATCTACAACCATCTGATCTTTGACAAACTTGACAAAAACAACCAATGGGGAAAGGATTCCCTATTTAATAAATGGTTTTGGGAAAACTGGCTAGGCATATGCAGAAAACTGAAACTGGACCCCTTCCTTACACCTTATAGAAAAATAACTCAAGATGGATTAAAGACTTAAACATAAGATCTAAAACCATAAAAGCCCTAGAAGAAAACCTAGGCAATACCATTCAGGACATAGGCATGGGCAAAGACTTCATGACTAAAACACTAAGAGCAACTGCAGCAAAAGCCAAAATGAACAAATGAGATCTCATTAAACTAAAGAGCTTCTGTACAGCAAAAGAAACTATCATCAGAGTGAACAGGCAACCTACGGAATGGGAGAAAATTTTTGCAATCTATCCATCTGACAAAGGGCTAATACCCAAAATCTACAAGGAACTTAAACAAATTTACAAGAAAAAAACAAACAGCCCCATCAAAAAGTGGGCAAAGGACATGAACAGACACTTCTCAAAAGAAGACATTTATGTGGCCACAAATGTATGAAAAAAGCTCATTATCACTGGTCATTAGAGAAATACAAATCAAAACTGCAATGAGATACCATCTCATGCCTGTTAGAACGGCAATCATTAAAAAGTCAGGAAACAACAGATGCTGGAGAGGATGTGGAGAAATAGGAACGCTTTTACACTGTTGGTGGGAGTGAAAATTAGTTAAACCATTGTGGAAGACAGTGTGGAGATTCCTGAAGGATCTAGAACCAAAAATACCATTTGACCCAGTAATGTCATTACTGGGTATATACCCAAAGGATTATAAATCATTCTACTATAAAGACACATGCACACATGTTTTTTGCAGCACTATTTACAATAGCAAAAACTTGGAACCAACCCAAAAGCCCAACAATGATAGACTGGATAAAGAAAATGTGGTACTTATACACCATGGAATACTATTCAGCCATAAAAAAGAATGAGTTAATGTCTTTTGCAGGGACACGGATGAAGCTGGAAACTATCATTCTCAGCAAACTAACACAGAAACAGAAAACCAAACACCAAATGTTCACACTTATAAGTGGGAGCTGAACAATGAGAACACATGGACACAGGGAGGGGAACATCACACACCAGGGCCTGTCAGGGAGTAGGGGGCAATGGGAACGGATAGCATTAGGAGAAATACTGAATGCATGCAGGGCTAAAACCTAGCTGACAGGTTGATGGGTGCAGCAAACCACCATGGCACATGTATATCTATGTAGCAAACCTGGACATTCTGCACATGTATCCCAGAACTTAAAGTGTAATTTAAAAAAAAAGAAAAAAAGTCCTAGAGCAAAACCTAGGAAATACTCTGCTGGACATTGGCCTAGGCAAAAGTTTATCACTAAGTCCTCAAAAGCAAAGAGAACAAAAACAAAAATAAATTGACAATTGTGACCTAATTAAACTAAAGAGCTTTTGCACAGCAAAAGAAACTACCACAGCAAAATATTAAACAGACAATGTACAAAATGGGAGAAAATATTTGCAAATTATGCACCCAATAAAGCACTAATATTCAGAATCTATAAGGAACTGAAACAAATCAACAAGAAAAAAAACAGCCCCATTAAAAAGTGGGAAAAGGAAATGAATAGACACGTCTCTGAAGAACACATACAAGCAGCCAACAAACATGAAAAAACTGCTCAATGTCACTAATCATCAGAGAAATGCAAACTGAAACCACAATGAGATACCATTTCACATCAGTCAGAATGGCTATTATAAAAAGTCAAAAAATAATAGATTTTGGCAAGGTTCCAGAGAAAAGGAAGCATTCATACATTGTTGTTGGGGTTGTAAATTAGTTCAGTTCCCATAGAAAGCAATTTGGAGACTCTTCAAAGAGCTAAAAATAGAATTACTGTGTGGTCCAGCAATCTCATTACGGGGTATATACCCAAAGTAAAATGAATTGTTGTACCAAAAAAGACCGCTGCACTCGTGTTTTTATTGCAGCATTGTTCACAATAACAAAGACATGGCATCAACCTTGCTGCCTATCGCATGGAATCAACTTAAGTGCCTATCAGTGGTGGACTGAATAAAGAAAACGTGGTAAAACTACTTATTGGGTACTAGGTTTGCTATCTGGGCGATGGGTTCAATCAAAGCCCAAACCTCAGCATCATGCAATATATTCATGTAACAAACCTGCACACGTATCCCCAGAATCAAAAGAAACAAAAAAAGAGACAGAAAGGCGTTTCCTCAACTTAATAAAGGGCATCTATGAAAAAACAAACAAACAAACAAAAAACAAAAACAAACCCAACCACATCAGACTTAATAGAGAAAGACTGAATGCTTTCCCCTTAAGATCAGGAACAAAACAAGGATGCCAGCTCTCACCACTTCTACTCAACACTGTATTGGAAGCTATAGTCAGGGAAAATAGGAAAGAGAAATAAATAAAAGCCATCTAGATTAGAAAGCAAGTAAAACTATCTCTGATGAAAAATTACTTGATTTGCGTGTAATTCTTTTAATCTGCAAAGAAACCTATTAGAACTAATACATGAATTTAGTAAGGCTGCAGCAAACATAATTAATATACAAAAAATCAGCTGTATTTCTACACACTAGGAATGAATAATCTGAAAATATAATACAGAAAACAATTTTATTTAAAATAGCATTAAAAGATCCAAATTCTTATAAATACATTTGGTGAAAGCAGTACAAGACTTTTACACTGAAAACTACAAAACATCATTGAAAAAATTAAATAAGATATACATAAATGAAAATATTCATGGATCAAAAGATTAAATATTAGGAATGCGATACTCTTGAAATTAATCTACAGATTCAACACAATTATTTTCCAAATTTCAGCTATGAGTTTTGCCAAAATTGCTGGCTGGTATTAAAATTCCTATGGACATGCAAGAGATACATAATCACCAAAATAATCCTTCAAAAAATGACAAAACTTTCAAACTTATTACAATGTTATAGTAACGAAGACAGTGTGGCATTGGCATAAATAAGGATAGGAAAATTGATCAGTAGAACAAAATTGAGTCCAGACACAAACATCTTTATGATGAATTGATTTTGATCAGAGTGCTAAGATAAACTAATAGGGGAAAGAATGCAGCCTAGATTATTTTGGTTATTATGTATCTCTTGCCTTTCCGTATGAATTTTACTATCAGCTTGCAATATTGGCAAATATTATAGCTGAAATTTTAAAAATAATTGTGTTGAATCTACAGATCAATTTCAAGAGTACTGCATTCCTAATACTTAATCTTTTGATCCATGAATATTTTCTTTATGTATATCTTATTTAAGTTTTTCAATGCTGTTTTATAGTTTTCAGTGTAAATGTCTTATACTCCTTTTGCTAATTCATAACCTGCACATTCAGCACATGTATCCTTAAAGTAAAAGTAAAGTTTACATGTATGAACTTAAAGTAAAATTTTAAAAAAAATTAAGTAATTAAAAAAATGCAGTCACGTGCTGTGTAATGTTTCAGTCAACAATGGACTGCATGTACCACGGTGGTCCCATGAGATTATAACGGAGATAAAGATTATTATCAGCCAGTGATATCTTGATGATCTTGGCCCTATGCAGGCCTAGGCTAATGTTTGTGTTTGTGTCTTAGTATTTAACAAAAAAGTTTAAAAATGTAGGCAGAAATAGAAAAAATATTATAGAATAAGCATATAAAGGAATAAAACATTTTTGTTTAGCTGTAAAATGTTTGTGTTTTACGTTGTGTTATTACAAAAGAGTCAAAAAATTTAAAATATTTAAAAGTTTATAAAGTTAAAAATGTTACAGTATACTAACGTCGATTTATTATTGAAGAAAGTAAAACATTTTAAAATAAATTTAGGGGAGCAAGGTGAGCCTTGGAAGATGGGCGTCCGTGGCTGTGCTCCACCTCAACAGGAAACTAACCCAGGAACAGAATACCATATACTGCATGTTCTCACTTGTAAGTGGGAGCTAAATAAATAGTACCTATGAACACAAAGAAGGGAACAACAGACACGGGGGGTTACTTGACGGTGGAGTTTGGGAGGAGGGTGAAGATTGAAAAACTACCTATTGGGTACTATGCTTATTAGCTGGGTGATGAAATAATCTGTACAACAAAACCTCATGACACACAATTTACCTATATAACAAACCTGCACACGTATCCCTGAACCTAAAATAAAAGCTCTAAAAAGAGAATAAAATAGGCCGGGCGTGGTGGCTCATCACGCTTGTAATCCCAGCACTTTGGGGGGCCGAGGCAGGCGGATCACAAGGTCAAGAGATCAAGACCATCCTGGCTAACATGGTGAAACCCCATCTCTACTAAAAATAGCAAAAAAAAAAAAAAAAAAAAAAAAAAAAAATTAGCCGGGCATGGTGGTGGGTGCCTGTACTCCCAGCTACTCGGGAGGCTGAGGCAGGAGAATGGCGTGAACCCGGGAGGTGGAGCTTGCAGTGAGCCATTTTGTTGGGTGTAAAGAGTTATCACATTTTCATTTTAATTTGCACTTCTCTGACATCTAATGAGACTGAACACCTCTTTATATATTTATATATTTATTGGCTGGGAGACAGCGAGACTCCGTCTCAAAAAAAAAGAATAAAATAAATTTAGTGTAGCCTAAGTGTACAGTGTTTACAATGTCTGCAGTAGTGTCCAAGTGTACAATAATGTCCTTGACCCTCACATTCACTCACCACTCACTCACTGACTCACCCAGAGCAACTTCCAGGCCTGCCAACTCCATTCACGGTAAGTAACTTATACAGGTGTGCCATTTTTCATCTCTTATACCACACTTATGCTTTTTCTATGTTTAGATACATAAATACTTACCATTGTGTTACAACTGCCTATGGTATTTAGTACAGTAACATCCTACATATATCTGTAACCTAGAAGTAATAGGTTATACCATATAGCCTAGGTATGTAGTACCCTATATCATCAAAATTTGTGCAAGTATACTCTGTGATATTCACACAGTGCTGCAATAGCCCAATGAAACCTTTCTCAGAATGTATCCCTGTCAAGTGACATATGACTGTTTTTTCAACAAATGGTGCTGGAACACCATTTATTCATTTGCAACGAATGAAGGTGAATTCTTACCTGCCACCATACAAAAACTTGCTTTAAACTCAAGATAAATCATAGACCTAAACATAAAGCTAAAACTTTAAAACATAGTTGTTTTGTGCTGACAGATTATTTCAGAACAAAACATAGGTGTAGGTTTTCAAGAGCTTGGATAGGACACCAAAAGCACAAATGATAAAAGAAAAAAATAGAAAGTTGGTTGTCATTAAAATTAAAAACTTTTGTGTTCCAAAGGACACTATCAAGAAAGCAGAAAGACAATCCAGAGAATGAAAAACCTCACTTGCAAATTCTATATCTGATAAGAGATGTTTATCCAGAATTAGATTTAAAAACTTACAACTCAATAATAAAAAGACAAATAAACCAATTTAAAAAATAGGCAAACAATTTCAAAAGACATTTTTCCAATCAAAATATACCAAAATAACCAAAAAACCCATGAAAAGATGTTCAACATCATTAATCATCAGGGACATTTAACACGAAACCACAATAAGGGATCATTTATACCCACTAAGATGGTAAAAATGAAAAAGATGGACAATAACACAGGTGCACATAGGATTTGAACCTCCATGCATCGCTGATGGGACTGCAAAATGGTTTAACCACTGTAAAAACAGTCAGAAAAGTCTGGCAATTCTTCATGTTAAACAAAGAGTTACTATGCCATCCTTCACTTCCACTCCTAGATATATACCTAAGAGAAGTGAAAAACATGCCCACACAAAAACCTGGACCAAATATTCCCAGTAGCATTACTCAAAATAGGGAAACAATTGAAACACTCCATCAAGTATAAACAAAGTATGGTAGATCCATAAAACGGAAGATTATTTGACCATATAAAAGAATTGAAGTACTGATACATGCTATAACATGGGTGAATCTTGAAAACATTATGATGAATGAAAGAAATCAGTCTTAATAGGTTATATGTTGTATGATTCAACTTTTATGGAACAAGCAAATCTATGGAAACAAACAGTAGGTTAGTGGTTTCTGGGGGCTAGGAGGAGCAGGGAATCAACAGTGACTGCTAATGGAGATCAGATTTCTTTTAGGGCAGATAAAAATATTCTGAAGTTAGTGGTAATGATTGCACAACTCTGAATATATTAAAAACTCCTGAATTGTACATTTTAAAATGATGAATTTTATGGCATGTGAATTTATATCTCAATAAAACTTTTACCTCCTCCACAAAGCAATATGCACAACAATGTTTAATATACTACCATTTGTGTAAAAAAAAAGAATTTTATAAAAAGGGGAAAATACCATATGTATTATTTACATGTACATAAAAGGTCTTGAAGTAAATTCATGAAACTGATTGGGGCAGGAACGACACTAGTTGGCTTGGTTTCAGGGATGAAAAGGAGACATTTCACTGTACACTCATGTCCATCTTTTAAATTGTGAAGCATATAAATGTATCTATTCAAAAATAAAAAAAACTTTAGAATTATATTCATCGACTTAAACTGAAAAAAATGGGCAAAAGGCTTGAAGAGTTTCTTTTAAAATGGGTGTCCAATTGGCCAATAAATATATAAATATATAAAGAGGTGTTCAGCCTCATTAGACGTCAGAGAAGTGCAAATTAAAATGAAAATGTGATACCTCTTTACACCCAAGAAAATGGCTAAAGAAAGAGTGACTGACAATATTAAGAGTTGCTGAAGATGAAGATCAATTCTGTTGCCTCATTCACTGTTGACTGGAATGTAAACTGGTACAAACCCTTTGGGAAACGACTTGGCAGTATCTACTAAAGCTGAACATATACATGCCCAGAGATCCAACAATTTCACTCCTTAGAATATAACCAACAAAAGTGTACACCTGGCTGGGCGCGGTGGCTCATGCCTGTAATCCCAGCACTTTGGGAGGCCGAGGTGGGCGGAACACGAGGTCAGGAGTTAGAGGCCAGCCTGGCCAACATGGTGAAACCCTGTCTCTACTAAAAATACAAAAATTAGCCTGGCGTGGTGGCTGACGCCTGTAATCTCAGCTACTCGGGAGGCTGAGGCAGGAGAATCGCTTGAAACTGGAAGGCAGAGGTTGCAGTGAGCCAAGATCGCGTCACTGCACTCCAGCCTTGGTGAAAGAGCGAAACTCCGTCTCAAAAAAAAAAAAAAAAAAAAAGTACATCTGTATTTACCAAAATACATATGCAAAAATGTTCATAGCAAAATTATTTGTAAAGGTCAACAATGCAAAAACAGTCCTATTTTGAATTCCAACAGATTAAAAGTTCATTAACAGAAGAATCATAAATAAATTGTGCTATAATTATACAGTGGAAAACTAGTGCTACATTGCAACAAAATGGATAGATCTCACAGGTATTATGTTAAGGGAAATAAGCCAGATAAAGTCATTACATGATTCTATTTATAGAAAATTCAAAACTAAGCACAACTAAGTTTTAACATTAAAAATCACTACAGTGTTTGTCCTGGAGGAAGAGGATAGTAATTGGAAGGGGGCAACAGGACTTTGAGGTGTCACTGATCTACATGGAGAACACTTAGTGTGTTCCCAGGTGAAACTCAATATGTACACTCAGTCATTTGTGCACTTCTCCATAGATCTTATACTTCCATAAAACTTATATTAAAGTATCCGACTCTCCACATCTTATAGATGACTTGTTAGTTATTGAGAAGTCTAGTTTTGTGGCTCATCTGTTGGGTGTAAAATGGTTTTTAATGTAGTTTTGAGTTTCTTTGATTACAGTGTATTAGTTTGCTAGAACTGCCATAATAAAGTACCACAGCCAGGTGGCTTAAACGACAGAAATTTATTTTCTCATAGTTCTGGAGGCTGCAAGTGCAAGATCATGGCATTGGCAGGGTTGGTTTGAGTGACCTCTCTCCTTGGCTTGTAGACGGCCGTCTTCTCACCACATAATGATCCTCCCTCTGTGTCTCTGTGGGTCCTAATCTCCTCTTTCTATATGGATATCAGTCATATTGGATGAGGGTCCTAATGACCTCACTTTAACTTAATTATGTCTTTAAAGAACCTGTCTCCAAATACAGTCATATTCTGAGGTATAGGGGGTTAGCGATTTATCATGAGAATTTTGGGAAGAACACAATTCAGAGTGAGCTTGATGTCTACTGACATTCAGTTTTACTGTTTCATGCAGAGTTGTATTTCTCTCCATTAGCTTGAATTTCTAAATTGTGTGCTACTTACCATTTGATCTATCTACTAATAAGGGAGGTGAGTTAAAAATCTCTCACCAAATATTAGATTTGTTCCTTTCCCTTGTAATTCTGGCAATTTTTCCTTCATACATTTCTCAATTTTATGTGAGGAGCATACAAGTTCAGAAATGTGAATTGTTCTTATGATTGCTATGGTTATTCTCAGGATCCTAAAAAATTCCTTTTGCTGTGCAGTCAATTTGTACTATAATTCTTTTCTTGGTTTATCTTTTTCTATCCTATTATGTCCTGTCTTTCACTATCTTCATGCTTTTCATCATGACACTTGTAAATAGGCTACACATAGGTTTTTAAAATATTCAAACTGAGATTTTGGGTATTCTTTAGTAAGTTCAGAATGTTTATAACTATTGTGGTCACAGATATATTTTTATCATTTTATATAAAGTTGACCCTAAACAACATGGGGATTAAAGGCATCAACCCCCTCCCCACACTCAAAAATCTATGTATAATTTTTGACTGCCTTAAGACTTTACTAAGAGCCTACTGTCGACCGGTAGCCTTACCAAGAACATGAGCAGTTGATTAACACATATTTTGTATGTAATATGTATTATGTACTGTAATCTTACAATAAAGTAAGCTAGAGAAATTAAAATGCTATTATGACAATCTTAAGAGAAAATATATTTACAATACTGTACTTTATATTGATACTGTAAGTTTACATCTCTGTTTATAAGATGAACAATTTGTTTAAAATGGTGGGCAACCACAGCTGCAGCTGTGGTACATTATCAGGCAATTTAACTTTTTCTTGTAATGTCATGATTTTTCTGTTTCTTGGGAGCGTTTCTAGCACCACAAGTGGCACTTTGTATGGGTCCATGGTGTTATTCAAGGTTTACAGTATTGCACTAAACATGATGAAAAATACACAAGAGCTGCGAGAGATCACTTTTTCTGTGATACGCAATTTACTGGAAAGATGAGCTGCTCACGTGGAGATGATTAGTATCATATGATGTTTTAAGCAGAAGCAACACTTGGGCTCACTGCATTGGCAACAGAAGGTGGCTGTAAAATTATTACCGTCATACAGTATGTGTTACAGTGAGTTTTATGCAGTTATAATTTCACACTACATCTTTACATTTGTTTACATGTCTATCAACTTTGAATGTCCCCGTGTACGGTCTGTAAGGGTTTGTGTGTAAGCTTTAATACATTTTAACTTTTTATAATAGATTAATGTACATTTTATCATAGTAATTGATAAGACAAAAAAAACCATACGAACCCTTGAGTAGTTTTACTATATCACTCCTTCTATTATTCTATGCCTTCTATTATCATTGTATTCTATCCCTTCTATTATTGCTGCCTAAGTCTTCTCTTAAACCTAGTTTTTAGAGTTAAAGTTTACTTTTGTCTTAATCTTGTTCAATTTACTTGTTGCCATTTAAAACTATTTCCTTCTTCTTTTGCTGTCTTCTTTTGTGGTTTGATGGTTTTCTTATGTTTTGAGCAGCTACTACAGTTTTTTTGCTTTGCGGGTGCCATGAGGCTTACATAAAATATTTTATTCTTATAACAACCTAATTTAAGATGATAAAAATGTGCCTTTAATCACATACAAAAACTTATGCATTCACTCCCTCTCCCTCTTTTACAATTTTGATTTCAAAATTTACATTTGTTTTTGTAATTTGTACGCCTAGACAATTTTTGAATAGTCTTGTGTTGTAACCCTCTGAGTAGGAATAAAATTGCTTTACACACCACCTTTATGGTACAATTAGAAAATTCTCAGTATGGCAGTATATTACTTATACCACTGAGTTTTTGTTTTCACTTTCATTTTTTTTGGTTTGTTTTTAGTTAGTGGCCTTTTGTTTCAGCTTAAAAAACAAACAAACAAACAAAAACTCCCTTTAGCAATTTCTGCAGGTCTAATGGTGATGAACTCCTTTAGCTTTGTTTGCCCAGGACTTTTTACTTCTCCATTATTTCTAAAGATTGCCAGGTAAAATACTCCTGATTTACAATTGTGTTTCCTTCAGCACGTTGAATATATCATCCCACTCTCTCCTGGCCTGCAGGGTTTCTGCTGAGAAATCTGTTGAAAGCCATCTTGGGGCTCCCTTGAATGTGATTTGTTTCTTATGACCTGCTGCTTTCAGTATTCTTTGTGTTTAATTTTTGATAATTTGATTATGCAGTTTCTTGGTGAATTCCTCTTTGGATTAAATTTGACTGGCAACCTCTGAGCTTCCTATACCTGGATGTTTTTGTTGTCGTTCCTTAGATTTGGGAAATATGGGGCCATTATTTCCTTAAATATGTTTTCTTGGACTTTTTCTCTTTCTTCTCTTTCAGGAACATCTTGATGGTGTCTCATAATTCCCATGGCCTTCTTTGTTCTTTTTGATTCTTTTTTTTTCCTTTTTGTTCTGCTGACTGGGTAATATAAACAATGGAATACTATTTAGCCTTTTAAAAAAAGAAGGAAATCCTATCATTTGTGACAACATTAATGACTCTGGAGCACATTATGCTCAGCGAAATAAGCCAGGCACAGGGAGGGAAATACCACACGATCTCACTTATATGTGGAATCTAATAAAGATGAATTTATAGAAGTACAGAGTGGTTATCAGAGGCTAGGGAGGGGTGGTCAGGGAAGGAGATGGGGAGTTGTTCATGTAAGGGTATGAAGTTTCAAATAAATAGAAAGGATAGGTTTTGAGACCCATGGAACAGCAGGGCACTACAGTAAATCATAATGTATTGTATACTGTAGTTTCCCTCTTATCCATGATTTTGCTTTCTGTGGTTTCAGTTACCCACGGTCAACTGTGGTCTGCAAATATGAAATGGAAAATTCCAGGAATAAACAACTCATAAGTTCTAAATTGAGTGCTGTTCTGAGTAATGTGATGAAATCTCATACTATCCTGCTCTGTCCTGCCTAGGACATCAATTATCCCCTTGCCCAGTATATCTATGCTGTATATGCTACCCAGCCACTGGTCATTGACATCATCATGGCTTGATAATCCAGGATCACCTAAAGTAGATGATCCTTCTTCTGTCTCATTAGTAGGTCAATAGTAGCCAAATGCTACCTCACAATGCCTGTGTCAGTCCCCTCACTTCATCTCATCACATAAAAACTTTGTATCATCTCACATCACCACAAGAAGAAGAAGAAGCATTAGTACAGCATAGTAAGATATTTTGAGAAATATCACATCCATGTAACTTCTATTACAGTAGATTGTATAATTGTTCTTAGTGTTAGTTATTACTGTTAATTTCTTACTGTGCCTAATTTAGAAATTAAACTTCATGATAGGTATATACAGTAGGCCCTCTGTATCCACAGATGCAGAACCCATAGATATGGAAGGCTAACTATATTGTGGCATTTTATATAAGGGACTTGAGAATCTGTAGATTTTGGCCTCTGTGAAGAGTCCTGGAATCAATCCTCTGCAGATGCAGAGGGCCAGTTTCATGTATAGGTAAAAAACAATATATATAGGATTTGGAACTATCTGCAGTTTCAGGTATCTGCTAGGGGTTTTGGAATGCATCCCTCATGGATAAGTGGGACTACTTTATACTAACTAAGAGAGTAAATTTCAAATGTCTCATCATCAAATGATAGGTGAGGTGATGGATATGTTAGTTAGCTTAACTTAGTTATTCCATATTGTATACATATATCAAAACCTCACATTATAACCCATAAGCATATGTAATTATGACTTGTTAATAAAAAAATTAAGAATGAATTAAAAATAGGTAAATCAATTTTTTAAAAATATATTTCAAAGAATAGAAAAAATATGTAACATATGTATCTGTGATTTGTAAATGTAATTAAATAAATGGTATAGCCATTATCCAACTTAAGAAATAGAATCTGTTCAATGATACCTAAACCTTGTGTGTTTCACCTCAATTATGTCCTCTTCCATCCCCCAGATGGAAACACTAATTTGAGTTTTGCACTTACTCTTGTCTTGCTTTTTTACAGCGTTAATACAATGGTGCATATCTCTCAACTTTGTTGCTGAGTTTAGCATGATTTAAAATTTACATCATGGTATTATTATTTTTTATTTGCTTATTATATTTCTTCTTTTTTAAATTTTAAGTTCTGGGATACATGTACAGAACACGCAGGTTTGTTACATAGATATACATGTGCCGTGGTGGTTTGCTGCATCCATCAACCTGTAATCTAGGGTTTAGGGCCTGCACGCATTAGGTATTTGTCCTAATGCTCTCCCAACCCTTTGCCCCCAACCCTAACAGGTCCTGGTGTGTGATGTTCCCCTCCCTTTGTCCATGTGTTCTCATTGTTCAACTACCACTTACGAGTGAGAACATGCAGTGTTCAGTTTTCTGCTCCTGTGTTAGTTTGCTGAGAATGGACATCATGTTATTATTATGCCATAGTGACTGATATGGTTTGGCTGTGTCCCCACCAAAATCTCATGTCAAATTGTAATTCCCAGTATTGGGGGAGGGACCTGGTGGGATGTGCCTAGATCATGGGGACAGATTTCCCCCTTGCTGTTCTCATGATAGTGAGTTCTCATGAGATCTGGTTGGTTAAGTGTGCAGCCCTTCCCCCTTTGCCCTCTCTCTCTCCTGCTCTGTCATATGAAGATTGTGTCTGCTTCTCCTTCCCCTTCCACTATGACTGTAAGTTTCCTGAGGCATCCCCAGCCACGCCTCCTGTACAGCTTTCAGAACTGAGTCAATTAAACCTGTTTTTTTCCATGAATTACCCAGTCTCAGGTATGTCTTTTTTGTTTTGTTTCGTTTTTGTTTTTGCTTTTGTTTTTGAGATGGAGTCTCACTCTGTCTCCCAGGCTGGAGTGCAGTGGTACGATGTCGGCTCACTGCAACCTCTGCCTTCTGGGCTCAAGTGATTCTCCTGCCTCAGTCTCCCAAGTAGCTGGGATTACAGGCACCCACCACCATGCCTGGCTAATTTTTTTGTGTGTTTTTAGTAGAGATGTGGTTTTACCATGTTGGCCAGGCTGGTTTTGAACTCCTGACCTCAAGTGACCCACCCACCTCGGCCTCCCAAAGTGCTAGAATTACAGGCATAAGCCACTGCGCTCGGCCAGGTATGTCTTTATAGCAGTGCGAGAATAGACTAATACAGAAAATTGGTACCAAAAAGGTGGGGGCATTTCTATAAAGATACCTGAGAATGTGCAAGCAGGTTTGGAACTGCAAAATGGGAAGAGTTTACAACAGTTTGGAGGGATCAGAAGAAGACAGGGAGACGAGGGAGAGTCAGGAAGATGAGGGAAAGTTTGGAACTTCCTAGAGACTTGTTGAATGCTTGTGACCAAGATGCTGATAGTGACATGGACAGTGAAGTCCAGGCTGAGGAGGTCTCAGATGGAGATGAGGAACTTACTGGGAACTGGAGTAAAGGTCACTCTTGCTATGCTTTAGCAAAGACAATGGTAGCATTGTGCCCTGCCCTAGAGATTTGTGGAACTTTGAACTTGAGAGAAATGTTGAACAAAAAAAAGACCAGAAACTAGAACTTATATTTAAAAGGGAAGCAGAGCATAAAAGTTTGGAAAATTTGCAGCCTGACCATGTGGTAGAAAAGAAAAACCTATTTTCTGGAGAGGAAATCAAGGCTCAGAAATGTGCATAAGTAAAGAAGAGCCAAATGTTCCTAGCCAAGATAATGAGGAAAATGCCTCCAGGACACTTCAGAGACCTTCACAGCAGCCCCTTCCATCACAAGCCTGGAGGCCTAGAAGGAAAATGTGGTTTTGTGAGTGAGGCCCAGGGCCTTGCTGCTTTGTGCAGCCTTGGGACATGGCACCCTGTATTCTGGGCACTCCAGTTCCAGCTGTGACTAAAAGGGGCAAAGGTACAGCTTGGGCTGTTGCTTCAGAGGGTGCAAGTCCCCAGCCTCGGTGGCTTCCACGTGGTGTTGAGACAGCGAGTGCACAAAACACAAGAGTTGAGCTTTGGGAGCCTCTGCCTAGATGTCAGAGGATGTATGGCAACACCTGGCGGAGCCCTCATGGAGAACCTCTATTAGGGCAGTCCACACAGGATATGTGGGGTTGGAGCTCCAATACAGAGTCCCCACTGGGGCACTGCCTAGTGGAGCTGTGAGGAAAAAGCTACCATCCTCCAGACCCCAGAATGGTTGATCACTGACAGCTTGCACTGTGTACCTGGAAAAGCCATAGGCACTCAATGCCAGCCTGTGGATGCAGCTGTGGGGGTTGTACCCTCCATAGCCACAGAGCCAGAGGCTGCTCAAAACCTTGGAAGCCCGTCCTTTGCATCAGTGTGGCCTGGATGTGAATCATGGAGTCGAGGAAGATTATTTTGGAGCTTTAAAATTTAATGACTGCCTTACTGGGTTTCAAACTGGCTTGGGGCCTGTAGCCCTTTGTTTTAGCCAATTTCTACCTTTTGGAATAGGGGCATTTACCCAATGCCTGTACCCCCACTGTATCTTGGAAGTAACTAACTTGTTTTTGATTTCACAGGCTTATAGGTGGAAGGGACTTGCCTTGTCTCAGATGAGACTTTGGACTTTGACATTCAAGTTAGTGCTGGAATGAGTTAAGACTTTCGGGGACTGTCGGCAAGGCATGATTGGTTTTGAAATGTGAGAAGGATATGAGATTTGGGAGGGGTCAGGGGCAGAATGATATGGTTTGGCTCTGTGTCCCCACCCAAATCTCATGTCAAATTGTAATTGTCAGTGTTGGGGTAGGGACCTAGTGGGAGGTGACTGGATCATGGGGGCAGATTTCCTTCTTGCTGTTCTCATGATAGTGAGTGTGTTCTCATGAGATATGGTTGTTTAAAAGTGTGTAGTGCTTCCCCATTTGCTCTGTTCCCTACTCTGCCATGTGAAGATTGTTCCTGCTTCCCCTTCTGCCATTAACTGTAAGCTTCCTGAGGTCTTCCCAGCCATGCTTCCTGTACAGCCTGTGGAACTGAGACAATTAAATCTCTTTTATCCATAAATTACCCAGTCTCAGGTATGTCTTTATAGTAGTGTTAGAAGGGACTAATACCATAACTCTCTGTAACAATATTGGTAATATAGATTCAGGCCTCAGTACTTCTGAGGTATATGCCTAGGTTTTCAAATTCGCAAGTGAATTTCTTTTTCTTACTAGAGTCCATTAGAGACTTCTTATTGTCTCTTGTGCTGACGGACAGATTTTTGTTGTTGTTCTAGTTGACTCTTTAATGAAAGCACAGTCTTTGGAAGGTCCCCAGTTTATGTGGCAGTTTCAGTTCATACTCCCTGTCTCACAAGGGCCCAAGGTCTCATCTCCTACGCCCACATATGCGCTGAACCCCAACTCCCAACATAACTGAGACCAGCTCAGCTCCTTGATCTGCCCCCTGGGCAGCTGCAGCATTGGCTCAGACCCTTAATGCTCTGGTTTTCAGAAGCCTCCTTCCTTCCTGGTGCATGAAGAGTTTTCCTTTCAAGCTCAGTTCTGTACTTAATTTTTAAATGTATTTTGTCCACCATTCCTCAGCAATTTTACTGAGAGGCTCTTCATGTCATAGACTAGCCCATCACCTTGCCAGAAGTCAAAACCTCCCACGTCATCTTCTACCTGCCACCCCTGGGGCCTGTCATTAGTCACCTGAGTCACCTCATCTGCCAATGATAAGTACAACAAAGTGTGGCTTCTTGATCAATTGCTTTCATTTAGGCAGCCTTATGGTGGCTACCTGGTAAAGTGTCACATGCAGCATTAAAAACAGTTTCGTTTCTAGGTCACTCACTCATTTATTCATTGAACAAATGATAATGAACACCTGCTGAGTGACAGGCCAGGTTTAGTGTGGGTCAAAATATTCTTATGGATGGTCAAAGGCATATTCCAAAGGACCAGATTATAGGTTGCCAGGAACATATCATTTTTTAAAAAATCTGTATCTGTCAATGTAACCATTTCAGATATGAAAGAAAAAATAAAATGTAAAGGCTCTTAAAGAATCTGGCAATCTGAACACTATGAAAACCATACAAAGATGAACTGCACAGCTATAAATGATGAAGTGCAGCTTTTAATATCTTTTAGTTTTTTTTAGTGAGTAAAACACATCCTATTAATTTTCACATCACAACCGGGTAGGCAGGTGAAAAGAGATTTTATCCGCATGTTACAAATGGAGACAATGAGTCCAGGAGCGCATTCATAAGCAAACAAAGAATCAGACACTTCAACTTTTCAATGTCTATTTTAGCTGATCCAGTGAAACCCCATTAAAATTGCTACTGTCTGACTATCATGCTCTAACACTTCTAAGGCAATTTAAAAAGAATGAATTGGCTGGCTGAAAAAAAAAAATACTCCAGACAGCTTTCTTGTTCTGGAAATGACCTGTTCTCTAATAGCTTCTCCATTGTCCTTTGCTGAAAAGAAAGAGTGAGTTATGCACTTGCACAAATAATGATTCCGATGAAGGAGGCATGTTGAAGCCAATGCTAGAAAGTGCATGACTCTCTGCACCATTCTGTCCACAGCACTGTCTTCAGAAAACACACAACTAAACAGGCTTGTTATATCCTATTTTGAAAACAAACAAAGAAAAAAGCCCAAACCAACCAACCTGTTGTCTTTCGAATGCCCCACATGTATCATAAGGATTTGGAGTCAGGGAGAATGAACTCCATAAGATAAAAGTTCATCTGGAGAAACTGGTGCCCATTCCAAAATCTGGCGTTCATCTTCAGTGGGAACCAGTCCAAATGAATGGCATTAAACACGTATTTATAGAGTGTCCTCTATATGACTCAATTAATGAGGAAATTGGAAAACCCTGCAGGCTCTTGCTCTCACTGGGAGGCAATTCAGTGCTGAGGCAAAAAACAAGGGCTGGGCATTTGGACAGAGAAGAAGCGGAAACTGCACCCCACCGTTGGCCAGCTGTGCCTCTCTGGGCAAGCACATCATGTTTCTGAGCGGCATTTCCCCTCTCGGTAATATGACTATTGTAAAAATTATAACAAATCTCAGCCTCGTGATGAAAAGATGCACGTGGCAGCAGTTCGTAACACGTGACGCCTTATGAAAAATAGACACAATTACTATTCCATTAAAATAAAAAAAAAAGAATCTGCTTGTGTTTTCAGTCCTTTGGTTTTCTTCTCAGCAAAGAATCTGCAACATGATGTATTAACTACCCTTTTGTTTGAGTTCCTTCAGGATTTGACATAAGAGACACTGGAAACATCACATTTTCTATCTTGAAGTCATAGCCCCAAGAAGTGTCTAGAATGAAACCCTTCCATGGCAAGGGCAGTATATTAGGAGAGGGCCCCTTGCTGACCTCCCCAAAGTAGGATGCACATTCTAACAAGTCTGGATAATTTTTTAAAAGACATGAAAACGTGATAAACCTGGTTAAATGAATTTTTTTTTCTTTTTTTGAGATGGAGTCTCACTCTGTTGCCCAGGCTGGAGTGCAGTGGTGCAATCTTGGCTCACTGAAACCTCTGCCTCCTGGGTTCAAGTGATTCTCCTGCCTAAGCCTCCCAAGCAGCCAGGACTACAGGTGTGCACCACCACGCCTGACTAATTTTTGTGTTTTTAGTAGAGATGGGGTTTTTCCAAGTTGGCCAGGCTGGTCTTGAACTCCTGACCTCAGGTGATCCGCCTGCCTCGGCCTCCGAAAGTGCTGGGGTTACAGGCATGAGCCACCATGCCCGGCCTAAATGTCTTTTAAAATATAGGCTGGCTGTGCTCTTATCTTGTTCTTTGACAAAAAGAGATGACTTGGGGTCTCTACTAGTAGGTCTCCTAGCAGGTGACTGGATGCATGGCTCCAAAATAGGTTCTGTTTAAAATACTACAAATCTTACATGAGAGGGCACTGGCATCCCCCTTCTCCTTCTTCCTCACCCCACCAGTGACCTCGGCACCACCAGCAGTACTCAGTGTGCGCCACTCTCAGGGTGGTTCTGCTCACAGAGGACACTTCCAGAACGTCTTTAACTCAGCCTTCAATCCCAATTCATTCCTCCATCCATTCCCCCAGGTGTCCAAAGCACTCACTACACACCACGTGCTGCAGAAACTGATGGGGGTGCAATGATGGCAATCACCGAGACAACATCAAAGCCAAGATCTGAGGCACGAACAGGAGTTAGCAAGCAACTGATTCACAGAAGGTTCAAGGGGATGGTGAAGACGGGAAACGATCCCGAAAGAGGGTGCACCTCCTCTGAGAGCTTCTTCTCCTTCTCTTCCCTGGCTGGGTGAGAGAGTGCCCAGACATGAACCACGATAAAAAGATATTTGCATCAAAATTGATTAGTGGCAGTTTTAAATAAAATGAACAAAGCAGATTCTTAAAATCACGACTGGAAAACAATTATCTACCATAAAATAAGATCTGCCAAACTGGAACAAAATCAATTCGTTCTATCTCTCTCTGTGATAATGGAACAAAAAGGCCAGACAGGATGTAACTAAGTTGAATCTACATCATCACTTAATATTATATAATTGGTTTTGTTAACTGGGGGGGTCCTTGCTCCCAAAGCTCCCAAGATGGTGGCAGGCCACTTCCAAAATGGCGGTGGGCCACTTCCAAGATGATGGCAAGCCTCCTGTTCTCTGACCTGGGGTTCTTGGCCTCACGGATTCCAAGGAATGGAATCTTGGGCCACGCAGTGAGTGTTATAGCTCTGTTAGAAGTCGTGGGTCACGGAAGAGCACCGTGGAACCCAGTGACTAGTGTTCAGCTCAATTAGGATGAACCCAGGCACTTAGCCGTGCATGAACAATGGCAAGCCTTTAGCCCGATCAGGAGTGGCAATGGGCGCCTCGCTGGATCAGGAGCATAGCGGACACCCTGCTGGATCTGGAGGGATGAAAGTCAGCGGCGGGTCTGCAACCGCGGCAAACAGCAGTGGTGGACGGCGATGGAAAGCTCAGCTCGAGCCGTAACAAACACAGAAGAGTGCAGTTGCAAGATTTAATAGAGTGAAAAAGAGTGAAAACAGAGCTCCCAAAAAAAGGGAGGGGACCCAAAGAGGGTCGCTGCTGCCAGCTCCAATGCCGGGGTTTATATGCTGATCCTTGTCCCTCCCGCTGTGCTCTCAGACAATAGATGATTGGCTATTTCTTTACCTCCTGTTTTTGCCTAATTAGCATTTTAGTGAGCTCTCTGATTGGTCAGGTGTGAGCTAAGTTGCAAGCCCCGTGTTTAAAGGTGGATGTGGTCACCTTCCCAGTTAGGCTTAGGGATTCTTAATCAGCCTAGGAAATCCACCTAGTCCTGTCTCTCAGTTTGTTTATCTCAATATGGTCTGTCCCACCCTACCCCCCACCATTAAAAGGGCAGCTTCATGAGGGCAGAGACATTGTCAAAAATCAATCGATCATATCTTTGTGGTTCTATTTTAAAATTCTGTTCTATTGATCTATTTGTGTGTCTCGGCACCAATACTACACTGTCTTGATTACTGTGTATTTATAATAAGACTTGAAATTAAGTGGTTAATTTTGTAACTCTGTTCACTTTTTAAAGTTGTTTTAGCTATTCCAGGTCTTTTGCATTTCCACATATATTTTTGAAATAGTTTGTCAATTTCTACATAAAATCTTGCTGGGATTTTGATTGAGATTGTGTGGAATATATGGATAAATTTGCAAAGAACTGACAGCTTAGCAATATTGAGTCTTTTTTTTGTTTGTTTTGTTTTTTTGTTTCTTTTTTTTTATTATACTTTAAGTTTTAGGGTACATGTGCACATTGTGCAGGTTAGTTACATATGTATACATGTGTCATGCTGGTGCGCTACACCCACTAACTCGTCATCTAGCATTAGGTATATCTTCCAATGCTATCCCTCCCCCCTCCCCCCACCCACCACAGTCCCCAGAGTGTGATATTCCCCTTCCTGTGTCCATGTGATCTCACTGTTCAATTCCCACCTATGAGTGAGAATATGTGGTGTTTGGTTTTTTGTTCTTGCGATAGTTTACTGAGAATGATGATTTCCAATTTCATCCATGTCCCTACAAAGGACATGAACTCATCATTTTTTATGGCTGCATAGTATTCCATGGTGTATATGTGCCACATTTTCTTAATCCAGTCTATCATTGTTGGACATTTGGGTTGGTTCCAAGTCTTTGCTATTGTGAATAGTGCCGCAGTAAACATACGTGTGCATGTGTCTTTATAGCAGCATGATTTATAGTCCTTTGGGTATATACCCAGTAATGGGATGGCTGGGTCAAATGGTATTTGTAGTTCTAGATCCCTGAGGAATCGCCACACTGACTTCCACAATGGTTGAACTAGTTTACAGTCCCACCAACAGTGTAAAAGTGTTCCTATTTCTCCACATCCTCTCCAGCACCTGTTGTTTCCTGACTTTTTAATGATTGCCATTCTAACTGGTGTGAGATGGTATCTCATAGTGGTTTTGATTTGCATTTCTCTGATGGCTAGTGATGATGAGCATTTTTTCATGTGTTTTTTGGCTGCATAAATGTCTTCTTTTGAGAAGTGTCTGTTCATGTCCTTCGCCCACTTTTTGATGGGGTTGTTTGTTTTTTTCTTGTAAATGTGTTTGAGTTCATTGTAGATTCTGGATATTAGCCCTTTGTCAGATGAGTAGGTTGCGAAAATTTTCTCCCATTTTGTAGGTTGCCTGTTCACTCTGATGGTAGTTTCTTTTGCTGTGCAGAAGCTCTTTAGTTTAATTAGATCCCATTTGTCAATTTTGTCTTTTGTTGCCATTGCTTTTGGTGTGTTGGACATGAAGTCCTTGCCCATGCCTATGTCCTGAATGGTAATGCCTAGGTTTTCTTCTAGGGTTTTTATGGTTTTAGGTCTAACGTTTAAATCTTTAATCCATCTTGAATTGATTTTTGTATAAGGTGTAAGGAAGGGATCCAGTTTCAGCTTTCTACATATGGCTAGCCAGTTTTCCCAGCACCATTTATTAAATAGGGAATCCTTTCCCCATTGCTTGTTTTTCTCAGGTTTGTCAAAGATCAGATAGTTGTAGGTAGGCGGCGTTATTTCTGAGGGCTCTGTTCTGTTCCATTGATCTATATCTCTGTTTTGGTACCAGCACCATGCTGTTTTGGTTACTGTAGCCTTGAAGGAGGAACTGGTACCATTCCTTCTGAAACTATTCCAATCAATAGAAAAAGAGGGAATCCTCCCTAACTCATTTTATGAGGCCAGCATCATTCTGATACCAAAGCCGGGCAGAGACACAACCAAAAAAGAGAATTTTAGACCAATATCCTTGATGAACATTGATGCAAAAATCCTCAATAAAATACTGGCAAACCGAATCCAGCAGCACATCAAAAAGCTTATCCACCATGATCAAGTGGGCTTCATCCCTGGGATGCAAGGCTGGTTCAATATACACAAATCAATAAATGTAATCGAGCATATAAACAGAGCCAAAGACAAAAACCACATGATTATCTCAATAGATGCAGAAAAAGCCTTTGACAAAATTCAACAACCCTTCATGCTAAAAACTCTCAATAAATTAGGTATTGATGGGATGTATTTCAAAATAATAAGAGCTATCTATGACAAACCCACAGCCAATATCATACTGAATGGACAAAAACTGGAAGCATTCCCTTTGAAAACTGGCACAAGACAGGGATGCCCTCTCTCACCACTCCTATTCAACATAGTGTTGGAAGTTCTGGCCAGGGCAATTAGGCAGGAGAAGGAAATAAAGGGTATTCAATTAGGAAAAGAAGAAGTCAAATTGTCCCTGTTTGCAGATGACATGATTGTATATCTAGAAAACCCCATTGTCTCAGCCCAATATCTCCTTAAGCTGATAAGCAACTTCAGCAAAGTCTCAGGATACAAAATCAATGTACAAAAATCACAAGCATTCTTATACACCAACTACAGACAAACAGAGAGCCAAATCATGAGTGAACTCCCATTCACAAATGCTTCAAAGACAATAAAATACTTAGGAATCCAACTTACAAGGGATGTGAAGGACCTCTTCAAGGAGAACTACAAACCACTGCTCAAGGAAATAAAAGAGGATACAAACAAATGGAAGAACATTCCATGCTCATGGGTAGGAAGAATCAATATCGTGAAAATGGCCATACTGCCCAAGGTAATTTACAGATTCAATGCCATCCCCATCAAGCTACCAATGACTTTCTTCACAGAATTGGAAAAAACTACTTTCAAGTTCATATGGAACCAAAAAAGAGCCCGCATCGCCAAGTCAATCCTAAGCCAAAAGAACAAAGCTGGAGGCATCACACTACCTGACTTCAAACTATACTACAAGCAATATTGAGTCTTAAGACTCATCAATAAGGCATCCATCTCCATTTATTTAAGCCTTCTTTCAGTAATGTTTTGTGGTATTCAGTGTACAGGTTAATTTTTTTACATGTTTATCCAGATCTATCCCTATTTCATATTTCTGTTGTTATTATAAAGATACTTAAAAAACTCAGGCTGGGCACAGTGACTCACACCTGTTAATCCCAGCACTTTGGGAGGTCAAGGCGGGTGGATCATGAGGTCAGGAATTTGAGACCAGCTTGGCCAACATGGTGAAACCCCATCTCTACTAGAAATACAAAAATTAGCCGGGCATGGTGGCATGCACCTGCAGTCCCAGCTACTCAGGAGGCTGAGGCAGGAGAATTGCTTGAATCTGGGAGGCAGAGGTTGCAGTGGGCTGAGATCGCACCCCTGCACTCCAGCCTGGGTGACACAGCACTCTGTCTCTGGGCGGGAGGGGCGGGGGGTGTGGAGGGAAGAAAATTCAGTTTTTGATTTTGTTGACAGTATATGGAAACAGAATTAAATTTTATATATTGATCTTGTCTGCAACCCTGATAAACTCACTTATTAGTTTTACTATCTTTTTGGTAAACTCTGATTTTTCAGATAAATGACATAAGCATATCATCTGCCAGCAAATAAAGTTTTATTCATCCTTTCCCATCTTAATGCTTTTTATTTCTTTTTCTTGCCTTACAGAAATAGCTATGCCCTTCAGTACAATGTTTACTGAAAGTAGTGAGAGTGGATATTTGTTCCAGATCTCAGGGGGAATGCATTCAATTGTTCCCCATTAAGTATCATGATATCTGTAGTTTTTCTGTAGACACCTGTGATGGTTAGTATTGAGTGTCAACTTGATTGGATTGAAGAATGCAAAATACTGTTCCTGGGTGTGTCTGTGAGGGTGTTACCAAAGGAGATCTGCCTTTGAGTCAGTGGACTGGGAAAGGCAGACCCACCCTCAATCTGGGTGGGCGCCATCTAATCAGCTGACAGTGCTGAATAAAAGCAGGCAGAAGAACATGGAAAGACTAGACTAGTTTAGTCTTCTGGCCTACATCTTTCTCCAGTGCTGGATGCTTCCTGCCTTCGAGCATCAGACTCCAAGTTCTTCAGCTTTGGGACTCAAACTGGCTTCCCTGCTCCTCAGCTTGCAGATGGACTATTGTGGGACCTCACCTGTAATCGTGTGAGTCAATACTCCTTAATAAACTCCTCTTTATATATACATCTATCCTATTCATTCTGTCCCTCTAGAGAACCCTGACTAATACAATGCCCTAAACTGGGTTGAGGAAGATCCCTTCTATTCCAAATTTCTTGAGTTTTTTACCAGGAATGAATGTTGGATTTTATCAAATGTTTCTTCTGCTTCTATAGAGATGATCACATGACTTTTCTCTTTCAGTTTGTATATATACTGAATTACACTGACTGTGTATCAAATGTTAAACCAACCTTAAATTTCTGGTATAAATCTCACTATTATTCTTTTATTATTGTTGAATTTGAATTTCTAAAATACTGTAAAGAATTTTTGTATCTGTTCCTGAGTAATATCAGTCTACAGTTTTCTTATATCTTTGGTTTTCATATCACATAATGTTAGACTCATAGAATCAACTGGGGTGTATTTCCTTTATTGCTATATGTTTAAGTTCACTAATTTTTTTCTATAATATGTAATATGCTGTGAATTCTATACAGTGTATTTTTCAGCACAAATATTGCAGTTTTGATCTCTAGAAGTTTGATTTAGGCCTTTTTTACAAAATTCATCTATTTTGAACATGAGGAATACAGTTATAATAACCACTTAACCGCCCTTGTCTGCTAATTCTAACAAATTGTCTGTTTCAGTTGATTGCTGTATTACCTCACAATGCCTCACACTGCCTTGCTTCTATGCATGCCAAACACTGTATATATTACCTTTTTGTGTTCCTGATCTTGAGCCTTAATTTGAAGTGCAGTTTATTTAGTTGGAAATAGTTTGATCTTTGTAAGTCTCGCTTTTTGTTAGAGAGGACTGCAGGAGTAATACTTAATCTAAAGCTTAGTACCCCCCATTCCTGAGACCCTTCTATGTTCTCTACTCAATTCCTCTTGAATTCTGAGGTTTTGTGGTCTGGCTGGTGGGCATGGGCACTTTTCTCAGCCCTGTGTGAGCATCACTTACAACTAATCCTTTTGGATGGTCCTCGCACACATCCACTGATCAGCACTCACCCGAATACTCCAGGCAAGCCCTCTTCATATCTCTCGAGGTCTCTGTGCATGCTCTGCTCTCTGGTACACTGATCTATGAACTCTAGCTGCCTTGGTCTTTCCAGACTCTCAATTCTGTCTCTTCTACTCAGAGAGACCCCTGGGCTCTTCCTCAGTTCCTGCTTCCAGAGTCACAACCTGAAAACTCCCTCAAGTCAGTAATGTGGGGTATCCTAAAGCTCCCATCTTTTACTTCCGATCCCTCAGGGATCACTGTCCTCTGTTGCTTGATGTCCAGTCCAGTTTCTTCCAAACTATTGCTTATTGTTTTTTCCCCCTTTTTTGTTTGTTTAAGGTAGGAGGGTAAATCTGGTCCCTATTATCCCATTTCAACCAGAAGCCGAAGCCCTTAGCCTGCTTTCGGCTGCAGAGGGGGTTTTTCAAAGGAATGTTAATAAAATTGACAACCGTGGCATGTGCAGGTGCAGGAATATATCGTGAACAGGACAGAAGGTCCCTGCATCCTTGGAGATTACAGTCTAGTGGCAGCCAACCAGCATAAAGCAAAACATAAAGCCAAGCAACATAAAGCATATATATTTGCTATACACACACACACACACACACACACACACACACACACACACACACACCACACCAAGCAACTTCAAATAGTGCTTAGTAAATCAGGGTAATGATAGTGACCAAAGGAGACGGGAAAACAGCCGGACAAACATTAGTCAAGGAATGTGTCTCTGATAAATAAGGATTTGAGCTGAATGATAAGGAGAAAGCGGCTACGCAAAGGTCCTGGGGCAGAGCGGTCGAGGCAGATACATTTCCAAACACTGAAGTCCTGAGTATGGAATGAGCTTAGCACATTTGCAGTATATAATGAGGCCAGAGTGGCTGGCATGTGGTGAGAGAAGCAGGGGTTAGATTGCTTGAACCTTCCACCTCAGAGAAAAAGGTATGCAGCGGAGTGTGGTAGAACTGTGCCCAAACACACAAAGAAATATCAAAGTGAAACTTTCTTTACATTCCTCTCTCTAAAATGATGCTCAACAAACCTCAGAGAAGTTGGCTTACCTTTCCCTGCAATAGCAGAGCATTTTCAGTCCACAGGCTGCTGGCAAGCAGAACAGAATGGCTCCTGAACCAACTGCTGTCCTGTAACTATTCTTGTACCTTGTCCAAAGCAACCTCCCAAGAGCATGCCCCAAGCATCGCTGGCAAGCCCTTCTCAGAGTCGGTAACCATCCTCCCTACTCTCTATCCCCCAAAGAGAGGCAGCAGAGCTGTCAACTTCTGGGCAGCCTCCAGAGATGGTGGAGCTGAGGAACAGATGAAGGATTCACATATTCTCTTTTCATTAGAAAATATGGTACAAGCAGCGTCTCTTTAGAGTGGGTTGCCATTTACAATAATAAATGGGACCATTTTTCAGTTTCCTTCCCCCGCACTCTCGGGTAATTTGTTCTCTCTCTACTCTTTGGCTGTGAGACTGGATGAGACATCAGGAGACTTGCATAACCAGAATATATGAATAAACTTGATTTTCGTCCCAGCTGTGCGACTGACTTACTGTGTGCCAGACTTGCTGCGCGACCCTGGGCGAGTCACTTAATTTACTGGAGCTTTCATTTCTTTTCCTGAGATGTGAGAATGCTCTCATCTTCCCACACTCTCCTAGGGGAGCTGTTGTTACTCAGATTGATAATACAGGAGTCTCTCCCTACCTAGATACAAAGCTTAGCTACAAACAAACTTCCATGTAAGAAAATTAGGCACTGAGCTGAGAAACTCAGGGAAAGCGGGGAGGGGCAGGTAAAAGCATCAAGGTCACAGACTAATAAATGTTTTTCCTTTTATTCAATTTTAAAAATATAAAGACTGAACTGAATTTAAAAGCATGTCAATGGCATTGCACCCAGCCTGACTCAGCTATAATGGACACTGGACAGTTCTTTGCATTGAATACCCATTGCTCACTGGGAATCTTTCAGATCCTCCTCACTCACAGTTTCAACAAGATGACTGCAAATGTGGTTTTCTCTTTGCAAACAATGCACATTTTTAGTACAATGTCCTCCATCCAAGCATTGCACGCCACCCTGGTTTTATGATTCAGGAATTCACCTCCCAGGTCCTATCTTGGTCCACAGACCCCAAAAAGTGTAGATGTTTGAGATGGGGAGCCCTCTGGTTGGCCTTTATTTAACCTGTGCTGCAGTGGGCAAAAATATATTTTAAAGTATATGATCAAGGTTCAAGCAAAAGATGCTAGAGTTGAACAGGAATTATGAGCAACTTTAAAATGATGTTGGAGTTGACCAGGCATTTCCCTACTCTTGCTCTCATTTAACTTTGCAAAGTAAATGCAACTACTATTCTCTGCAAAGACACAAGAATCTGGATCTCAAAGAGGCCAAGGGGAATTGCTAAAGATCACCAGGATGAAAAGAAAGGACCCCCACCCAGATTCCCATCCCATACTCAGTGCTCCTTTAAGCAAGCCAAGCTAAGAGAGATAAGTGGCTGAGGTAAAATACTCAATTAATATGAGACTAAAAAATGTTGATTCAGAAAACTGCAGATCTTCAGAATCACTGTATGTTCCTTGGTCACTTCACAGAGTTCCTTCTCTAATTTCCTCACCTTTTCCCGGAGTTCACGCCACCTCTCAATGGAGTCCCATGTGTGAATTTAATTAACCAGCTGTTGTTGAGAGATCTCCCAGATCATTAATTAAGATCTTTGTATACTGTTTTTGAAACCAGACCTAACCCTTTTACCCCCAGTCACTCCCTGGAGACATTTGTGCAGCTCTGAAGAGGGCTGTTTATTTTACTCCCACATTATATGCTCAGTTTGCAGAGTGTGTTTTATAACTGCGCTATCTTAAAAAGTTGATTTCTCTAGGGACAGACTGTGAGCCAGTTCGGAATACTGTTTGTCAAAATCCAAACAAAGAAAATGTGTCCGAATGATGGTGATGCTGTTGTTATTATTATTGGGTAATAAGAGAAATCACTGATAAAATTCACTGTAGCATTCTTGGTTTAAATCCTAAACTTACTAATGAATTTGATTATTGGGAGACTACATGTATATTAAGAGACTAAATGTATACTATCCCTTTCATCCAGGAAACCAATACCTAGAAAGTTTCCTTAAAGAACTGAAACAAAATAAGTGAAAATTTTTATGTACAAAGATGCTCATAATTTAATATATCACCAAATATTAAACTTACCTAATCCTATTATCTAAAAATAGGACAGTGAGTAAATACATTTTAGTACATCCAAATTATGGAATATTATGTGCTATTAAAATCAACACAATGCTATGACAAGGAAAACACTTGGAATATCAAGCCCAAAATAAAGAGGATAAAAAATGTAAAGTTTACAACAACTAGATTACATAAAAATAGGCCAAAGACTAAAATGACAGGGAGAAAATGAAAACAGTCAATTTTGAGTTATAAGATGTGGAAAGGTTTATTAGCATATTTAATTTTAAGTTAATAAATATGCAACAAATAAAAGTGAGACTACCATAACTCCAAATATTTTAGAAACATCTTGCTGTTCTTGGTGTGGTTTGGAATATTTGCATTAGTAGTTCTCTACAGCAAATGTGTCAGTGCTTGTCCATAAACCTGGGACCCCATCATTTCAATTAGCTCTGAGGTGCTTCCAACTGGAGGTGGATGGATGGCGGCAGTGGTCAGGCAAAGCTTCGGGGCGTAGTCAATATTTGAGCCAAGTCTTATTCCATGTGGGCATCACATTTCTGTGTCTGAGAACATTTATCTGGACCTGCAGAAGCCCATGTATGCAGCAGGTTAAAAGGATTAAAGAATTAACGCTTTCCAAGGAGCAACCTTCAGCTACTCTCAGGAGTTGTAGAAACACCCACGCGTTCTCACCTGTCAGGTGGTGTAATTCTGAGGTGGGTGTTTTGCACCATTGTCCAGATTCTAACGAAGGACCAAAGAAATTTATTAGGAAAAGATTTTCTGACATTTAGGACTGGAACAACTGATTATCTATATGGGATTAAAAATATCAATGGCTACTTCACACCATTGACAAAGATAATGTGAGATCAGTAATAGATCTATTAAATATATTTTCTAGAAGGAACACAGAAGACTACCTTTGTGATATGAGGTAGGTAATAATTCTTAGGGGATAGGAAGCAATGAACATAAAGAAGAAAAATGGCAGTTCATCCAAATTAAAATCTTATTCATAATGGCATCAAGACGTCACTAATAAAATAAAAAGCAAGCCATATGTTGGGATAAAGAATTCACAAAATACATTCATGACAAAGAACTTTCATCAGGAATATATAAAGGACTTGTATAACACAACAATTTTTTTTTTTGTTTGAGATGGAGTCTCGCTCTGTTGCCCAGGCTGGAGTGCAGTGGCGCAATCTTGGCTCACTGCAAGCTCCGCCTCCTGGGTTCACGCCATTCTCCTGCCTCAGCCTCCCGAGCAGCTGGGACTACAGGCGCCCGCCACCATGCCCGGCTATTTTTTTTTTATTTTTAGTAGAGACAGGGTTTCATTGTGTTAGCCAGGATGGTCTCGATCCCCCGACCTCGTGATCCGCCCGCCTCAGCCTCCCAAAGTGCTGGGATTACAGGCGTGAGCCACCGCGCCCAGTCACAACACAACAATTTTTTTTTTTAAGTTTTAAAAATAGGCAAAAGGCTTAGACATATACTTCACAAAGGAAGATACATAAATACTAATAATTAGATTAAAAGTGCCCAATATCAGTAGTCACTGGAGAAAAGGAAATTAAAACCACAAAGAAATACCAAAGCACACTGCCTAGAATGGCTATAATTAAGAAAACTAACAACTGCAAATGTTGATAAGGATATGGAGTAACCAGAACTCTAGTAAAATTTTATGATAACTTTTGGAAAACTCTTTGTCAGTTAAAAGCTACAAATATGCTTACTCTATACCCAAACAATTCCACTCCTAAGTATTTACTCAAGAGAAATGAAAGTATATGTTCACAAAATCACGTACACAGGAATGTTCACAGCAGACTTATTTATAATAGTACAAACCCAAAACAACCCACATGTGTATCTATCGAAGAATGAATTATCAAACTGCAGTATTTTCATGCAGTGGAATACTACACAATAAAATGAAATAAACTGCTCCTATATACAATGATATACTTGAATCTCAAAAACATTATGCTTGTGAAAGAAGCCAGGCACAATATTTTCATTCATACAAAATTCTGGAATAGGCAAAACCAATGTATGGTGATAGAAATAAGCACAGTGGTTTCCTGGAAGGCAGTGATAATAGTGATAGGGATTAACAAGGAGGCTACATCAGAGAAATTTGGGGGATGATAGAAATAGTCTATAAAGTGAGTGTGAGTTATAAGAGTACCTTTGTCAAAACTGGTCCTTTCTCAAAACTGATCAATTGAATACACACGTCAAAATCAAACAGGACACTAAGATGTCTGCGTATCATAATATGTAAAATACTGTTTAGGGAAAAGAAAAGAATGAAGCCATCCAACACAAGGGCATGCTTTCCTGATCACTCTTAGCCAGTGTGATGGTTTTCCAGGCCAGGTGATTTTGCATAGGTGGATGGAGCTGAGTTCTGTGGCAGCTGTATTTTGGGGATAATAAGTAGAACATCCTCTGCATTTCACTACAGAGATGGACATCAGTGCTCCAACAGACTGTCAACATTTCACAGAGTTCTGCAGGGAGAGGCTAATGGGAACACATGGGATGACACCCCTGCTGTGGCTTTAGGAGACTGGGCAGAATGTGATCTTATCATCAGCTGGGACCACTGGCCCAGTGAAAACCAAATCAAGCCTCAGACACACCCGGATGCTACATATGAATTATATGGGACTGCACGGATGATACATAAGAATTATATGGGACTGCATTGATACACGTGGGCTGTCCTCCAGTGAGAGGTCCCTCTTTTTTCACTGCCTTAGAGAGCACCAATTCATATCCACAAACATTACCTAAGTCCCTCCCGGTGTTGGGTGCTGTCTTTTAGGAGCTCATAGTCTAGTGGAAAGAGGGCTCTACAAGCCAATTCAATAAAATAAGATGCTAAACAGAGGTATGAGCAAGAGATGCTTAAGTTTTTGGGATGGGTGGGAGGGTGATCAGGGGAGGCTTCAGGGGATAGTTGATATCTGAGCTAAGTCTTCTTCCATGTGGGTGTTACCCAACTCAATGATTTTACTTTCATTATTAATGTAATAAATGTTTACTGTGAAAAATACATATAAAATAGCAAAAAAGCAATGAGTATTAAATGAACATCAACCAACAATTTATCACTCAGAGATAAGCTCTGCAATGATTATAATGGTGTCTTTCCTGCCAGCAAAGTCCTCTCTATGTATTTAATATGAAAATGAGATCACATTTACATGCTGTTTTAATATGCTTTAAAAAATTGGTTAATACTTAACCATATATTGTGGCTGTCTCTTCATATGAGTCCACACTGCCATTTTTTTTTTTTTTTTGAGATGGAGTCTCGCTCTGTCGCCCAGGCTGGAGTGCAGTGGCACGATCCCTGCTCACTGCAAGCTCCATCTCCCAGGTTCACGCCATTCTCCTGCCGCAGCCTCCCGAGTAGCTGGGACTACAGGCGCCCGCCACCACGGCCGGCTAATTTTTTTTTTTTTTAGTAGAGACGGGGTTTCACCATGTTAGCCAGATGGTCTTGATCTCCTGACCTTGTGATCCGCCTGCCTCGGCCTCCCAAAGTGCTGGGATTACAGGTGTGAGCCACTGCGCCCGGCACACACTGCCATTTTTAATGGCTGTGTAGAATTCCACACTGGAAGCTATTTTATAAGCTTAGTTATTTTTCAGCAAGGGAGAGAGGATGCTACATTCTAAAATTATGCCTGCCTGCCAGCTCCAGACAGGCAATGGGACCTGCTCTTCCTCTGAGCTGCAACTGGATGCATTTTGGCTCCAAGAGAGTCCAGTTAATTAGACTTGTGTCTGCCAACAGAGAGAGTGGACAAACATGGGGAGGAAACTGTTAGCAGCAAAGATGAGGGGAAGGAGGGAGGCACGACGGAGAATCAGCAATTTGTTAGAGGCAATGAAATGGAGCGAGTTATGCCTCCTGCTAAATTACCATATGTGCTAATTGTATATGCACCAGTAATTGTTGGCTGCTGCTCATTTACATTTGATTATTATATTTGCAGTTTTTAATTGCATTTGAATATTTCTGCTGCGAATACTGTCAAGATCATCATTAGCTGTCAGCAATCCTCAGTGCTTCTGCTAATAAAATGCAGATCTGGTACCGGGGCCTTGATTTTATTAAGATAATGTTGGCAATAGTAGTAGTCATAGTAATAATAATAAAGTAATAATAATAACAATAATAATAACAACTACCTTTCTGAGTGTCCAGTGTTTGGGGGAGCTGTCCTAGGTGGTAGTTCATAAGAAATAGTGCAGAATTTTAAGGATGAAATTGGGGTTTATTCCTAGTTCAGTTCCTTACTACTGTGTAACCTTAGGCAAGTTATTAAACCTCTCTGATCTTCAATTTATGTGTAAAAATGCAAACTCTGCAGAACTACTGGGCAGGTTAGAAACAATAGGTTAAAGAGTCTGATGTGTGACAGGGTCTTAATAAATGGTGATTGTCATTACTCTCCTTTACCCACAAATCCTCTATATCCCCATTGCCACCATCTTTGCTAAGGGCCTCAACACCATTCACCTAGACTGACACAATAGCTTCCTAACAGGTATTGCTGCCTCCTTCGTCTCTCCTCTAGCTGACACACAGCAAGTCTTTCTAATATACAAATCTGGATGCATATATTTTCCATGTTCATAGAATTTTGATGGCTGTCGGCAGCCTCAGGATAAGTTGCAAGCCTCATAATTGGTGCACGAAGCCTTAATGAGCAGCCACCTTCATGAGCAGGGCCAGGCTGTAGTGAAGGATGTCATGATGTGCTACCCGGACCCCCTTATAGGACTGCAGGCTCGCCCCCCAGCTGCTGGAGGTACTGAGAGGAGACAGCCTTCAGCTATCAGCCATGTTTGGAGTTGTCTCCACTAAAGAGCCGCCTTGACCAACGTGTCCCCCTTCCTTGGGCAGCCCACAGTGATTGGCTGATTGACATGGGTGCATAAAGGCCTGGCCCTCTCACCTCAACTCAGGACAACTCTGAAGAGCCATCCAGCTTCAGACCACCCTGGGGTCCACTGAAGCCTCACTGAGACTGCACCAAGGCCAGCTACTCCCTCTAAACAACTCTGCCCCCTTCCTTTCTGTTGCCTTCCCCAGATGTTGGTCCCTAGGGCCTTCCTAATTAGACACCCCTTAGTAGACCTCCTTCTTGCTAACTTCCATGTCAGAGTCTGCTTCCTAAGAAACCAACTTGCAACACAGGCTACTTCTCCAGATTAGTATCCCACCTCTCCCGTCTGACATGTGCCAGATGTCTTTCCTTCCCTAATAGGCCATTCACTTCTCACGTCCCTGCCTTTACTTATGTTTCTCTCCTTTTCCAGAAGGCCCTTTCAAAGTTAGTAGCCTAGTGTACTCCTATTCCCCCAGCAAGTTTTAGATCAAATGGTGCCTCCTCCAGGAAGCCTCCCCGGTCATTCCAGGCAGAGTTAAAGGCTGGGTCCTTTGCGTCCTGAGGGGCCTGTCTGTGTCTCTGCGAGCACTGATCTTACTGTATTGTCATCTCCTGTTTAGCTGTCTGCTGCCCACACTAGCTGTGTGCTCCTTCTGGCCCCATCTCAATCATCTCAGCGCTCAGCTGGGGTCTTGTATGTGTCATAAGCTGAGCAAATTTCTGTTTAACATATGAAAATCTTGACATGCCCAGTGCTGGGAGATTAATGGACATTTGTTAAGGGTGTTGCTAATTTGCAATGTTGGGAAAACTCAGAGCATGAAGCATTTGGCAGCTTTCTCCCTTTTTCACTTAATATAATCTTGCAGAAAATCTCGTGAAGCTGTAAATTTTAGTGTGTACGGCTCCGTGTGTGTGTGCGTGCACGTGTGCGTGTGTGTGTGTGTATGTGTGTATGTTTGCATATGGTTTCCACATTGGAGGATAAGTCATAAGAAGCAGGTTGGCATGACTTGACCCCCCCTCAGGAAGATTCCCCTAGCTCTGCACACTTATGCTCCTCAGTGTGGAAACTCTTGCCCCATCCCCACCTACCACACCCCCAGGTCTTGTTCAGACAGCATCTTCTCCAGTAAACCTTCCTGACCTCTGCGAGCAGGATTATAAGCTCCAAACTCTGTGTTCTGAGACCCTCCTAAATATACCCCTTATTATTTTGCATTAAAATAGTCTGGTGCGTCTGTCTCCCTGACTAGAGTGCATCTTGTTAAAGGAAGAGTTGGGCCTCAGAGCTCTCATCCCAGCACATGGTTTCTGCCTGGCATCCTAAAGGCTATTAGAAAGAATGAGGAAGGAAACAGGTTTTGAAAATTATAGTGAAGATAACACTCACTGAGCATTTACTGTGTGTCTGGCAATATTATGAGTGCTTCATAAATGTTAACTCATTAAATTTTTATGTAACTGTGTGACACAGTACTGTTATTCTCTCTGCTTTATAAAGAGAGAATGAGGGAACTGAGGTCCAAAGATGTTGAGTAACTTAACGGAAATCCATAGTCAATAGGTGGCAGAACCAGGATCAAATTCTAGCAGTCGAATACCAGAGCCTGGGCTCTAAATCACAAAGCTACTCTGCCTCTGCCTGCATTCTGTGAATATCCACCAAGTGACATGAACTTTCTGAGCACCTAATGTGTGCCAAGCATACCTCTAGGTGCCAAGAACATTTTGGAGAAGAAACAGACATAAGAATTCCTGTCCTCATGGAGCTTACACTCTAAATGAGGTAGCCAGTAAATAAAAAGGTAAACATAAATATAAATATATAATGTTGATTCTTGCTATAGAAAAAAATAGAGGAGGTGTGTGGGTAATTTTTGAGGGTGGCAATTTTAGATGAGGTTGCCAGGGAAGGCTTTCTTGAGAAGATGTTGTTGAGTAAAGACTGGAGGAGAAAGGGAGGTTGTCATGTAAAACTCTGGGGCAGAGCATTCTAGGAAGAGGGTACAACAGGCTCAAAGGCAGGTGCCTGAAAAACAGGCTTTTACAAGCCTGGAAAGAAGTGAGTGAAGCAGATGAGGCTGGAGAGATAACAGGCACTCACCACATGGAGCCTCATAGACGATTGCTGGAAATTCAGCTTTACCTCCGAGTGAGATGGAGAACCTGGGGCTGGTTGAGAAGAGAGGAATGACATGACCTGGCTGAGGTTTTAATAGGATCCCCTGCAGCTGCACTGGGAATTGACTAACAGGGGCAAAGGGACAATTGGGGTAACCAGGCATGAAGCTGTTACAATCACCCAGGAGAGAGGTGATGGTGACTTGAACCAGGGTGGAAGCTGGGGAGATGCTGAGAAGTGACTGGATCCTGGATGTGCTGAAGGAGGAGACAAGATTTCTTCATGGATTAGATGTAGGGTGGGAAAGGAAGAGGATAATCATGGATCACTGATGTTTGAGGGCTCACACTGGGGAGAATGGAGCAGTTCTGGGAGCAGCCAAGAGCTTAGCTTTATGCACGGAACGCTTGCAACAGGGAGGCAGGGCACAGGCTCTGTGAGCCCTGAGAGGCTGTGGAGCCTAATGAAATGAACATTCACCAGCAACATTTATTGAGAACTGGGGGTATGTTAGGTACTGTTCAAATTATGTTCAGACATTCAATCTCATAATTGTCTCCAAACCTATGAGGCACAAAATATTATCACCCCAATGTACTGTAAGGGCACATGGGCAGTAAGTGACACACTGGGGCTTGAACCCAGGCACTGTCCCCCTGCACGTTTAACTCAGATGTGTCACTTCTCAATATCACTATAATTTTTTGTTTTATTCTGACTTGATCCTCACAACACTAATAATGAATAGCGATGAAGTCCCTGACTATCCGCTAGGTGCTGTTTTGAGTGTTTCCTATGAATTGAGCCACATAACATTCAGCGAGCCATCCACAGGCACAGAGAGTGAAGTAACTGAGCCAAGTCACAGAAAGGAGTAAGATTTGAACTCGGGAAGTCTGACCACAGCCCACATTTCCCCTGCTGTATTGTTTTTTTTCTTTTTTTCTTTTTCTTTTTTGAGATGGAGTCTTGCTCTTTCTCTCAGGCTGGAGTGCAGTGGCACGATCTTGGCTCACTGAAACTTCTGCCTCCCAGGCTCAAACTATTCTCCTACATCAGCCTCCCGAGTAGCTGGGATTACAGGCCCATGCCGCCACACAGAGCTAATTTTTGTATTTTTAGTAAAGACAGCGTTTTGCCATGTTGGCCAGGCTGGTCTCAAACTCCTGACCTCAGGTGATCCACCCACCTTGGCCTCCCAAAGTGCTGGGATTACACAGGCTTGAGCCACCATGCCCAGCCCCCACTGTATTGTTTAAGTGAAGTGGGAGTCACTGAAGCGATCATGGCAGAAGCGTGATGTGATATGATGGAAACGTGTCTCCTTAGCTGCTGTGAGCAGAGGATGCAGGAGCCCAAGGGTAGAAGCAAGAAGACCCATAGGGCTGATGATGGTGGCTGGTGAGATGGTTATGGTGGAGTGGGGAGGAGCTACCATGTTCTGGACAGTGCTCTGCATCCATCCACTCATCACTCACTCATTCACTCACTTAATCATTCACTCATTCATTCACTCACTCATTCACTCATTCACTTACTCATTCACTCACCCACTTACTTGCTCACTCATTCACTTGCTCACTCATCTACTCATTCATTCATTCACTCACTCATTTACTCACTCACTTCATCATTCACTCATTCATTCACTCAATCATTCACTCATTCATTCACTCACATAATCACTTGCTCACTCACTCATTCACTCACTCACCTGTGCACTCACTCATTCATTCACTCAGTTGCCCGCTCATTCATTCACCCACTCACTCATTCACCCTCACGTTCACTTGTTCACTCACTCATTCATTCATTCACTCACTTATTCATTCATTTACTCACATATTCATTCACTCATTCACTTATTCATCCACTCATTCACTTATTCATCCACTCACTCACATATTCATCCCCTCACCCACTTATTCATCCACTCACTCACTTATTCATCCACTTACTCATTCACTGGGTACCTGCTCTGTGCTAGTTGTCAAGGAGCTAGTGGAGTCAAGGCAGCCCCAATATCCATCCTCACAGCTCCATCTCACCAGGAAAGGAGACAAGAAAAACACCTGACATCGTTCATTTTTAAGAAGTTCAGGGTTCCATGGAGCATATATCCAAGAAGCCTAGTCCATCTTGTGCCCAGAGCCAAGTTCAGCTAATAAAAGGCTTCAGGAACACACAGAGAGATACTCAGTCACTCAGGCTCAGACAGGAGGCAGGAGAAGACTTCGCAGGGGACAGGATGTCTGACTCAGGCCTTAAGGCTAGAAAAGCAGTGGAGGAGCATTTAGACAGACGGGGCAGCTGGTGCTTAAACCTGGCTGACGGTTCAGAGAGCAAGTAATGCTTTGAGTTTACACTGATGGATATAGCTCATTTACTCAACAGGGGAAGCAGTGGGAGAGTGGAAAGCTAGAGCCGGGGAAGAATTACTTGAAGACTGCTTGCTCTGGGTGTGTTCTTTTAAGTACCAAACTCCTTCCAGATCCATACCCCACAACCAAAACTTCCTTAGATGACCTCAAGCCCTTCTCCTGGGAGACCAAGCTTAAACACTCTTTTGATAGTTTTTAGTCTATGATAAAATTTTCTGTGAAGTAAATGTCACACATCTATGAAAGATGGTCTCTGGCTTAAAAGACACTAAGCTTGTGAGATGAAACATCTGCAAGTGCCATGTGGTGATCAGAGGCCACTGATAACTGTGTGGTCCCGGGAAGGTCATGTCCTCTCTCTAGGCTCAGTATCTGCATCTCTAACATGGATGGGAAGGTCTGATGAGATCAAACATCACCCCTACAGCTCAATTCCCACAATTTCCTTCTTCTAATCTCAGAGTATTAGACAACCAAAGTAACCATTTAGATTCAGTATAGTCAATATAGCACTTTGGGGCATGTGTCAGCTTCACACATGCTACGGGCTCTGTGTGTGTCACTCCATTCAACACCTTTATGAGGTATAAAATACTCAAGGGACATGCATGCGTATGTTCACCATGGATAAGAATGTGCACAGCAGCTTTATTCATAGAATCCCCCAATTAAACCAACCCCATTGTCCAACAGCAGTAGAATGATTAAATAGAGTATATTCATATAGTAGAAGAGTAGGCAATAATGAAAAAGATTAAACTTATATACAATAGTATATCAATGACATTATGAATCTCAAAGACATTATGTTAAGTGAAAGTAGCCAAACATAAAACAGTATTTATTATATGATTCCATTCACATTAAGTTAAAAAGAGGTTACGCAGATGGCTTGTGTTAGAGATTGGAATAGCAGTAGTAGCCTCTTGGTGGGGCATTGACTGGGAATGAGGCATGAGGGACCCTCTGATAATGTTCCGTATCTTGATTTGGGTGGTTGTCACCGACAAGCATATGTATGTAAGAAATGTGTTGAGCTATCTGGTTAAGACCAATTCACTTTGCTGTATGTATGTTACCTAAATAAAAAATAAATTTAAAAAAACCTATGAGATACATATTAATCAGTAGGAGAAAATCAAATGGTTGTGATGATCTGAAAATAATACAAGAGCTTTGCAAGATGCAAGCAATTCATCTTTTTAGACATCAAATCTCATTAAATTTTCTACATACAATGACAACTTAATACATAGGTAAGAGAACTGCCCTCCTGATCCCCCAAAACCCTGAACAAGCAGGCAAGATTCCTTTGCTATATGCTCTCAGAGAAGCATGTTCATTTCCTTTAGAGCATTTATCTCAGTTTAAAGTAACATACCATTAATCTCAGTTTAAAGTAACATACCATTCTGCTGTTTAATTGATTAATATCAGTCTGCCCTACTGGGCTGTGAGGTCTGGGGTGATGTCTGATTTTAATCATTGTGAAATACCCAATATCTAGTTAAAGGCCTCATGTGCATAAGATGCTCAATAAACATATATATATATTAGTGAATGATACCAACTAGTAATAAGCTAAGAATCCTATATATGGAAAGTTTATTGAGGCTTGAGAATAACTCAAAAGAAAAACAAAGAACATCTACTTTATTTCATGAGTCTCATCCTTTATTTTTTACAACCTTACAAAATGTATGGGTAAAACCTAAAAAACTGTGTCAAAGAACATAGCACCTGTGAGGCCAGAAAACAAGACCTGACTCTGGCCAAGTCCACTATAACTGTACAGTTTATGTTCTAGTTACAGTTAAATTAAGCTGGAACTCAATAAGAAAAAGCTAAACAATCTCCAAATGTTTGGAAATTTTATAACACACTTCTCAAAAATTAGAAGTGGAAATTACTATAGAAATTGGAAAATAATCTGAACTCACCTATAATGAATACATGGCATATTAAAACTTACATAAAACCATGCTGGGAAGAAAATTATCACCTTAAGTGCATTGTCAGAAAAAAAATGCTGAAAATCAACAATGTATGTATGTAAGTATTTATATACAAAAATTAGGAATAGAATATTAAAAATGACAAGTTAGGACATAATTTTTTAAGGGGTGGAATCAATGAAATAAAAACAAATAAACAATATAGAAGATCAATAAACCCAAAAGCAAATTCTTGAAAACCACCAATAAAATTGATAAACCCACAGTAACACTGATAAAGAAAATAGGAAAAAAACACAAAGAACACTAGGAATGGAAAAGGGGACATTACAGAGCCTACAGACATTAAAAATATAATAAAGAGGTATAAATTTGCAAACATAGATAAATTTAAAAATTCTAGAAAAACATACCTTACCGAAAGCTAACATAGGCAAAAATAGAATATCTCAGTAGTCCTTTATCTACAAAAAAAGATTCAGCTGGGCACAGTGGCTCACGCCTGTAATCCCAACACTTTGGGAGGCTGAGGCGGGTGGATCACGAGGTCAGGAGTTCAAGACCAGCCTGGCCAACATGGTGAGACCCTGTCTCTACTAAAAATACAAAAATTAGCCACGCACGGTGGCTATAATTTTTTGAGCAGTTCCTAGTCTGGGGCCTGTTGCCTGGCACTTTACATACATTATTTCATGTAATGCTCAAAACAACACTTTAGAGTAGATACCATTATCCATCCCCAGTTAACCTTTTCTCTTTAGTTGTGACAAAAACATATAAAATTCACCATCTTAGATGTTTCCAAGTGTACAGTTCAGTAGTGTTAACTCTATGTACATTGTGCTACAGATCTCCAGACCTTTTCCTTCTTGCAAAACTGAAACTCTGCAGGCTGGGTGCAGTGTCTCACGCCTGTAATCCCAGCACTTTGGAGGCCGAGGTGGGTGGATCACCTGAGGTTAGGAGTTTGAGACCAGCCTGTCCAACATGGTGAAACCTCATCTCTACTAAAAATACAAAACTTGGCTGGGCAGTAGTGGCACGCACCTGTAATCCCAGCCATTTCGGAGGCTGAGGCAGGAGAATCGCTTGAGCCTGGGAGAAGGAGGTTGCGGTGAGCTGAGATCGTGCCACTGCACTCCAGTCTGGGTGACAGAGTCAGACCCTGTCTAAACAACAACAACAACAACAACAAATCTAAACATTTTGCTAGATTCTGGAAATTTCAGATGAAAAAGTAATCGCCTTTGCCCAAGAACAACACCTGGTCTCAAATATATTGTCTAGTTGGAGGCCCAGGTTTGGTTCCAGGTAGGCTTTCTTCAAGCAGAGTTGAAGGGAACTCCCTCTAGACAGAGGGAGCAATGTAAGCTCTACTCAGGAAGCAACAGAGCATGTGGATCAACCCAATGCTCCTGGAGGGCTTCCCAGAGGCTTCCTGAAGACAGCATTGGAAAGAGTTGAGGCCAAATTTTGTAAATCCTGACAACCTAGGAAGAAAGGTCTGGAATTATTTTAATAGATCTTTTGGGGCCACAAAGAGCAAGCACAAGCCCTTAGGAAGAGTAAGTTGGCAGTGGTGGCAGAAGGATTAGAAGAGACAAATAGAATGGAGACATGGTGCACAGTGAGCGGGTTACAACAATCCTGGTGAGACAAGGGGAGAGAATCTCGCACATACTCAGCCCTTACTCAATGGCAGGCAACACACCAGGCACTTTATTAATCACTGCATGTAACCTTCATGCTGATTCTATGGTACTACTGCCTCCAGTTTGCAGATGGGAAAACCAAAGCATAGGCTAAAAAGATCGCCTAAGACCACGCAGGTTAGAAGTGGTACTACTGGGATTTGTGTTCAGGTGTGACTTCAAACAGCACAGGATCTTTCTCCTTACCTTTTTCATTCTCCTAAAAGTGAATAAGTGACAATGACAGCCTAGAGTAGAGGGGATGGCTAAGTGTAATAGAGTGGACAGGCTGAAAAACAGATTGACCAAACTGCAAGGGACAAGAGGAGGACACAGAAATAAAGACCTGCAGATGGGGCCACTCATCATCTGCCTTCCCAGTAATGCACTCTGGGATGATGTGCAGCAGCACTGGCAATCATTTCCAATGGGTGCCACTGATGGTCCAGCTTCTTTCAATGGGAACAACTAATGGGACATTGTGCCATGAGCTTTAGCTTTATTTTCCTGTAAAACAGGAACACCGAAATTGATCTCACAATGTTCTTATAAGAATTGGAGGTTCTTTATCCAATGTGTCTAGCACTGGCCCTAAAACATGGTGGAGAGCCACTGAATAATGCTTTTATGGCCAATAATGACAAATCTTTGGCACATATTTATATGTGGGGAAGGGGATAAAAAGTAGTGACTCTGAGCATAGAAAAGGTATCTCATCACAGAAACTACTCTTTTTAAATTTTCTTCCTAGGAGCTCCTCAACTGAGACATCTGATGGGGGGTTGTTGCTGCTTGAGCTGGATTTCTTCAAAGACTCGTTGGGGGATCTTCAGGTTGGAAAAGTTCAAGGAATATGAACTTCTTAACATAATCCTTAAACATATCCATTTACAACTGTACCTTCTCAAGTTGCTTTCATGGACATTGTTCTACCCCTGCATTACCTGCTGAGAAGCAGCAAGGACAGAACTGTCATTCAAGATGAAGAAATTAGTGCCCAGATGCAGTTTGACATATTATCAAATGTTACAAAACAAATTAAGAGAAAAAAATGAAATACCTAGAAACACAGCTAACCAGGGAGGTGAAAGATCTGTGTAACGTGAATTACAAAACACTGCTGAAAGAAATCAGAGATGACATAACAAATGGAAAAATATTCCATGCTCATGGATAGGAAGAATCAATATTGTTAAAATGACCATACTGCTCAAAAGTTTACAGATTCAAAGCTATTCCTATCAAACTACCAATGACATTCTTCATGGAATTAAAAAAATTATAAAATTCATATGGAACCAAAAGAGAGAGCCTGAATAACTAAGGAATACTAAGCAAAAAGAACAAAACTGGAGGCTTCATGCTTACCTGACTTCAAACTATACTAAAGGGCTACAGTAAACAAAATAGCATGGTACTGGTACAAAAATACCAGATCAATGGAACAGAATACAGAGCCCAGAAATAAAGCTGCACAGCTACAACCATCTGACCTTCAACAAAGTCAACAAAAACAAGCAGTAAGGAAAGGAATCCCTATTCAACAAATGGTGCTGGGATAACTAACCAGCCACATGCAGAAGATTAAAACTGGACCCTTTCCAGAAAGACTGAAACTTAACTCTTTCCTTACACCATATACAAAAACCAACACAAGATGGATTAACGACTTAAATGTAAAACCTAAAACTATAAAAGCCCTTGAAGAAAACCTAGGAAACAGCATTCTAGACATTGGGCCTAGAAAAGGTTTCATGATGAAGATGCCAAAAGCAATTGCAACAAAACCAAAATTGACAAATGGAACCTAATTAAACTAAAGAGCTTCTGTCCCGCAAAAGAAACTATCAACAGAGTAAAAAGACAACCTACAGAATGAGAGAAAATATTTGCAAACTATGCATCTGACAAAGGTCTAATATCCAGGATCTGTAAGGAACTTAAATTAGCAAACAAAAAGCAAACAACCCCATTAAAAAGTGGGCAAAGGAAATGAACAGACACTTTTCAAAAGACATACACACGACCAACAAGCATATGAAAAAATGTTCAACATCACTCATCACTAAATAAATGCAAAAGAAAACCACAATGAGATGCCATCTCACACCAGTCAGAATGGCTATTATTAAAAAGTCAAAAAATAACAATTGCTGGAGAGGTTGAGGAGAAAAGGGAATGCTTATACACTGCTGGTAGAAAAGTAAATTAGTTTAGTCACTGTGGAAAGTAGTTTGGCAATTTCTTAAAGAACTTAAAACAGCTGGGCACGGTGGCTCACGCCTGTAATCCTAGCACTTTGGGAGGCCGAGGCGGGTGGATCACTTGAGGTCAGGAGTTTGAAACCAGCCTGGCCAATATGGCGAAACCTCCTCTCTACTAAAACTACAAAAATTAGCCAAGCGTAGTGATACATGCATGTAATCCCAGCTACTCAGGAGGCTGAGGTAGGAGAATCTCTTGAAGCCGGGAGGCGGAGGTTGCAGTGACCCAAGATCACATCAGTGCACTCCAGCCTGGGTGACAGAGCGAGATTCTGTCTCAAAAAAAAAAAAAAAAAAAAGAACTTAAAACAGAATTACCATTCATTCCACTAATTCTACCTTTGGGTATATACTCAAAGGAATATAATTTGTTTTATTATAAAGGCACATGCATGTTCACTGCAGCACTATTCACAATAGCAAAGACATGGAATCCAACTAAATGTCCATCAATAGCAGACTGGATAAAGAAAATATGGCACATATACACCATGGAAAAGTATGCCACCATAAAACTGAATGAGATCATGTCCTTTGCAGGGACATGGATGCAACTGGAGGTCATTCCCCTAAGCAAACTAACCCAGGAACAGAAAACCAAATACTGCATGTTCTCACTGATAAGTAGGAGCTAAACATTGAGTGTACATGGATACAAAGAAGGGAACAATTGAAACCAGCGCCTCCTTGAGGGTGGGAGGAGAGTGAGGATCAAAAACCATCTATCGAGTACTGTGCTTATTACATAGGTGATGAAATAATCTGTACACCAAACCCCTGTGACATGCAATTTACCTATATAACAAACTTGCATGTATACCTCTGAAACTAAAAGAAAAACAAAAACAATAAATTAAGAGAGAGCCAGACTGAGAATCTGGGTTTTTAAGACCGTGGGAAATAGGGCTTTTAACCTGCCTCTGTATTTGATATCTGGATCAAGGAAGAGTGAAATTATGCTGAGAAAATTATTTTTAAAAATGTTAAACCTATGTTTCACTATGAGTTCTATTATGCTTTGGGTTTTTGCTAACCCTTGCATATGCTTATATAATTAAGAAAGAAAAGAAGGAAGGAGAGAAGAAAAGTTTAAAGGAAGGGAGGGAGGAAGGAAGGAAGGAAGGAAGGAAGGAAGGAAGGAAGGAAGGAAGGAAGGAAGGAAGGAAGGTAGGTAGGAAGGAAGGAAGAACAGACAGGCAGGAAGACATCAGATCCCTTGTCATAATTCATTCACTAATCTATGTATTCAACAAGATTTTTAACACTCAACTTTGAGCCTTCTTAGTTGTGTGACCTTAATAAAATTAACTTCTCTGAACCCCGTTCTATATATATCTTATATTTGAGTAATAGCAACTGATGGCCAGAATTCTTTTGAGAACTGAGTTAATGAAGGTAGAAACCTTCCATAAACCACAAATTCAGTAAAATGCTTGCCTGTAGCAGCAACAGCAGCAGGAGAGCAATGGTGTTAGCACACTGCAAAAGTATTGATACAGAAAGGCATAGTATCTTTATTTTATTTTTTTATTATCATACTTTAAGTTCCAGGGTACATGTGCACAATGTGCAGGTTTGTTACATATGTATACATGTGCCATGTCGGTGTGCTGCACCCATTAACTCGTCCTTTACATTAGGTATATCTCCTAATGCTATCCCTCCTCCCCTCTCCCCCCACCCCACAACAGTCCCCAGTGTGTGATGTTCCCCTTCCTGCGTCCAAGTGTTCTCATTGTTCAATTCCCACCTATGAGTGAGAACAGGCGGTGTTTGGTTTTTTGTCCTCACGATAGTTTGCTGAGAATTATGCTTTCCAGCTTCATCCATATCCCTAAAAAGGACATGAATTCACCCTTTTTATGGCTGCATAGTATTCCACGGTGTATATGTGCCACATTTTCTTAATCCAGTCCATCACTGATGGACATTTGGGTTGGTTCCAAGTCTTTGCTATTGTGAATAGTAAGGCACAGTATCTTTATATTCAACTTTTGGGAAACCTCTAAAATAAGTCACTGAATAGTAGTCCAGCAATAATATTCATGGCATAAAAAGACAAGTGTCTCCCAGGTGTCAAATTTGACTAACATGAGGAGTTAAATTGACCAGTACAGTTTTGCAATGGTGGCCCTATGTTTAGAAATCAAATGGAAATACGTGTTTCTTTCTTAGCAAAATAATGAACATCTACCATAAGACACATCAGGGCACATTATGTCTTCAGGTCCCTTTCTTTGTAACATATGAGCTCTAGAAAGCTAAACAGCTATCCTTGGGGCATTACTAAAGCTGAAAGCCTAGGGCATCTACATGCCTGAATTTGTTACTATAGAAAATAACATGTATTACAGAGAGCAGGGATCTTGGAGGCCTCTGAGTTCCAGCTCCTCCACTCACAACTGTGTTATACTGAGCAGGTACTTCATGTCACTCCAAACCTCATTTTCTCACTTATAAAATGGGAACACTAGGACCTCAGCAATATGGCAAATTGCATATCCTGAAAACACCCACTATGTTACTGTACAAATGCTGCATGAAATAAACACACCTGTAGCTGCGGTTGCCAATAATGAAGAGTTGAAAATAAGAGTGGTAAGCTGAAGCTAACCCATGGCTGCCCTGAGCAGACTTGCTGATATGAGTAAAAAGAGGCATGTGTTTTAATCACCCCAAGGAGATGAGCCAAGGCCCTGGGTCTATGCAAGAAGAAAAGCTGCAACTGAGACTGTAAAGCCAGGCATTCTTAGAGCTACTGACTCAGACATAGGGCAGTATGGGAAAAAGAAACAAAAAAAGCAAAAGAAGACACAAAAGAAAATGATCCTCCTTGGCTAGGGCTCTGGGTGGAAGAAAAAAAGGCTTCCCTAAGAATTTATAATCAAAGGGGTGGAGCCAAGATGGCCAAATAGGAACAGCTCCAGTCTACAGCTCCCAGCATGAGCGACGCAGAAGATGGGTGATTTCTGCATTTCCAACTGAGGTACAGGGTTCATCACACAGGGAAGCGCCGGACAGTGGGTGCAGGACAGTGGGTGCAGTACACCATGAGTGAGCCAAAGCAGGGCGAGGCATCGCCTCACCCGAGAAGTGCAAGGGGTCAGGGAATTCCCTTTCCTAGTCAAAGAAAGGGATGACAGACGGCACCTGGAAAATCGGGTCACTCCCACCCTAACACTGCGCTCTTCCAACAGGCTTAACAAACGGTACACCAGGAGATTATATCCTGCACATGGCTCAGAGGGTCCTACGCCTATGGAGCCTCGCTCATTGCTAGCACAGCAGTCTGAGATCTAACTGCAAGGCAGCAGTGAGGCTGGGGGAGGGGCACCCACCATTGCTCAGGCTTGAGTAGGTAAAAAAAGCGGCCAGGAAGCTCAAACTGGGTGGAGCCGACCACAGCTCAAGGAGGCCTGCCTGCCTCTGTAGGCTCCACCTCTGGGGGCAGGGCACAGACAAACAAAAGACAGCAATAACCTCTGCAGTCTTAAATGTCCCTGTCTGACAGCTTTGAAGAGAGTAGTGGTTCTCCCAGCATGCAGCTTGAGATCTGAGAACGGGCAGACCACCTCCTCAAGTGGGTCCCTGACCACTAAGGAGCCTAACAGGGAGGTACCCCCCAGTAGGGGCGGACCGGCACCTTATACAGCCGGGTACTTCTCTGAGACAAAACTTCCAGAGGAATGATCAGGCAGCAGCATTTGCGGCTCACCAATATCCACTGTTCTGCAGCCACCGCTGCTGATACCCAGGAAAACGGGGTCTGAAGTGGACCTCCAGTAAACTCCAACAGACCTGCAGTGGAGGGTCCTGACTGTTAGAAGGAAAACTAAAAAACAGAAAGGACATCCACACCAAAAACCCGTATGTATGTCACCATCATCAAAGACCAAAGGTAGATAAAACCACAAAGATAGGGAAGACACAGAGCAGAAAAACCAGAAACTCTAAAAATCAGAGCACCTCTCCTCCTCCAAAGGAACGCAGCTCCTCATCAGCAACAGAACAAAGCTGGACAGAGAATGACTATGACAAGTTGAGAGAGGAAGGCTGCAGAAGATCAAACTACTCCGAGCTAAAGGAGGAAGTTTGAACCAATGGCAAACAAGTTAAAAACTTTGAAAAAAAGTTAGACAAATGGATAACTAGAAAAACCAATGCAGAGAAGTCCTTAAAGTAGCTGATGGAGCTGAAAACCAAGGCACAAGAACTACGTGACAAATGCTCAAGCCTCAGTAACCAATGCGATCAACTGGAAGAAAGGGTATCAGCTATGGAAGACAAAATGCATGAAATGAAGCATGAAGAGAATCTTAGAGAAAAAAGAATAAAAAGAAATGAACAAAGCTTCCAAGAAATATGGGACTATGTGAAAAGACCAAATCTACGTCTCATTGGTGTACCTGAAAGTGACGGGGAGAAAGGAACCAACTTGGAAAACACTCTGCAGGATATTATCCAAGAGAACTTCCCCAATCTAGCAAGGCAGGCCAACATTCAAATTCAGGAAATACAGAGAATGCCACAAAGATACTCCTCGAGAAGAGCAACTCCAAGACACATAATTGTCAGATTCACCAAAGTTGAAATGAAGGAAAAAGTGTTAAGGGCAGCCAAAGAGAAAGGTCGGGTTACCCACAAAGGGAAGCTCCTCAGACTAACAGTGGATCTCTCAGCAGAAACTCTACAAGCCAGAAGAGAGTGGGGGCCAATATTCAACATTCTTAAAGAAAAGAATTTTCAACCCAGAATTTCATATCCCACCAAACTAACCTTCATAAGTGAAGGAGAAATAAAATACTTTACAGACAAGCAAATGCTGAGAGATTGTGTCACCACCAGGCCTGCCCTAAAAGAGCTCCTGAAGGAAGCACTAAACATGGAAAGGAACAACTGGTACCAGCCACTGCGAAAACATGCCAAATTGTAAAGACCATCGAGGCTAGGAAGAAACTGCATCAACTAACGAGCAAAATAACCAGCTAACATCATAATGACAGGATCAAATTCACACATAACAATATTAACCTTAAATGTAAATGGGCTAAATGCTCCAATTAAAAGACACAGACTGGCAAATTGGATAAAGACTCAAGACCCATCAGTGTCCTGTATTCAGGAAACCCATCTCACGTGCTCACGTAGGCTCAAAGTAAAGGGATGGAGGAAGATCTACCAAGCAAATGGAAAACAAAAAAAGGCAGGGGTTGCAATCCTAGTCTCTGATAAAACAGACTTTAAACCAACCAAGATCAAAAGAGACAAAGAAGGCCATTACATAATGGTAAAGGGATCAATTCAACACGAAGAACTAACTATCCTAAATATATATGCACCCAATACAGGAGCACCCAGATTCATAAAGCAAGTCCTGAGTGACCTACAAAGATTCTTGGACTCCAACACAATAATAATGGGAGACTTTAACACCCCACTGTCAACATTAGACAGATCAACGAGACAGAAAAGTAAAGTTAACAAGGATATCCAGGAATTGAACTCAGCTCTGCACCAAGCGGACCTAATAGACATCTACAGAACTCTCCACCCCAAATCAACAGAATACACATTCTTTTCAGCACCACACCTATTCCAAAATTGACCACATAGTTGGAAGTAAAGCACTCCTCAGCAAATGCAAAAGAACAGAAATTATAACAAACTGTGTCTCAGACCACAGTGCAATCAAACTAGAACTCAGGATTCAGAAACTCACTCAAAACCGCTCAACTACATGGAAACTTAACAACCTGCTCCTGAATGACTACTGGGTACATAATGAAATGAAGGCAGAAATAAAGATGTTCTTTGAAACCAGTGAGAACAAAGACACAACATACCAGAATCTCTGGGACACATTCAAAGCAGTGTGTAGAGGGAAATTTATAGCAGTAAATGCCCACAAGAGAAAGCAGGAAAGATCTAAAATTGACACCCTAACATCACAATTAAAAGAACTAGAGAAGCAAGAGCAAACACATTCAAAAGCTAGCAGAAGGCAAGAAATAACTAAGATCAGAGCAGAACTGAAGGAAACAGAGACACAAAAAACCCTTCAAATAATCAATGAATCCAGGAGCTAGTTTTTTCAAAAGATCAACAAAATTGATAGACCACTAGCAAGACTAATAAAGAAGAAAAGAGAGAAGAATCAAATAGATGCAATAAAAAATGACAATGGGCATATCACCACCAATCCCACAGAAATACAAACTACCATCAGAGAATACTACAAACACCTCTACACAAATAAACTAGAAAATCTAGAAGAAATGGATAAATTCCTCAACACATACACCCTCCCAAGACTAAACCAGGAAGAAGTTGAATCTCTGAATAGACCAATAAACAGGCTCTGAAATTGTGGCAATAATAGCTTACCAACCAAAAAAAGTCCAGGACCAGATGGATTCACAGCTGAATTCTACCAGAGGTACACGGAGGAACTGGTACCATTACTTCTGAAACTATTCCAATCAATAGAAAAAGACAGAATCCTCCCTAACTCATTTTATGAGGCCAGCATCATCCTGATACCAAAGCTGAGCAGAGACACAACCAAAAAAGAGAAATTTAGACCAATATCCTTGATGAACATTGATGCAAAAATCCTCAATAAAATACTGGCAAACTGAATCCAGCAGCACATCAAAAAGCTTATCCACCATGATCAAGTGGGCTTCATCCCTGGGATGCAAGGCCAGTTCAACATACGAACATCAGTAAACATAATCCAGCATATAAACAGAACCAAAGACAAAAACCACATGATTATCTCAATAGATGCAGAAAAGGCCTTTGACAAAATTCAACAACCCTTCATGCTAAAAACTCTCAATAAATTAGGTATTGATGGGACATATCTCAAAATAATAAGAGCTATCTATGACAAACCCACAGGCAATATCATACTGAATGGACAAAAACTGGAAGCATTCCCTTTGAAAACTGGCACAAGACAGGGATACCCTCTCTCACCACTCCTATTCAACATACTGTTGGAGGTTCTGGCCAGGGCAATCAGGCAGGAGAAGGAAATAAGGGGCATTCAATTAGGAAAAGAGGATGTCAAATTGTCCCTGTTTGCAGATGACATGATTGTATACCTAGAAAACCCCATCGTCTCAGCCCAAAATCTCCTTAAGCTGATGAGCAACTTCAGCAAAGTCTGAGGATACAGAATCAACGTGCAAAAATCGCAAGCATTCTTATACACCAATAACAGACAAACAGAGAGCCAAATCATGAGTGAACTCCCATTCACAATTGCTTCAAAGAGAATAAAATACTTAGGAATCCAACTTACAAGGGACATGAAGGACCTCTTCAAGGAGAACTACAAACCACTGCTCAATGAAATGAAAGAGGATACAAACAAATGGAAGAACATTCCATGCTCATGGGTAGGAAGAATCAATATCGTGAAAATGGCCATACTGCCCAAGGTAATTTATAGATTCAATGCCATCCCCATCAAGCTACCAACGACTTTCTTCACAGAATTGGAAAAAACTACTTTAAAGTTCATATGGAACCAAAAAAGAGCCCGCATCACCAAGTCAATCCTAAGCCAAAAGAACAAAGCTGGAGGCATCACGCTACCTGACTTCAAACCATACTACAAGGCTACAGTAACCAAGACAGAATGCAACTGGTACCAAAACAGAGATATAGATCAATGGAACACAACAGAGGCCTCAGAAATAATGCCGCATACCTACAACCATCTGATCTTTGACAAACCTGAGAAAAACAAGCAATGGGGAAAGGATTCTCTATTTAATAAATGGTGCTGGGAAAACTGGCTAGCCATATGGAGAAAGCTGAAACTGGATCCCTTCCTTACACCTTATACAAAAATTAATGCAAGATGGATTAAAGACTTACATGTTAGACCTAAAACCATAAAAACCCTAGAAGAAAACCTAGGCAATACCATTCAGGACATAGGCATGGGCAAGGACGTCATGTCTAAAACACCAAAAGCAATGGCAACAAAAGCCAAAATTGACAAATGGGATCTAATTAAACTCAAGAGCTTCTGCACAGCAAAAGAAACCACCATCAGAGTGAACAGGCAACCCACAGAATGGGAGAAAATTTTTGCAACCTACTCATCTGACAAAGGGCTAATATCCAGAATCTACAATGAACTCAAACACATTTACAGGAAAAAAACAAACAACCCCATCAAAAAGTGGGCAAAGGATATGAACAGACACTTCTCAAAAGAAGACATTTATGCAGCCAAAAAACACATGAAAAACTGCTCATCATCACTGGCCATCAGAAAAATGCAAATCAAAACCACAATGAGATACCATCTCACACCAGTTAGAATGGCGATCATTAAAAAGTCAGTAAACAACAGGTGCTGAAGAGGATGTGGAGAAATAGGAACACTTATACACTGTTGGTGGGACTGTAAACTAATTCAGCCATTGTGGATGTCAGTATGGCAATTCCTCAGGGATCTAGAACTACAAATACCATTTGACCCAGCCATCCCATTACTGGGTATATACCCAAAGGGTTATAAATCATGCTGCCATAAAGACACATGCACATGTATGTTTATTGTGGCACTGTTCACAATAGCAAAGACTTGGAACCAACCCAAATGTCCAACAATGATAGAGTGGATTAAGAAAATGTGGCACATATACACCATGGAATACTATGCAGCCATAAAAAATGATGAGTTCATGTCCTTTGTAGGGACATGGATGAAGCTGGAAACCGTCATTCTCAGCAAACTATCGCGAGGACAAAAAACCAAACACCGCATGTTCTCACTGATAAGTGGGAATTGAACAATGAGAACACATGGACACAGGAAGCGGAACATCACACACCAGGGACTGTTGTGGGGTGGTGGGAGCAGGGAGGGATAGCATTAGGAGATATACCTAATGCTAAATGATGAGTTAATGGGTGCAGCACACCAACATGGCACATGTATACATATGTAACAAACCTGCATGTTGTGCACATGTATCCTAAAACTTAAAGTATAATAATAATTAAAAAAATAAATAAAATAAAATAAAATAAAATAATTTATAACCACAGACCTACCTACGACCTTATAGTTTTGGAATTCCAATGGATTCCACCTGCATGATCTTGGCTCAACAATTTATGTAAAGTTGCCCTCAGTTGTTTGCACTCCAGGTGCTGGTCAGATCCAACAACAAATACCTTTTTTAGGGACAGATGTTAAAGAAAATTATTATGCAATTTACATAAGTTTTTGTAAACGAAAATAATGGTACATGGGGCAACGATCCTCAAATCTTTTTATTATACTGGTATATCATCTTGATACCAAAACCCAGATAAGTGCAGCCTCATTTATAAACATAATTAACAAAAATAAATCCATGACTTGAAAATCAAAAACAGCAGTGCAGACAAAAATAGTACATCAGGAACAAGCTGGGATTGCCACAGATATGCAGAGCTGGTTTAATATTAAAAAATCCACCAGTGAAATATACCACATTAGCACAATAAAGAAAAAAACTATGATATAATTTTAATAGATGAGGTAAAAATGTGTACAATAAAACAGTAATTAACCTGATAAGAAGATTCTTCTTGAAGAAGAACAGGATGGAAGGACTTACAAAAAGAACTTACAATTTACTGTAAAGCTAAAATTAGTAAGATGGTGAGTTATTGATAGAAGGATAGACAAAGAGACCAAATAAAAAGATTAGTGAGCTCAGATACACACAAATATGGAAATAAGACAAATGGCAGAGGTAGAATTTGCAGATCAGGGAAGAAAAACACAAAGAAGCACAATCATCAAAGCAGAAAATTGATACATTTGACTGTATTAAGCCAGGAACAGTGGCTCACTCCTGTAATCCCAGCATTTTGGGAGGCTGAGGTGGCTGGATCACCCGAGGTCAGGAGTTCAAAACCAGCCTGGCCAACATGGTGAAACCACATCTCTCCTAAAAATACAAAAATTAGCTGGGTGCGGTGGTACATGCCTGTAGTCTCAGCTCTTTGGGAGGCTGAGGCAGAAAAATCGCTTGAACCCGGGAGGCGGAGGTTGCAGTGAGCAGAGATCATGCCACTGCACTCCATCCTGGGTGACAGAGTGAGACTCCATCTGAAACAAAACAAAACAAAACAAAAAAGAACCCTAAAACTTCTACATGTCAAAAGGTATCATAAAAGAGTGAAAAGTTAAGCCACAGACTTGAAGAACATATTTGCAATGTATCTAACTGACAAAAGATTAATACTTAGGAGTTGTATCCAAACTGAAACACACACACAAGTGAAAAAAGCAGAAAAAAAAAGATTCAAGATTGGCGGGAAAACATCAATTGGTTTAACATGTGTGGTAGGAGTCTCGGGGATGACAGAATACTACAGAAGAACTATTTGAAGAGATGAGTAAAAAAATTCCATGAACCCCAAGGAGAATAAATACAAAGAAATCATATTTAGGCACATGGAAGTCAAACATGTCAAACCCAAGGATAAAGAGGAAAATATGAGAGAGAGAGAGACAGAGAGAGAGAGAGAGAGAGAAGAGAAATGAAGGGGGGAAAGAGAAAAAAAGGGAGAGAGAGATGGGAAAGAATGATAGTCAGGTACAGTTAATTTAACCCTTGTATGATTGGCCAGGTGAGTTAACCTTGCGGAGGATGCAGAGTCCCAGACAGAGGGAATGGCAGAGATAAGGTGCAGAGTGTACATGATGCATTTGGAACCGATCAAGTAGTTCATATTACTGGGGTCCAGATGTAAAGTTGGCAGATGAAGTTGGAGACCAGGGACCAGATTTTAACCTTTAGTCATTCATTCCAGAAAAAAAAAAAATTCTGACTCTTATTTAGTATAACCATATAAATAATTAAAGCTGCCAGCCAACACCATCTTGTAAACTTGCCTCTGAGTCTCTTTCCACAACCCCTCTCATGCCTCTGGACTTTCTGAGAATGCACACCACTTGTGGCTCAGCCTTGCCCAGCATCAGTTGGGTGCACACTCAGTGCCAGTATCTGGGGTGCCCTGGAAGTAAGCCTCACTCTCCAGACCCAGCATCTCCCGCATGCTTAGGGAGAGCCAGAGCCCATTACCTCACTGTAGCCACACTGCTCCCAAGAGGCTGAATCTTGGTCCCTGCAACTGTCCCCTCACCTTCAGGCCACAAGCAGGGGTCTGCAGGTAGAGAACAAATCACCTGGACAGACGGTGCCGACCTCCTGCCTGCCTCCAATTCTATTGACTGCTTGGCTTCCCCTAGAGATCCCTCCACTGGGATAACCTCACTCCCACCCATGCATTATTTGCCCAGCAGCCAGAGAAATCTTTACAAAATATCTCTCTGTGCTAGTTCAAACCCTCCAGTGGCCTCCCAGAATGAAACCCAAACACCTACTCCTGCTCACCTCTCTCTGTCTCCTGTCCCCCTTCTCCTCCTCTTGAACACTGTGCTCCGGTAACACCAGCCTTCACTACGCTCTCACCTCAGGGCTTCCCATGCACTGCTCCTGCAGCATGGAATGCATCCCCACTCCAAAGGGCTTTTCTGATTAATCCCTACTCCTTCATCCTTCAAAATGTAAGATAAATGTCGTGTCTTCTGGACACCTCCCAAATCTCTCTAAAAGCATTAAGGAATGCCTCTTCTACTTTCCATAGTACCTCTTTTAATTGCTGTTACAGAACTCAATGTATTACTTTTAAATTGTTTTCTCATCCATAGTCCCACTGGGCTTTAAACTCCTTGAGGGCAGGAACACTGGCATATGCTTATCTGTGCCTTGTGGTGCTGACACGCAGTGGACTCTGAGAACACAATTGTTGAGTGAGTGAGTGAGTGAAGGAATGAATGAATGAAAAATTTATTACGGCCCACCTACCAGATCTGATTCTAAACGCTGGCCTTTGTATTTTTCACGGCTAAATTTTAAATTGCCAGATTTGAATCCAGAATTTAAGCCCGAAAAGATACAAATGGATTTTTCCATCCACAGTTTAAACAATCCCTTTAAGAGGATGTCACTTAAAACTTCTGTAGCGGGTTGAATGTTGACTCCCTGGAGGTCATGTTCATGTGTAATCTGAGAAGGTGAATTTATTTGAAAAATGTAAAAAGAGTCTTTGCAGATGGAATTAAGTTAAGGATCTTGAGATGAGATCATTCTGAATTAGGGTGGGTCCTGATTCTAAGATGTGTCCTTATAAGGGACCAAAAAAAAAAGAAGAAAGGAGAAGAAACAGAGAGGCCTTATGAAGAAGGAGGCAAGGAGGCAGACATTACAGTCATCCCATCACAAGCCAAGGAATTCCTACAACCGCCCACTAGAAGCTGGAGAAGGCAAGGAAGGAGCCTCTCCCACAGATTTCAGAGAAAGCACAGCTCTGCTGACACCGTGGTTTTAGACTTCTGGTCTCCAGAACCGTGAGCGAATCCATAATTTCTGTTATTTGAAGACACCCAGTTTGTGGTCATCTTTTACGGCAGTCCTAGGAAACAAATACAACTTTTTATGCTTCCTACGTGTTCATCAAAGAATCACAATCATAGAATGTGAGCGTAAGAGCAATCCTGGATATTTTTAAATCAGACTCTCTCGTTTTCAAATAAGAAAACTACAATCTAGAGGGGGCAAAAAGGGCCTCCAACTGTGATCCCGGCCAAGGTATTCTGATTCTGTTTCAATTTTATCCATCCAAATAAAGCTTGAAAAATAATAGTCAGATGGGGAAAAGGACAGTCCTAGGTCCTTCACCAGAAAACTCACTGTCAATCTCCAGCGTTCTCACACATGACACCTGGCAGTAGAGACATCCAACACAGACTCTGCGCCAGGTAGAGGTGGCCATGATGGGGGGAGGCTGCTTTGTCATGGTGTGTTCTTGATGAAAAGGCACTGGCTATATGCATCTCTGTGGACACACACCACCTTGCAATGATCCATTCTCATTAAGCCTCACATTCATTTCCTGCACAGATTTCCATTTCTCTTTTTAATAAGTCATTTCCCTCATCCTAGATTTGTTGTCTTCATATTTCTGATCAAGACTCAGAGAAAACATCTGCCAGTTCTTTATTTCCCAACAATAAAATCCAGCTGGGCCTGGAGACCTCATTGAAGAAGCTGGGTTTCTTTCTCATTAATCTCCCGAGTATGAAAACTCTTCACAACAATAAATGAGATGGAAGCATGACAGTAATAATGAACATCTGTAGTGTTTTCCTTGTTCACTGAGCATTTTCGCATCCAAGCCCTCATCTGATGCACCCAACAGTCCCCTGCAGGCAGCTGTCAATCACAATGTCCCACCCAGGAAAAGCAGTAGGAATCTGGCGTGAGCTGAGCTGGCCAATCAGATGGTGCCTCCCTCCCATCACAGGGAGTGGCTCAGGGATGGGTGCATGACCCAGCCTAGCCAACCTTTTCAGGACTTTCAGGGGTTGTAGACTTTAGCCTTAATTCCAGCTGGATTTCAGCCTCCCACCTGGCAAACTCCTTGAGGCTCCAGATAATCTTTTTTCTCCGTGTGCCCCACTTCTCCTCCTACAAACCAAGTTCATCAGAGAGCTTCCTGTGCAGCAAAATCAGTGACAAATGGTGAAAAGAACAGTGGATGTTGGTACAGCTGCTTTGGCAAAATGTTTGACAGCATGTATTCAAACTACACATAAGCACAGCCTACCACCCAGTAATTCTACATTTGGGTGTAACTCCAACAGAAAGGTGTATATGTTTGCACCAAAAAGCATACTAGAACGTCCCTAGCCGCAGTAATTTTAATAGCCCCCAACTGGAAATAACTCAAAAGCCCATCAACAGTAGAATGAATAAATAAATTGTGGTGTATTCATGCAACACAATACCGTATAGCAACGCATGGAAGCAATCTACAGCTGCCTGTGACAGTCTGGATGAATTTCACAAACACACTGTTGAACAAAGTAAGCCAAAGACCCTTGTCACTTTGTTCTGTGTGCCAGGCACGGTGCTGTGTGTACTTTATATACGTCTCAGACCTACTGTATGATTGCATTATATAAAGTACAAAGGCAGGCAAAGCTAATTGATGCAGTTGGAAGTCACAAGAGTAGCAATTTTTGGGCAATACAGCCTGGGTTTCTCAGGGTGCCAATATGTTCTGATTCTTGTTCCCGTTTGGGCATGAGTGTGTTCAATGTTTGAAAATTCTTTAAGCCGTACACTTATCATAAGTGCACTTTTCTGTATGTATTTAAGTTTTTTAAGTAAGTTTAAAAAAAAAGAACAAAGGCTATTCACTAGGGAAAAGGAGAGTCTTGGAGGGGAGGCTTGATTGTAGGTCTTTACGTATCTGAGTGAGTGCCAGGTGGAAGGTGTGAAGTTCAGAAAAGTAAAGCTGGAACATGGTGAGAGTGACTGGGAGACACATGGAGCTCAGTGTAGGGTGAGCTTTTTGAGAATTAGGTCTTTTCCCCGTGCAAGCTATGCTACCTTGAAAGGCAGCTCTGCCACCAATGCACCATAATTGACATGCCAGTAAGAGTCCAGATGCTCCCAGACACTGCCCCTGCAGACACCCACCCCCTCCTGGCTGCTCTGGCTGTGCCAGACCTTGTTTTCCTGAAGTCTAATCCCCTCCCATCCCCTCCTGCTGGTCCCCCATGTGGAAAGCTCAGTTTTCCCTGCTTCCTTTAAAGAGCTAGTAAGTGATGGGCAGGAAGCTGCCTCCCCCTGGAAAGACCATCTCCTCTCCTATGTGTCTACAGGCTTCTCTGTCCTCACTTCTGCATCCCCACTTTCAGGAGGAGAAAGTTGTGCAGGAGACCTTGTTAAGCGTTATTAGCCTTGCTAAGCATCTGAAGTGCTGCTGGGTTCAAAGGTTCAAATCGAAGACTCTATTTTTAGCAAAATGAGGCTGGAGCAGACTGTTCTGAGCAGCCTCCATTCCACAATGACAAGTACTTTAACAAGTCATGGTGTAACTTGGATTTATTAAAGTAGGATCCCAATTTTTTAAAGATAGGCACATTTCTGATATATTTGGCTAAGGTGTAACTTTCTATTATCTGAAATCCTCAGATAAAGTTGCTAATTCGACAGGCTATCTTGGATAATCTGTATACCTTGTACTAGTCTAAGTGCTTGCCACATATTAAGACATTTCATCTTCACCAAAGCAGTAGGAGTGGCACGCCATTGTCATTCTCTTTCCAACATGAGGAAATGGAGGACAGTGTGGCTGAGTAACTTACCCCTGGTCCTACAGCCAGTAAATGATGGAGCTGGGATTCAAAATCATGTATTCCTGAGAACATGCTCTTGACCACCACACTCTGCTGCCCAGTGCCTGCTGTGTGCACACATGTGCAGTGTACACAGCATTTTGTACAACCACCATGTGCAACAGGCAGTGCAATCACCATTTTATAGACCAGAAAACTGAAGTTTGTAGACATTAAGCTTCTTGCCCAAGGTGATCCATTAGTAAAGGATGAATCTAAGTCTATCTCATCTCCAAATCCACACATTTCCCACTCAATGGCAAGACTGCTTGAGAAACGAAATGTTCTGGTTTACTTAACATCATAATGAACTCAACTGTCATATGTAAAAATTCCTGGCACTGTGCTTGGTTTATGGAAAGTTCTCAGGAAGGGCACCTCCTTTCCTTCTAATTATGTGTTGTTAACATTCATTCTTTTGATTCAACCTGTGGGCTGAAAGTATTTCTAAATTATTTCAAATTCGTTGGGCATAAAGATTTCTTAGAAAAATGTATCCCAACTGGGAGACCCAACTCAGCCATTTATGCTTTGAGTGCCCTTGGGCAAGAAATGCAACTTTTCTGTTCCAATTTCTTCCCATTCAAAGATGATAGGAATATCCTCTCTGGCTAAGTCATTGGATTGCTGTGGCCCCAACACGAAAGCACAGGTAAACGTGCTCAGAAAAAATAAACAACAAAGTCTGTAAGAGTGAAAAGAATCATTTTATCCCATATCCATCCTTTCCACTTATAATACAGAAATAAAAAGGAATGAGTTCATAAGCCTATATAGTTATTTTATGAGCTTTGATAGGTACAGATTTAATCAATATTTTTTATTGAGCCCTTTCTATGTGCCAGACACTGAGCTAGGAAATAGAGCAGTGACCAAGAGAGACAAGTCTCCATCCTCATGAAGGTTACTTAACCTTGTCTAGGCCAGTATCTGTAAAAGATGTGGGGTTAAGAAACAGCTTCCATTTTACCAAACTTTTCCTACGTGCCAGGCAAGGTGCAACGTGCACTTGGTATACAATAGCTCATTTCAGACATAATTATTATTCATTATACCTATTTACAGATGAGAAAAAACAAGAACAGTAAGAGTATCTAACTTGTACATAAGCTAGTTAGTAGCAGAGTTGATTCAAAAGAGCGGCCACTTGTACTACACAACGCTTCCAATAATCTAACCTCATTTCCTACTGAAGTATGATTTATATTTGTAAATGAACCACGTCAAGAACCTGGATGATAGTCCAGAACAGAACAAACCTCATCAGATCACATGAGGTCAGCTAAGTCAGGTCAGACTTAGCTGGAGTCAGGGCAGATCCAGGTCAGGGCAAGAGGGAGTCCCAGGGAGGTCCAGAGAGCAAGACCAGGTTAGATCAGGTCCAGAGAAGGGGGCACTTGTGCACACTCCGGCCATCTCATTTCCAGGTATTGCTCCTCCGCCTTCCTGATAGAGACCCTTTTTCTTGGAGACGTCACTGCTTGGCTGCACTATCTGTTATGACTTCTTGTTTCTGCCACTTGCCAACCTCCATGTTGTTTCCATGGACCTCACCTCCTGATCTCAGCTTTCCTCTCTATCCCAAGTCCCTCCTCCCGCATGTGTGACCCCAGCCTCCCAAGTGAATGGCTTGTCCACCTCTCTGGCCTCTGGCTTACTAGATGTCCCCATCCCCAGTAATAACTTCTCTCCTTCACTCCAACTATCCACTACCTTGGCTACACTTTGGAATTCTTCATCTACTTTAATTGCTCCAGTCTTGAAATATTAAATTTGAACTCTTCACAGCTCCTATCCTTCTAACTCCCTCATACCTTTCCGTCCCCTCTACTTGAACTTGGACCTCATTGATACTGCCAGTCCTTTAAGCACTCTGCTATATTCCAGTATATCAGCTGTCCCCTTTCTTTACAAGCTATCCTATTTGCCTGAGAGTCCTTGGTTCATCATGTCAACTGTTCTCTTGCTCATGACTTCCTTTCTGCCACACTTCCACAGAATTCCTCAGCACACGTCAATCCCATGATATTGGTAAATGACATCCTCTAGGTTAACCCTACTGGAGAATACCACATAACCTTGCCTTAGCATAAGTCAGTGGTCCCCAACTTAATTCAAAATCTTGGTACTGCCCATAAACCTGTCCATTCCCCATTGCTGCTACTCCAAACCTTCACAAGTCCTTGTCAGCCTCCCAAACTGTATAGTCAAGGTCATGAGAGCAAACAGACTGATGCATCATATTAGGTAATCTGAGGTTATTTTAGCAAAGGGACTATTTAGAAAGATGTGGGCAGAGTTAGGGAAACCACAAGTAGCACAGCATTACCTGGGACTAGTAACAGAGGATGCACAATTACCAGGGACAAAGGGAGCTGTGTGGAGAAAGCTGCTGTGATCTTCAGATGCAAGGAGCTAGGGAATAAGTGCCTCAATCCCATTCTCCTTCCCACCTCAATATCCTGCTGGTATTCCCACTGGCCTGTCCCAAACAGAAGGAGGTATAAACAGAACCTATTGGTGTGGGGCACAGGGCAGGAAGGAAGCAGGTGTAGAGTGGACCTAAAGGGGCAAAGGAGAGCTGTCCAGCACCCAGACCATCCCTGCCATGCAAACACTCAGCAAATGGCTTCATCTCCAGCTTCACATGGAAATGCTCTCACTCACTGCTCCCCAACTTACCGACCATTGGCACCACCCCTGACCATCCTGAAGGGTCTGCCTTCTAGGCCCAGGGAACAGGTGCAGTACATCCCATGTCCCATCAGGGATTCTAGACCTGGACTCCTTAGGTATCTAGACAGAATTCAAGGAGTCCCTTAACTTGGAATTTAGTGAAAATAAAGATGTATTTTTTCACATCCAACTGAAATTATCGTGTCCCTCAATTGTGAAAGAAACAAATCACAGTTGCATTAGCAGTGTCTGTGATTCGGTAGAGTTGAAAGTGCAGATATTTTCATTATCACATTATAGTTATTACACATATTTCTAAATATGTCATTATTACTTTGCCATGCTCTTAGATCTTATTTAATACATTAATCAAAGTCCACATATTATTAAATCATAAATTTGTTTTTAAATATTTCAATAATGTTATCTAATAGACTATCATCGATTTCCTTTGCATTCTGTGCATTCTATTACAGAAAATTAAAAGCATTATTCTGAGAGAGGACCCCATAGCCTTCACTATCAAAAAGGTCCAGGGCACACCTGTTTAGAAATGTCTGGGCTGGGCTGTCAGCTCAGCAAAGGAAGGGACGTGCCTCTATTCTTCACCACTCCACCCCAAGCAACCAGCACAAGCCCTGGCACATGACAGGCACTCGGCTAGTATGTTCTCAATGAAGGAAGGAATTTTTACCATTCATTATGGGATCCTTTCTTCTGTGTATCTTTGTCCTCTCTTTCTCGATTGGCTCTTTCATCTCAGCACAAGGCTCTGCTAATCCTTCCTCCCCACCTCAAAAAATACCCGCTGTGGTCCCTTGATCCTCCTGGGCTATTGATCTCTTTCTCTTCAACTCTTCAGAGTCAGGTTTCTGAAAAGATTTGTCACCCTTGTATCCTCTGCTTCCTCCCTGACCATCGGTCCTCAGCCCTTGGTCATCAGTTTTTTTCTTTTCCAACCCCAACCATTCCATCTATCCCATTGAGAACTACTCTTTCTTTTTCTTTTCTTTGTTTTTTGTTTGTTTTGTTTTGTGTTTCTGTTTTTGAGACAGAGGCTTACTCTGCTGCCCAGGCTGGAGTGCCGTGGTGCAATCTCGGCTCACTGCAACCTCTGCCTCCCAGGTTCAAGTGATTCTTTTGCCTCAGCCTCCCAAGTAGCTGGGATTACAGGTGTGCACCACCATGCCTGGCTACTTTTTTGTATTTTTAGTAGAAATGGGGTTTTGCCACGTTGGCCAGGCTGGTCTCGAACTCCTGGCCTCAAGCGATCTTTCCGCCTCAGCCTCCCAGAGTGATGAGATTATAGGTGTGAGCCACTGCACCCGGCTAAGAGCTACTCTAAAGTCAAGTCCATCCATTCATTTGGCCAAATGATATTTATTGAGTGTCTACAGCATGGAGGCAAGGCAGCCAGAGCATAGAAGAAGACATGTACGATCTCTTCCCTCTTGGAGCTCCAGGAGGCAGATGTCAAACAAGTAACAGCAAGAGTGATGCAAGATATCAAAAGAAGGCATAAAATCCTTGTGAGAGTGATGTGGAGTTTCTCACATGCAGTGGGGTCCTCACTCTGGCAGGTGATGTGAGCCACTGCACAACCCCACGGGGAGCTCTGGGGCACCTGAGCCATACCTACGTCTGCAGGTTATAACTTTCTTCCTTGTCACTGTCTGCAGAAGTGTCCGTATCCTTTTCCATAGACTCTAAATTGTCTGTTGGCAATTTCACACCCATCTCTGGGACATCCAATTCATTCCATAAATAGTGAAGGTCCTGAAGGTTCCATTCAGAGCACTTTTCTCATCTTATTCTCTCTTACCCCCTCTTGTTCTGGGAAAATTTTCTGTGGATTCATCTCCCCTCTGTAACGGTAGCAGCTAAGGTTTCCTGAGTGCTCTATGCCAGCATCTGCACTGAGTGTTTTCCACATGTACATGCACACAGGCGCTGCTTCAACACCACATCTCCAGCCCAAAGTGTGGTAATATCAGCACTCAAAATGTGGCTTTTGGGGCTGTCCCAGACCTTTCCAGGGTGTCCAGAAGTTCAAAATGATTTTCATAATAAAAAGACTTTATTTGCCCAAACCTTCATACTCTCGTGAGTATAGAGTGGAGTTCTCCACAGGCCACATGACATAGGACAATGTCTTGTAAAAGTGGAATGTGGCCGGGTGCGGTGGCTCACATCTGTAATGCCAGCACTTTGGGAGGCCAAAGCGGGTGGATCAGCTGAGGTTAGGAGTTCGATACCAGCCTGGCTAATATGGTGAAACCCCATCTCTACTAAAAATACAAAAACTAACCAAGCGTGGTGGCAGGCGCCTGTAGTCCCAGCTACTCTGGAGGCTGAGACAAGAGAATTGCTTGAACCCAGAAGGCGGAGGTTGCAGTGAGCTGAGATCATGCCACTGCACTCCAACCTGGGCGACGGTGCAAGACTCCACTAAAAAAAAAAAAAAAAAAAAAAAAAAAAAAAGGGAATGCATGCTTGAGTGTTCTTCTGTTTGCTAGAGTTTTCTAAAGTACTAGGTTTTGGGAGGCTGAGGCAGGAGAATCACTTGAGCCTGGGAGGTGGTGGACATTGCAGTGAGCCAAGATCACGCCATTGCACTTCAGCCTGGACGACAAGAGCGAGACTCCATCTTAAAAAATAATAATAAAATAAGATAAAGTAGTAGGTTTGGGGCATAAACATGCATATTCAAAAATGATCTCAGATTGTTCTCAGAACTTCTACTGTGTCCTTATTAGCCATCTTCAGTGTAACTACTTGATCTCTGTAATCTCATTATCATCCCCAAAAATTGTTCCTTTGAAATTCTATAATTTTCCTTATACTCACTTAGAAACACAAAAATGAAACACATTTTGCCATTTAGTTTTGTGTTCGTTTAGGAAATAATTTCAAGATAACTTCCAGAAAATTATATATAATTTTAAATTTGCCTAAAACCATTATTCTATAATTTAATACATTTTACTTTAAAATAAATAAACATTTATTTACAGTGTATTTTTCTCACCTTGAAGGATAGTTCATTAGCTTTAGAAAATCTAAAATACGTGCTTCCTCAGCCCAAACCTATATCATCCATGTCTAACTGTGCTGGAAAAGGTGAAACTGACATATCAGGGAGTTCTGACTTTGGAGGAGAGGAAGCTATGCCAAAGAAACCAGGTCAGAAAACAAAGAAAACTATTTTCTTTCCTCCAGCATCATAGATACTAATAATTTATCTCATTGAATTTGTATACAGATTTAAGAGGTACCAATGCAGTTTTGTTACATGGATACATTACGTAGTGGTGAGGTCTGGGCTTCTAGTATAGCTATAACCCAAACAGTGCATTATAGAATAATACTGTGGTACTATTTAAGTTGTGGCATCATTTTGAGACCAATTTTTTCAGAGTTTAAAAGGAAAAAAAAAACTAAATATAGACGTACCTCATTTTATTGTTCTTTGCAGATATTGCATTTTTTTTTTACAAATTGAAAGTATCTGGCAACCCTGTGTCAAGCAAGTCCATCAGCATCATTTTTCCAAAGACATGTGCTGACTTTGTTAGTATATTTTAGCAATAAAGTATTTTTAATTAAGGTATATATATTGTTATTTTAGACACATTGCTGTTGCACACTTAATATACTACAGTAGAGTATAAACATAACTTTTTTTTTCTTTTGAGACGGAGTTTCGCACTTGTCACCCAAGCTGGAGTGCAATGGCAGGCCCTTGGCTCACTGCACCCTCCGACTCCTGGGTTCAAGCAATTCTCCTGTCTCAGGCTTCCGAGTAGCTGGGATTACAGGCACCCACCACCATGCCCATCTAATTTTTGTATATTTAGTAGAGACAGGGTTTGCCATGTTGGCCAGGCTGGTCTCAAACTCTTGACCTCAGGTGATCCACCCTTTTCGGCCTCCCAAAGTGCTAGGATTACAGGTGTGAGCCACTGCACCAGGCCTAAACATAACTTTTATATGCCCTGGGAACCAAAGAATTATTGTGATTCTCTTTATTGTGATATTCACTTTATTGCAGTGGTCTGGAACTGAACTGCACTATCTCCAAGGCAAGTCCCTATGTTAAATACAGAAAAAACAAGATCCATAAAAGACAAAAAAATTTTATTGCAGCTTTTCAAACTATAAATGAAGAAGCCACTGAAGCATATTCAGGATAAGCTATCCATTGCACTGGCTGACGAAGCTCAAAGGGTGGCTGAGGCTGATGAAGCCTTATGTGGGTGTCCCTGTTGCGTGAAAAGTCAGCAGAAGAAATTGCAGCATGGCCAGTTTCCAATGATATTGACATATAGCAACCCTTCCAATTAAAGATTTAATTGCAAACATGAAGACTGACTCAATCGCTCATTGTAGAATTTCACTCTTGTCTTACAAATGGACAAGTCAAGAGATATGACTGGACTTGCAGTTTTGCTTGTATTTGTCTGGTATCAGCAGCAACTAATCGCCAATGACCTTTTATGTGAATATCTTGCACAAACACATTGGTGGTGAAATACTCAAGGTGCTGAATAACTTTTTAATCTCAAAGTTATCATTTATTCTTGGAATATTCTTGGAATATTATTCATGAATATTCCAAGAATAAGTGATAAAACAAATGTTCTCCCAGATACTGGATCTCATTTATTCCAAGGATAAATGATAAAACAAATGTTCTCCCAGATACTGTGAACTCAGTGATGGGCGAAACTGCTGGCTCCTTTGCACAAATTCAAGCAGTGGCACCAAACTGCTTTCCAGGTAGTCATTGGATTTCTCACTACCTCAAATTCATAAATAAAAGCCAATTTCACTTAAGAATGGCACTGATGAATCAGGATAAAAAATTACTGAATTTTCATCCTTTGAGTATGCTTTTTAATATTCTGTCTGACAAAATAGAAAGTACATATAAAGTACTTCTCTCCAGGGGGGGAGAAAGCACTTTTGCAATTGAGTTGTAAGCTGGACTAGACACATTTTGCATGCTACCTCATTTTTACTTCACAGAATGTGTGACCTGCAAACCTGAATAGGAATGAAAGAAGCCTGTCATTTCAAGAAAAATATCAGAATGTATTTGTTGCCAATAAAATTTTGAGTTTTCAAGTGAAAATTCGTCTTTTAGAAAATTTGTGTCTCATATGAATTAGACAGCTTTTCAATTATTTAAAGATTTTCCGAATGAGTTCAGTGGTGGTATTAATAAATTAAATTTTAAAAATCTTATAATGGAATATGCCAATATGTGGAAGGTCTAAATAAGTCAGTGACTATTTTTCAAATTACTAATATATTGTGTTACAAAAATCATGCGTGGGTAAAAGAACCACTTAAATTTCAAGACAGAATAAAGGATTTTAACGTGAGAGAGAATGAAATCTCATTGACATGATTTCGGATTCTGTAACTCAAATAATCTTTAAGAAGATACTGCTTGTTGAGTTTTGGTGTGGTATCAAAGAATGTTCAAAATGACATGAAAAAACAAACTATTAAAATATTTCTCACTTCTTCAACTATGTATCTGTCAGAAGTTAGGTTTTCTTCATATATTTCAACCAAAACATGACATTGCAATTGAATGCATGATGAAGCAGATATAAGAATACTGGTTTCAATAAAAACAGGTATTAAAAAGATTTGCAAGAATGCAAACAATGGCATTTCCTCCCTGTATTTTCATTTTGAAAAAAATAAGTATTTTTGGTTAAAATGTTACTTCTGTTAACATTATGTTACAGTAGTCCCACCTTATCCACGGAGTATATGTTCCAAGACCCCCACTGAACGCCTGAAACTGCAGATATTACCAAACCCTATATAACCAGGTTTCTTTCTATACACACACACCTCTGGTAAAGTGTACATTATAAATTAGAACCAGTAAGAGATTAACAATTTCTCTTTGGCATATATTTGGCTTCTTTTTGGCATATCCAAATTGCCAACTTCACTTCTCTTGTGCTTTGGGGCCGTTATTAAGTAAGGGCTACTTGGAAATAAGGATTGAAAAACTCTGACAGTTGATCTGCTAACCAAGACTGCTCCTAAGTGACTAATGAGCAGATAGCACAGATGGCATAGATACGGTGGACAAAGGGATAATTCACGTCCCAGGTGGGATGGACGGGGCAGGCATGAGATTTCATCATGCTTTTCCGAACGGTGGGCAATTTAAAACCTATGAATCATTTACTTCTGAAATTTTTCATTTAATGTTTTTGGACCATGGTTGACTGTGGGTAACTGAAACCATGGAGAATGAAACCATGCAAAAATGGGGAGCTACTATACTTGTGTCCTGGATGTCCACGTGTAAGGATTATACAATGACTGCATACTGAAACAAATGCAACGTGGAGGAAAGAAAAATTATGAAAACTTTAAGAAAATAATGGCATCTGCAAAAAAATAGCAACTTTTGTAGCCCTAGTCAGCAATTAGCTTCAGAACATAAAAGCATGTCATTTAAGATTTGGTTTGCTTACACATGATATTTCTTCTTCACATTTAGAACCTGAGTGCATCCCTTCACAACTGAAAATGTCCTTATTTAATCGATTTTAAAAGCAGAACATTTTGTAACAATGTTAAGAGTTATCACACACAGTGCTGAGCACATGCCTGGGTTTTATCAGATTCTTGGAAGGAGACAAACTTGAGAACAGAAGTCTGAAGAAACGGACCATATTTGAGAGGGAAAAACAGGAACCCAAAGCTTTTTGGATAAATTCTCCTGCTTCCCACTGTGCAGCACACCTCCTAAGCACTCATTTTCAGAGTTACTAAGCAAAAGACCAAACTATTTCCCTCTTCCATGTGGAAATGGAAAATGTTCTGGTTTGGTGCTACAATATTTCTAAAACTCCGTTGGTTAGAGGTGCTCTTGTTCCTTCCTTGAGCCCTTCCAGCTAAGAGGATATAAAGCTTCTCTTGTCTAATGGCCATAGAATTTTGCACACAGGACAAGGCACAGAAAGTGCTGGCTAAATGCTGTGAAAATGGCACCAAATCACCAGCCCTCTAAGGTTCTGAACCTGTCAGCCACCGGGAGGGCCTGCAGCCCTCCTTCCCAACCAGAAGATAAAGACGGGCTGACTGCAGGTAACTGAAACCATGGAAAGTGAAACTGCTGATAAGGGGAAGCTATTTTAAAATGCATTTATAAATAAATAATTTCTCAAAATTCCTCAGTTTTTATTTAGTTGTTTTATTTTATTTTATTTTTTTTCGAGACGGAGTCTTACTCTGTCACCCAGGCTGGAGTGCAATGGCGTGATCTCGGCTCACAGCAACCTCCGCCTCCTGGGTTCAAACGATTCTCCTGCCTCAGCCTCCCGAGTAGCTGGGATTATAGGCAGCTGGCTAATTTTTTTAATTTTAGTAGAGATGGGGTTTTGCCAAGCTAGCTAGGCTGGTCTTGAACTCCTGACCTCAAGTGATCCACCTGTCTTGGCCTCCCAAAGTGCTGGGATTACAGGTGTGAGCCACTGTGCCTGGCCCAGTTTTTATTTATAAAATTGTAATTATTGGTAGATATATTCTACAAAAACATTCTCTTCGAGGTCCTCAATAATTTTTAACAGCATAAGAGGTCCTTGGAACAAACATTTTGCAAACCACTGCTCTAAAATGCCTATTTCACGTCTGCATGAATGACCGAGAACACTTTAAATAGGCATTCCTAAAATCCCACTTTAATAAAAATTAGCTAACAATTCCTGAATTTTTACTATTTGCCAAGTGTTGTAATAAAATGCTTTATAAGCCTCATTGTATTTAATCCTCACAACTCTATAAGTATTATTAATTAATCATATCAACTCTATAAGTTAATATGATTTATACTCAGAGTTGATATGATTAATACATCACCATATATTATTTGTCATTAATATTATTAATTAATGATGAATTGATACAATTAATGTCATTAATTAACATTAGTGATATTCCCAATCTTTGTTTTGATTCCCCAGTAGTAGGCCTGAGATTCGTCTGACAGTAGCTATTAGCAAGCTCTCCTGGGAAAACCACCAGGGAGTAAAGAAGTGGAACCAGGAAGGAAAAGACCAGCAGCAAATATGTGATATCAAGCCAAGTCTCCAGAGAAATCCCAAGGGGGAGCTTGGGGACAGTGAGTCACTTCTCAGAGGATCCTTGATTGGGCTACAAGAGAGCTGGAGGATTTACAAATTTATACTTGTGTCTCCAGAAGCAATTCCAGCTTTTTATGCATCAAACAACATTCTAGTAGGCTAAGAGAAGCCCTCCAAAAAAGATATGCAGGTTCTGACAAGCTGGAGCTAAGTGCATTGGGAGGTCCCATGAGGAGCCCTCATGTAAGCCCTTAATCACCTCTTAATATCATCACACTCACAACACCTGAATTTTGGAAAGAACACATTTAAACCAGAGTATTCCTCCCCTGGGACTCCAAAATTCATATTCTTCTCACGTACAAAATATAATCATTTCATCCCAATAGCCCCCCAAAATCTTAATTCATCCCAGAATCAACTTTAAAGTCCAAAGTCAAGAATCTCTTCTAGATATCATCTAAATCAGATATGCGTGAGATTCAAAGGTGAGATTTACTCTGAAGCAAATTCTCCTCTGGCTGTGAGCCTGTGAAATCAAACAAGTTATGTGCTTACAAAATACAATGGTGGGACAGGTATAGGCTAGACATTCCCATTCCAAAAGGAAGAAATAGGAAAGAGGAAAGGAATAACAGGTCTCAGTAAGTCCAAAACCCAAAAGGTAAACAACATTAAGTCTTAAAGTTGGAGAATAATGTTACTTTTTTTTTTTTTTTTTTTGAAACGGAGTCTTGCTCTGTCTCCCAGGCTGGAATGCAGTGGCACAATCTCGGCTCACTGCAAGCTCTGCCTCCCAGGTTCACGCCATTCTCCTGCCTCAGCCTCCCAAGTAGCTGGGACTACAGGTGTCCACCACCACGCCTGGCTAATTTTGTTTTTGTATTTTTGGTAGAGACAGGGTTTCACCATGTTAACCAGGATGGTCTCGATCTCCTGACCTCGTGATTCGCCCGCCTCAGCCTCCCAAAGTGCTGGGATTACAGGTGTGAGCCACCGCGCCTGGCTGAGAATAATCTTCTTTGAACCCCTGTCCCCCTTCTATACATGCTGGCTGCAGGGGACCCCACCCCCATAGCTTTGCTGGGCACAACCCATGCCTCAGATCTTACAGGTTAGAGTCTACAGCTCTCGCAGGCTGCCATTGTGTGCTAGTGGTTCTACAGGTGTGGGGCTTCAGGGGAGACCTGCCTTCATGATTCCACTAGGCATTGCCTCATTAGGGGCTCTCTGCAGCAGCTCTGCCCCTGCAGCAGATCTTTGCCTGAGTCTCAGGACTCTGAGACATTCTTTGAAATCTAGGTGGAAAAAGTAATGCCTCCATGGCTTGTTCACTCTGCAAACCTGCAGAATTAGCACCACATGGATGCTGCCAAGGCTCACCATCTGCACCCTCCTGGGAAGCAGTCCAAGCTGCACCTGGGCCTTCTTAAGCTATGGCTATGGTAACCAAAGAGTGCTGTACAAGAATGTGGGGAACCAGAGACTTGAGATGGTCCTGAGCTCTAAGACCCCACATGGGCCTTGGGACTCTCCCTCAAAACCACTCTGCCTCAAGGCCCTGGCACTCTGGGCCTGTGATGGGTACGGCTATCCCAAAGATCTCTGGGTCATTCTTCTATTATCTTTGTGAATAGCACCTGGCTGCCTTATATCCATACTAATCTTCTTATCAAATGATCACTTGACCATTCCCTTGATTTTGTTCTCCTAACCACATTTTTTTACTGTATACATGGCCAGGCTGAGAATTTTCCAAATCTTTACATTCTGCTTTCATTTCTGTTATAAATTCTATCCTTAAATAGGTTCTTTTTGCATTTTATTATAATCAATTAAGAGAAGTTATCAGCACTCTGAACACTTTGATGCTTAGAGATTTCCTCCAGCAAATATTCTAGTTCATCACTCTTAAGTTGTGCTTTCCCTGAAGTCCCAAGGAACAGACACAATTCAGCCAAGTTCTTTGTCATTGTGTAACAAACGTTGTCTTTCCTTCAGTTTTCAATAAGACATTGCTCATCTACACTTAAGAACTCATCAGAACAGCCTTTACTCTCCATATTTCTACCCACATTCTGATCATGACCACTTAGTAATCACTATAAAGACTGAAGCTGTTGCTACAGTTTTTCTCTTATTCTGAGCCCTCCCTAGAATTGCCCTTAATAGTCAATTCTGGATACTGTAGAGTTTCTACAGTATTCACTTCAGAACTGTTTCAGCCTCTACCCATTACCCAGTTTGAAAGCTACTTCCACTTTTTTAGGTATTTGGCATAGTAACACCCCACTCTTGGTACCAATTTCTGTCTTGGTCTGTTTGTGCTGCTGTAAAAAAATATCTGAGCCTTGGTGGTTTAGAAACACTGAAATTAGTTTTGTCACAGTTCTGGAGGCTGTGAAGTCCAAGACCAAGGCATTGGCAGGTTCATTTGTCTGGTGAGGACTGCTCTCTTCATCCAAGATGGCACTTTGATGCTGCATCCTCCAGAGGGGTGGAATGCTAGGTCCTCAAATAGCAGAAGGCAGAAGTTCAAGCTAGCTGACCACTGTGTGAAACCTCTTTTATAAGGGCCTTAATCCTATTTGTGATGGAGGAGACCTGGTGGCCTAATCATCTCTTAAAGGCTCCACTTAATACTATCATTAACAACACCTGAATTTTTTTTTTTTTTTTTTTTTTGAGACAGAGTCTTGCTCTGTCTCCAGGCTGGAATGCAGTGGCATCATCTTGGCTCACTGCAACCTCTGTCTCCCTGGTTCAAGTGATTCTCCTGCCTCAGTCTCCTGAGTAGCTGGGACTACAGGCACACACGACCACACCTGGCTAATTTTTGTATTTTTAGTAGAGACAGCGTTTCACTATGTTGGCTAGGATGGTCTCAAACAACACCTGAATTTTTGAGGGCACACACTAAAACCATAGTAGGAATGAAAGCAACCATGAACATGGACATGAAGCACTGACAGCATCTGCTATATCCCCATTTCACATCTGAGGTTAGTTATTTCTCTCCCACCTGAATATGTCTTCCCTGAAAAGACAGATTATCTTTATTAGCATCTGTATTATCCATCCCAGCAAACAGTAAAATCATTCCAAGCCTTACACAGAGGTATTATCTAGGAGTCCATCTCTTCCCTATCTCCTATATCCTATAGGAATTTGGCCACCAACTCCTGCTAATTTTATTTTCTTGACATCTCAGGAATGCGTGCCCATTAAAAATACTGAGTGCATTTTATTGCTGTAAAATTGGTGTGAAGAATATAGTTCATTCTACTTGTGAAGGTAGAGATGCCACCTATTACCGCCTTCCAGAAGTGGATGTGGGAACATTAAAAGAATTGGATCTATAGAGCAGATTCTTAACCCATCAATCTAGGGGAGGGAGGAAGCAACAGAGAGAAGAACATCAATTGCTCCCAGGAAGAACATCTCTGAAGAACTGAGAGGTCCAGGCACCCTCAGAGGAACACTCAACTTCAATATGACAATTATTTCTAAAAGGCAAAGGACACTAAGTTATGTTAGATACTCAATCACTCAGAAACCAAATAAGGCTATGAGAGGTAGAAAGAGATGGTAGCAACTTTCCCCAGTAAGTTCCTTAAAGAATAGAATTCTCAGCAGAAATTCCTGAGCAGTCAACTTGATAAAGAGGAGAGGGAGAAAATGATTCTCCTCATACTTTCCATCCCCACTGCCACCACCTTAGTTGATTACTGCAACAGAGATCTCACGACCTCCCTGCCTCTGTTCTTTCTGCCTCCACTCAATTCTGTGCTGCCATGGAGAGCTAGCTAACAAGGCAGACATAATCCCATGTCTCTCTCCCTACTTAAAACCCTTCTGTGCCTCCTCATTGTCTGCAGGATGAAATCTAAATTCCTAAGGCTCACATACAAGGTCCTTGGTGACCTTCTCCCTGCCTTTCCAGCCTCAATTCTAGTCATTTGACCTTTTGCATTTTATAATTTTGTTACTGCAAGCTGTTTGTGGAGGAAATACCTTCTCCCTGACTCTTTATAACCTGGACACCTGTCATTAATCCTTCAGTATTCAGTTCAAAGGTCAATTTCATCCAGAAGCCTTATCTGAACTCTTCATGCTGGCCTAGGTGTCCCCTTTGTTTACTACTCTCTATCTTAGCACTCATCACACTGTCCTAGGATTTCTTGCCAATCATCACAAAAGTACTGTGATCTCATTGAGAGCTGGGACCCTGTCCTTCTGGTCTTTATACTACTAGTATGTATCATCGTGCCTGGCACAAAGCCAGAGATTGCTGGATGGATAAATGGGTAAAGCGGAGTGAATGCTTCAGGACCCTGGATAGTTCTCGAACATGCTATGGCTCTAAAGGTTACTAGGCACACTCGGTGTACATCTTCTGGTTGGGACTCTAAACTTACATTAGGGATCCCTCAAATCCTTTAGACTGGAGTTTGCAGTCTTTTTTTCCTTTCAAACAAAATTAAAAGCTTTAGTGTGTACAATAAAATTGAACGTGCCCACAGCCTTATAATTACAGCAAGTTTGTACAACCTTAAACTTGGGTTCATTCCCATCCTGCCTTTAGCTATGAATTATCCTGCAGACACATTTATTCTTTCAACCACTGTCCTGTTCCAGAGGGTCCGCTCCCTACCAGTCCTGCACCAAAGCAACAATCTCCAAAAAGCGGCTAGTGACAGAAATAAGCCTGCAGATCCTGAGGGCCAACGTATGCTGACAAATGAATTAGACAAGACAGCATCCTGGGGCAGTGCACACAGTGGAGTAGTGAGCTGGGGTTGCTTCCTGAAGCCCCGCTGTCAATGACAAGTACGCAGTCAAGTGCTGGTCCAGTCCAGCCCTAACAGGGACTTCTTACTGTGGGTCAAGGTCATAGGGCCTGAAAGGCACTGCCCTGAGGAGGGCACCCAGAGGATCAGCTCGGAAGTTGGGCCGATTGTCCTGATACTCACTCACTGCTGTGTGACCCTGGTGAAGTTCTCAACCTCTGTGACCCTCTGCTGTCTGTCTTCACAAACACCACCAACTTCAGCAAGCTGAGTGAATTAAGTAACATGCAAAACACAACAAGGAAAGCTTGACCTTCCTCAAGGCTCTTCTCTTTTTCTGGGCTTCCAACTTTTAAACTGATAACCCGAAAAAAATGTAGTGTTGTCAGGCCCACGTTTGCTGGGTTCCTCTACAGGAAGGAGTTGGAAGGTCCCAATTCCACACACCAAAGGGATGCCCAGTCCTTTCCCATGAGGGGGCCTGGCCACCCAGGGCCTCCAGAGGCCAGCATCTGCCCCAAGACTGTGGCCCCTCCTGGGTGTAGGGGGAAAACCATTCTTCAATCAGACTGCTGAGAGCCCTCGTGGGTTGAAACATTGGTCAGACTCCACCTTGGAGAAGCTAAGTGACATCAGAAAAAAGACGCAGCATTCACAAGGCACAGAGCCAACAGACACAGCAGTGAGGTCCACCATCAATGGACCCAAGTGAACCAGGGGGCTCTCCAGGCCCCACAATTTGGGGCTGGTCTGGAGTACCGAGGGCAGCATTGGGAATATGAGTCTCCTTGCCTGGCTGAGAAAACAAGCTCAGTGGGGCCTGTGCCACCTGAGGCCCAGTAGGGGCCTGGCAGTCAAAGGGGAGCAGGCGGTGCCCAGTCCCAGCTCCCAGGCCGGCCGGGAGAGCCAGAAGCCACGTGCCTGGCAAGAGCACGCCAAAAGCAGGAGAACACTTGACCGTTTTCTTGGCCCAGCAAGGAAACCACCTTCTACTCTGCATTTTAAAGGAAAAAGAATGTGTTACTGGTTTAAGTTTTTAGAACTTTTCCAGAGAAAGGCTGACTAGCAAGAACGGGTGCTAAAGGAATCCACCTCGCCTCACCTCTCCTATGAAATTGTAAAAGGAATTAGCACTTGAATGAGGAGGCCAGCATGTCTGGAATGAGAACCAGCCAAGCACGCAGTTTGACGGTAGGGTCCCGGAGCCATGTCCTCCCCCTTTCAGGCTATAGTCCTGACTACAGGAATTGGCCAAAGAAATGTGCAGTCTTACCCTCAAGAACCAATCCATTAGTCAGCTCTAAATATATCTGAAATATATTGCAATGTATCTACTTTCCATTTCTTCATTACAAGCCTATTCCAAGATGTTATTCTTTCCTGCACCATCACAGAAACTTCCTAAATAGGCTACTTGCTTTCATATCTCAATCCATCTTCCACATAACAGTCAGAGTGATCTTTTAAAACTACAAATCAGCTTGGTGGATGAAAGATGGCCGCAAGATTCTTTGCCACTACTCACATCAAGAAATGGAATCAATTTACTATCCCTTTGAGTCTGGCCGGCCCAGTAGCCTGTGTTACCAGTGGCATGCAGCAGAAGTGTCTCTGCATAACTTCCAGGACTGGATCTTGAATGGCAGGTGTATAGATGTAAGCAATTTAAAGAGTCCTGAAAGGTTGGTAATGAGGCACTTGACCCACTGATACATCATACAGGAAAAAAATACCAAGAGTAATAATAATAATAACAGCTTTTAAGAAGAATTCTTAGAAAGCCTGAGGCCTTCTATGTATAATTTTCATTATGTGTCAAAATCCTGTGAGGTTCATAGTAGTTTCACCGCATGAGAACACTATAGTTCTGGTAGACTAATTTTCTCAATAAACAAGAGCCAGCATTCAAATGAAGGGCTAACTGAAGCTGACACTTTTGTTCCTTCCACTGTCTCTTCCTGAATGAGAAATCCCCAAGTCCTCCTCCCTTTCTACTGGGGACTCTGACAAATGTTCTTCCCCAAGTCCAGACATTAGACTTAAGAGACAAGTCCCACTGTTGGTGAGATCTTACGTTCTCCAAATTATTAAAACAATAAGTCAGATGGCTCTTGGATGCCACATTGTATGACTATGATATTTGTTCTGCCCTAAGCAACTCCCCATAAATACAAAGGCCAAATCTTGTAATTGAAACCATATGTTAACCAATGCCCTAAACATACTTGTACATTCTCTCTTTCCAAATCTCAATGTTCTCCAAAAACTGCTAATGAGCTAAAAGGGGACTGGCATTCCTGTATCACTTCAATAACAGCAAAATCTGTGGTCAATGTCATTTTTAATGCATCCTCCCCCACCGCCTCCTTCACCTTCATTGTTCTGCAGACTTCCTTTCTCATAAAATGCAGAATGACCTCCTGGCAAGGAAGAACTGAAAATATTTCAGTTCTACAGGTCAGTGGTATTTTTATGGACTTTAAATTACATCAGTCAATCATAATCCTGCCTCTAAGCCTGAAATAATGAAAAATTATGCCTCCTCTAAATCATTTTAGTCTATAATTCAAATTATGTATTGTATAAGGGGCCCAGAGCCATGGTGTTACCCACAAGGCAATGCATAATTGGCCTCAAGGAAGCTGAGCATTGGCAGTCCATGCTACCACATAAGTTCGGTTTTGCTGAGCCTAAGGTATTCACTTCCTGTGTCACTGGCACACACCTACACATGGATGCCTAAAATGCTGCCTTGTTCAACACACACTCACATACACACCTTGTGAGGTGATTAATATTTATCAAGCACTCACTATACACAAGGCAAAGAGCACTTAAGCTCCTCCATGCACTTATACTTACAATGATAGTCACTGGAAACAGAGCCAAATAAGACTTTATTTCATAAACTAACAAATCTGTTCATATCACACCCACCACACCTGGTTTAAAACCTGGTGGGGTTTTAATGGCTTCCTATTAACCTGGAAGTACAAACCCAACCCTCTTAAGCTAGCTCAGAAGGCACCTCCAGCTCCTTCAGCCTTCCCCGCTGTGTTCTGCACATCCATCACACTGGCTGTCTTTCTGTGCCTTGTACAGACTGCACTGCCCATCTTCCCTCTGCAGTGTCCTCATCCATGCTGTTCTCATTAGAGCTTCTTTCTCTCCCTGCCCACCCTCCTCTTTTCAGTCGTACAAACTCCTCCTATCTATTTTTCAGGTTTCTGCAAGAAAGCTTCCCTGACTCAGACCCTGATGCCAGATAAGTTCTCCTACTTTATATTCTCAGAGCTTCTCAACTGCTGTTTGTCATAACAAACACTTCACTTCTTTGCTTGTATGTCCAGTAAGTTCCACTGGACCATACGCTCCATGAGGGTAAGCACTGTGTCTGCTGTGTCTGTTTCTTCATCCTTGGCCCCTAACAAAGTGCCTGGTACCAAGATAAAGGGATTATCTTGGTCTTTAACAGCAGTTCTTAAAGTGTGGCTCCCCAGACCAGCAGCATCAGCATTTCCTAGAGACTTGTTAGAAATGCAAGTCCGCTAGTTCCAAACCCAGATCCACTAAATCAGGAACTCTGAGGTGCGGTCCAGTGATCTGGTCTTTAACAAGCATTCCAGGTGATTCTCATGCACACTGAGGTTTGAGAACCACTAGTCTAGAATATCAAGGCACTCACAGTCTAATAGATAAGACTTTCACTCTGCAACCACAAAAAGCAAAACTAGAATCAATGGGTAGACATTCTTTGCAGGCCAACTTTGGATAAGGGACAGGCAGGATTTTCTCACAATTAAAAAAGTTCTATAACAAAACAGACTGAGTAAAGTGAGCAGACCACCACAGGCACCTAATTGTGGAGGTCCATCTTCTGGCCAAGAGGCAGCACTCAATGGATATTGACTTGAACACTGGAGAAGGGAGTCCTGAGTCAGGCAAGGTGAGCTGTGTCTAAGTTCCCATCCATCTCTAAGACTCTTAGAGATTCCACAATTTTGCCTGCTCTGAGGGTTTAAAGGATTATAATAAAGCACAGAGTGGCTTTGGTTTAAACAACATCTAATGTTGCATAAATATGACAAAAATCATTAACACTCCCCCATCTCGTCCCAGCAGAAGCCAAGCAATAAGGATTTTATAAATGACTGTAAATAAAAAACCCAGTTAATTCCAAACAGGAAGCCATTTGACAGAACAAAGAAGCCCCTGTCTCCAGGAGACTTAAAGAGGAGACACTGCCTCTATTGGAAATCAAAAGGAAATTGTTCTCATGTGAAAGGTGCCCCTTCTGCGTTTACCCTCCAGTTCTTAACTGAAGCTGACTGAATAGGTTCATTTGGAGGCAAAATGATGTTGGAAGTCCTGCAGTAAAACTAGGGATAAAAATCAGATGTGATATCTGATTGAAGTGACTAAAGATCTTTAAACTCCCAACCAACCATAAGCAACACATCAACTAACTGTTGAGAATTGCAGTTCACATCACTGTCCCTGCAGATTCCAAGAAATTTCCTTTCTGACTTAGAACCCAGTTAAAACACTATGTTCTCAGAGCTCTGGGCCCACTGCAGAAGGGAAAGGATTCTACATATTTTTATGTCATTGTTTGTTCCCAGAGAAATAGTTCAATAAAGATCCCATTTAGCAAATGGCTTGCTCCCATCTAAAAAACTTGAAAAGCAATGTTTAGATTTTCAATATATCCATCAATTCCCAATGTCTTTGTGCGGTTTTTTAAAAGCAATGATCCATCTCTTTTCATGTATTGTCACAGCTCATTTATCAACAAGAAAATACCTACGTAAAATACATAGTCTGGAGACACAAAATCTCAGATTTCTCCCAAGATAAAAATGCTCTCTTGCTTCCTCTTAAAACTTTAACACTTTGTTCATACCTCTCTCACAATAAAACAAAAATTTGGAGCATTTGACAATATGTGCCAAAATATAATGTTAAGGAAAAATGAAAATTCAAATCTGTATATACAGTATCTTCTGAAAATAAGCAAAAGACTAAAAGGAAATGCCAAAGAAATTGAGACAGAGATAGTCCTTAGATTATGAGATCATGAGTGATTTTTAACTTCTTAAGTTTCTTGTGTTATTATCAAATTGTAATAATTAAGATAGTGTGTGTGTAGTGCAGGGTTGGACAAATAGAGCATTGGAACAGAACAGACAAACCCACCCAGAGAAGGAAATGATAGATGGCACTGAAGGTGCCTGGGGACCATGAATGTCTACAATAAATCATGCTGGAATAGTGAGTTGTCTATAAGTAACAAAATGAACCTGGACCTACACATTATTGTATTAGTCTGTTCTCACACTGCTATAAAGAACTACCCGAGACTGGGCAATTTATAAAGAAAAGAGGTTTAATTGACTCACAGTTCCACAAGCTGTTACAGGAGGCATGGCTGGGGAGGCCTCAGGAAACTTACAATCATGGCGGAAGGCAAAGGAGAAGTAAACGCATTTACACATGGCAGCAGGGGAGAGAGAACCAAGGAGGAAGCACTACACACTTTTAAACAACCAGATATCATGAGAACTCACTCACTATCATGAGAATAGCAAGGGAGAAACCCGCCCCCATGATCCAATCACCTCCCACCAGGTCCCTCCCCCAACATGAGAATTACAATTCAACATGAGATTTGGGTGGGGTCACAGAGCCAAACAATATCAGTCACCATATACAAAAATCAGAACCTCATACCATGCACAGAATCCTGAATTTAAATAGGTAAAAGCCAAGCTTCAAACTGTTCAAAGAAAATTTAGGAAAATATCACTGCGACCTCAAGATTGGGAGCGGTTTTTCAAAGCAGACATAAAATCACTACCTTTAATTTAATTGGTAATTTAATCTCATTGAAACATTTTTTAACCAAAAGTCACCATAAAGTATAAATACAAGCTACAAACTACAAGAAGATATTCATCACATATAAATCCCCCCATAAATCAATAAGGGAAAAGGCAACCTTCTTAAAAAGGAGCAAACAGCTTAAGTATAGGTGGGAGGGCTGCAATCAGAAATGAGACAAGAAGCTTCGCTAAGAAGGAAGTATTTGTGATTTTAAAGAAGCAGGTTTTTACTAAAGGGGAAAAAGTTTAATCAAGGTGCATATAAGAAATCCATTTCCTAAGCCACCCAAACCGTGTTCATCAATAACCTCTTCACCAGTAATAAACGTGATAGATTGATCTCTATCTGCTTCACTTCTAGTCTTATTTCTCAACTGTGTCTAAGCTGGAGAAGCTAAAAGGAAGTGGGGTTTTAGTTATTAGGCTCCAATCCCAACAGAAAGGAATCTGGATTTCATTCTGGATGGCTTTGAACAAGTGGGGCATGGCCTGACTTAAGCTTGTTTGAAGTTCAGCCCAGCAGCTGTATGGAGAATAGACTGTATGAGACAAGGATGAAAGCAAAATGATCATTAGTCGGCTTCCACCATAACCCAGGACAGGATTGATGGCAGCTTGGTGGCAGGAGTAGAAGAATCAGAAGCTGTCAGGGCCAACAGCATTTGTTCTTGGACTCAATGAGGTGATGGATGAGGGAAAAGAAGGAATCGAAGAACAGCCCCAGAATTAAATCACAGTGAAAAGCAATAATGGGTTAAAAGTGTCCTGAAAACAGCAGTGCTAATGCACAACAGCTCCTCGAGATTATCTATATGTACGTATATATTATTTAAATACAACTAAGTGAATTCATGCTGATCAGGTTTTATCTGAGTTTTAGAACATAGGATGCAGAGAATATATTCTGTAGAGACAGAACCAGAAAGCGCAGAGAGCAGACACTTGATTTTAAAAAAACGATGTCGACCTTCTGCCTGCGATCATTGATTTATCTCCGCCAGGGTCATAAAAAGCGTGTTTCCTCTCACTCATCGAGATCTCTTGCAGGCCAACTCATCACTCATGAAATTTTATACTTACAGCCAGCAGCCCCAACCTCGTGCAAATATGACACTTATGTCCAAATTGAATGCACATAAAATGTCATCCTACCCTCACCAACACAGCAACTTCCAATTATATAATGTTTTAAGGGACGATGACAAATGTGGGAGAAATTGCCTGGTGGCCTTTGCTAACATAACAAAATTGGAAAGTTTGGATGAAATCACAGGATGTGGAGGGCATTCTGACTTCACGAGGTGCCAGTTTGCTTTGATTAAGCAGCCATGGGGTGCTTCTGCAGGAAAACCTTTGTGGGGACTGCGGTTTATCTCCGGTTTTCGTACCCTTCACATGATCCACATAGTCACCTCAGTGCAGAAAGTCATGACTTACATTTTGAGAGCTCTTTAAAAGGCTGACAGTAAGCCCACAGACAGTAGGGAAAAATTGCTTGTTTTGAGAGGTGTCACATCTGAATATTACTTGCACAAATAACCTTGACTGCTCGGGTCTGAATCCTGGTTCTGACTTTTGGTAGCTGTGTCATGTTAGACATGTTTTTCTGCATGCTATGCCTCTGTTTCCCCACCTTCTAAATGTCTATAATAATCACATCTACTTGCTTACTAATTGTGAAAATTAAAAATGATGGCCTGTATAAAACATCAGAGCGGTCCCTGACACACAGTAAATGCTTAATAAAGATTAGTAAGTAAAAAGACCATTAAATAAAATCGCCTGTGTCCTGCTCTGTAATAGCACCTGGCACACAGTAGGAGCTAAACAATTATTTGCTGCACGAGTGTTGAATGAATTACCGTTAGTCCCTCGGCTTCAGTTTTCATTGGTGAGTCTTAACTCTCAACGTTGTCATGAAGATAAAATACTATGGCAAATACCCAATAAATAGCAGTTTATAAAATGAACTATAAAAGCCCCATTTACTGAAGTAAAAACAAAATCAGAGAGACTTGTCGCTTGATCATTTTAGAGCTTGCGTGATTCACAGTGTAAAATGCGAGTTTGTTTACTTTTCAAATGAACAAATGTGCATTTTACTCTGTGAAGCAAGATTGTTTGTTTGCTTGTTTGTGTTTGTTCTTTCTTCCCCAGAGAGGATGATGCTGACCTCATGGGGTCATTGCACATGGTGAGTTAACAGAAGAGAGAAGGCTGGCAGGGAGGAGATGGGCCACATTTCACAGCCTCTTATTCCGCAAGCAAATAAGCTTCCATCCCCCCTCCTCCCCTAGTCCTACCTCCCTGGACAGAGTCCCAGACTCACACACAAGTGCTTTCCCCCTGGTCCTCCTGGGGACCTCCAGTGGTTTGGCTCTTTCCTTGTAGAAGTAACTCTTCTGGTCATCCCATTGTTGACAAGACTACCTCTGGGGGCTCCTGATACTGCTATTTCTCCCCAAGTGGTAGCTGTACTGCCAGGAAGCTCAAGATCCCACTCTTTCCCTATTTCTCTCTCCCAGAATTACAAATCTTTTCCATTAGCCTTGGACCAGGAAGGCCTTGTCTTCTTAATTTCTTACAGCACACCTAGGGAAGAGTTCTGAGGAGTAATGTGTATTTGTGGAAAAGCATGCTAATAGACAAATAAGTTTGGTTTTTACTAGTTTAAAAAGTGAAAATGAAGTTCTTTACTGAAGGAATTCTCAGAGCTTTTGGTATGCCACTATTCACGGGACTCTTCAAGACAGGGGATATAAGAAGTATTTCTGGTAGGGCATGGTAGCTCACACCTGTAATCCCAGCACTTTAGGAGGCTAAAGTGGGAGGATCATTTGAGCTCAGGAGTTTGAGACCAGCCTAGGCAACCTAGTTAGACCCCATCTCTACACAAATTTAAAAATTAGCTAGGCATGATGGTGCATACCTGTAGTCCCAGCTACTCATGGGGCTGAGGTGGGAGGATCACCTGAGCCCAGGAGGTCAAGGCTGCAGTGAGTTGTGATCACACCACTGCATTCCAGCCTGGGGCATAGAGGGAGACTTTGTCTCAAAAAAAAAAAAAAAAGTATTTCTAAAACTTAATTTACTTCACCAATATTTGGATAGAAAACACTTTTGCAACTATACTGTAAGTGTTCCAAGGAATAGATTTTAAAATAGATTAAATGCCCATTTATCTGTTTTTGAATGCCTGCCAATGCCTTCTCTAGGGCAGGGCTCATAACAGTGGACTTCACACCTGGTCCCTGCCTTCATGGAATTTGAAGTCTAGTAAGGGAATCACAGACATAAGCCCACAAGTAGAGTTCATAATGCACACCATAAGAGGACACAAAGTACAACAGTGCAGGTTTGTCTTCGGTGAGGGCAGGACAAGAAAAGTCTTCAAGGAAAATGAATTATCTGTGATACTGATGAAAGACTAGCTATGCTGTGAATGTGCAGAGATGGATGGACGAAAAGGGACAAAGAAGGGCAAGAAGACTGGGAACACCAGGCCCAGGCTGTTGTGCATGGCCCGAGGAGATGGGGAAGGGCAGAAGGTCAGGTGGGTAAGGTGTGAACAGTGGGTGAGAGACCTCATATGGAAAGCCTTGAGGAGGAGGAGGAGGAGAAGAAGAAGAAGAAAGAGGAGGAGGAGGAGAAAGACAAGGGGAAGAGGACATGTAGCACACACAGGCTGGAGATTCAGTCTTCAACATTATGCCTTTGTAACAAGATGCTAGTTTCAAGGAAATGGCTCCTGAATTGCATATGTGCTGAGCTGTGGGTGTGTGTTTGACATTTCAACTTTCCAATGGAAGAGCTTCAATGACGCACAATTTAAGCCTTCCAGGAATTGTGCTGTTACATCCAAATCAGGCAGTTGGCCTCTAGAAATTCACATATTTGACCTAAATCCCTGTGTCAGCAACAGGAAATCTATTGCCCTTGAAGATGCAGTGGTATAGAGGAAACAATCTAGGCTTTGGAAGTAGACAGTTGGGGGGCCATATCCTGATTCTGTTTTTTTTCGATGTTGCAGTTTTGGACAAGGTTGTTAAAGTATCCAACCTACTTTCTCAAATGTCAATGGTGGTATTATAAACGCTTCCTAGGCCCAGGCACTTTATGATAATTAGGTGAGATAATGTTCATGAGGGATCTAACACAGAGACCAGCACAGAGGTGCTTGGTGTAGATGGCAGCTGCTGGGATTCTAACATCATCATTATCAATTCAGTTCAGTTGAGGGGATAAAGCAATTTCATGGAGTTACTCTCTTGCACACTATTCTTCCTTTCACTGTCTTCAGAATTTTGACCACTGGTTGCCCCATTCAAGAAATCGTAAGCTCTAGGCTGGGCACAGTGGCTCTCACCTATAATCCCAGCACTCTGGGAGACCAGGGTAGGAAGATCACTTTAGCCTAAGTATTTGAGAACAGCTTGGGCAACATAGCAACACCCCATCTCTACAAAAAATACAAAAAAATTAGCCAGGCATGGTGGCACATGCCTGTGGTCCCAGCTACCTGAAAGACTGAGGTGGGAGGATTACTTGAACCTGTGATTTTGAGGCTGCAGTGAGCTGTGATTGTGACACTGCACTCCAGCACAGGTGACAGAGCAGGACCCTGTCTCAAAAGAAAGAAAAAAAAGAAATGTAAACTCTATTTCCTGACACATAAGTCTTCCGATATCTCTCCCTCTTCACCCACCCTACTGTTAATATGTTAGTCCATACTCACAATTTTCTGTTACCTGAATCTCTCCATGTGCAGAAGTGCTGAGGGGGAGGCAGCTGGGATGGAAGCTCCAGACAGAGCACACTGGACAAGGAAAAGGGGCCATGAGAGGGGCATGTGCCCAACTGGGCAGGACTTTGAAAATCAAAGAAAACTAGACTTCTTCCTGAAGGCAATAAGGAATCACTGATGAAGCCCACTGAGCAGGGAAAAGGTTTATAAAGAATGAAGTTTTATGAAGATTGCTTGTCAGGCATCGTGATCATTTATCTGACACAAGACAAAATAATCATATCTACCAGATGGGCTTGATTTGGGTGAATCAAGCCAGAATGGATTTACCCAAATTAATCTCTCATCTTTTCCCTTCCCACCATGGGGCGATCATTGAATTCTTCCCTACCCAGAATATCTAAGAGACCCCGAGACTACCGTGTTTATCAGTGGCATTGAGGATGACATGGGTGGAAATCCAAGGTTCAAGCAGGGAGATATGAGTCCTTGGGGTACCATACAGAGCTCATACTTTGAAGCCAGAATTTTGCCTTCAAGTCCTACCAGCTGAGTGATGTTAATAAAGTCATTTAGTTTTGCCAGGACTAAGTTTTCTGCCCTGAAATTGAAGTTAGAAAACTTCTCATGACTAATGTGAAGATCAAATGCCATAACAACTACAAAGTGTTGTATATGCAGTAAGAACTCAATAAATCATATATGAGACTTGGTTCTCCTCCAGAGCCCAGACCATGGTTTGTTCTTATTTACTTCCATAGCACCAGTGTTTGATGATCAATCATTCTACTCAGCAATATCCGGCGCTCCTTCCTTTCTAGGCAAGGGGTAGAAATTTATTTTCTGACTCCCTGTGGCTGGAGGAAGCCATGTAACTAACTGATGGGGAAAATAAATGGGTGTGAGCCACTTCTGGGCTGAGTTCCCTTTCCCTCAGGCCCTCACATGGTCAGGGCTCAAGAGGTACCATCAACCTACAATCCTGAATCACCTGGTGAGCAGAGCCTTCTCCCAGTCCAGGCTGGACACACTGTAGTATATCCAACAAGAAAGAGACCTCTGTTCTTTTAAGCCATTGAAAACTGGGGGTTGTTTTTTACTGCAGCATAGCTTAGCCCATCCTGACTGATAGATACAGCCATGCCTGTAACACAACATCAAACCAGAAAATGTTTCCTTTGTGAATAAATGTACAGAGAAGGAAATGTGGATGTTAAAAAGAGAGGAAAAGCAAAATAAAATAAAAGTAATAAACTGAAATGTCCAGAAGAGAAAAAACAAACATATGACACAGGTCATGCAACTTCATCTTGGAACTCTCAAAGCAGGCAGCAAAAAGTGATCACAGTCCTCTTTGCCAATGAGGGACCCTTCTTCTTTTCAGCTGCAGTCTCAGACACTTTCTTAAGAAAAAAAATGCTGGAGCATTAAGAAAGTGTCTGAGACTGCATCTGAGACTGCATTTTTGAGAAAATAATATTTTCCCTCTCTGGTCTCTGCCACCCTCGCGGACTGGGACAGGTGTCACAGGGTGTATTAGTCCATTTTCATACTGTTATGAAGAAATACCTGAGACTGGGTAATTTATACAGAAAAAGAAGCTTAATGGACTCACAGTTCCACATGGCTGGAGAGGCCTCACAATCATGGCAGAAGGTGAAGGAGGAGCAAAGTCACGTCTTACATGGTGGCAGGCAAGAGAGCACGTGCAAGGGAACTGCTTTTTATAAAACTATAAAACCACCAGATCTCATGAAACTTATTCGCTATCACGAGAAAAGCACGGGAAAACCTGCCTCCATGATTAAATTAGCTCCCACTGAGTCCGTCTCATGACACATGGGGATTATGGGAGCTAAAATTCAAGATGAGATTTGGGTAGGGACACAGCCAAACCATATCACAGTGTTAGGGTGGATGCAGAGGAATACAGTTCAGAAGGAATTCGTTCAGGCTCGTGGGTCATCCTGTCTCTGTCCCGGCTGTTCCACACTGCCATGGCAGCATAGAAGCAGCCACACAAGATACATAAATGAAGGCGTGTGACTGTGTTCCAACAGGACTCCACTTACTAAAATGTATGGCACTCCAGATTTGGCCCATGAGCCATAGTTTGCTGACCCCACAAAGACTAATAAAGCCCAGAAGCATCTAAAGCAGTTCAGAAACAATTGGGTCAAGAACAGGATGAGTCTGGAATGGCACTTTGGGTGGGAAGAATGATACAGAAGGAGTTAAAGAGAAAATAATGATTTGCATAAGTAGGAGAGAAGATGGAGGTGCTCCAGGCCCAAACCCCAGCCCTGAACTTGTTCTCTCCCAGACCCCGGGGCAGGCTCCTTCTTGGATGTGTCTTTGTCTTCGTGGGTGCAGAATGGTTCTGGCAGATGCTGTCTCACTTCAGCAGAAACAGATCTGGGTTTATGGAAATGTTTTGCAGATGGGCCTTTTCATATCCCCCTCCGCAGCTACTCCCACTCTGCTTGTGTGTGCATGACTCATCATTCGTCATTTCAATTACTGAGGCCTCCATTCATCGGCCTATCCATCTGCCAGGCACTCTCTCGCCAGCCAGCAGCCACCACTACTGAGAGGTAATGACTGTTGTTGGAAGAAGTCACGCCTCTGTCATTAGCTCAAGACTGGGGGATTGCTGTGATCTCTCCATGCAATAACCGCCATAAACTCTTGACCACGTTATTGTTTCCGAGGGGTATGGAGGCTCTCCAGAGCAGTGGGAAACAGTGGAGGATATTTAAAGTTGAATATTTAGTGGGATATTCCTGCAAATACCCTCCCATGGAAGCCACTGCCTGTCCTAGGACCATCCTACTGTGGAGGGGAATCAGGAGTGAAAAGGAAGATTCTGATTAATTATCCTAAGAGAAGACAGTCATCACTTTCATTAGCTTCTAAGGGTTATTTGTGGTTTTTGCCTTTTTGCTGGGTATGATGACATAGAAAGATATTTGACTATGACCCATAACTACTTCTCTATCACTGTCACAGGCTTGAGAAGGAAATAGCAAAGGGGACACTCTAGACCAAATCTGTTGGTGTAGTACTATAAAGATTTTTGGTTCAACTTCCAGCTGGAAAGTCTTGGCCCCACATTGACTGGACTGGGCTAGGGCACCTGGTGCCAAGAATATTCCTTTTGACCTTGGTAGAGGCAGCCCAAGTGGACTAATTAAAGTATCTTCCATTCCTTTGGCCCAGGATCCTGCCCTAACCTTTTGTCCCAGTAACCTGAGATGCAAGGAGGATGGGAGATGAGAATCGGTGAAAGAGAATTCCCCCAAGGCAAGAACAGATATCTCCCCAAGGCCCAGAGTATAGAACATGGGCATTGCCCAATCCCAGGCTTACACAGTTCAAACAATCCTAAATGCACACACACACACACACACACACACACACGCGCGCGCGCCTGGTCTAGAACTGTCAACCTCTGCCACCTCACTCACTCACTCCTCTGTCACTGCTACCCCTTCAACCCCAAATCTCTGAAATTACAGCTCAACCAAGATGGAAAACCGTATCTGCCACAGCCAGAGCCTGGGGAGACTGAGAGAAGCCAGCCAGGGAGGCCCTCAGGCTCCACACACCCACAGCGCTGTCAGTGAAAACTGGAACAACCCCTCCTCCCTGTCTCTGTGTGCCCTGGACCTTGCCTTGTCTTTGGAGAGAATGAGGGAGGGGAGGTGTATTAGTTAGGGTCCTTCAGAGAACCAGAAACAGTAAGAGATACATAGATACAAGAGATTTACTATAGACATTGGCTCACAGGATTATGGAGATTGTACTGCCTCCATAGTCCCACCATTGTCATCTGCAAGCTGGACACCAGAAAAGCTAGTGTTGTGATTCAGTCTGAGGGCAAAGGAGAGGCAACGACATAAGTCCCAGTGGTGTCCAAAGGCCTGAGGACCAGGAGAGGCAATGATATAAGTCCCAGTCCCAAGGTCTGAGGACCTGGAGCTCTGAAAGTCCAAGGGCAGAAGAAGGTGGATGTCCCTGCTCTAGAAGAGAGGGAAAATGTGCTCTTCCTCCTGCTCTTTGTTCCACTCGGGCCCTCCAGGGATTAGATGATGACTTCCCACACTGGGGAGAGTAATCTTGTTTACTCAGTCTACTGATTCAAATGCTAATCTGCTTTGGAAACACCCTCACAGACACACCCAGAAATGATTTTGCCAGCTATTGCAGCAATCTGTAGACCAGTCAAGTTGATAGAAAAAATTAGCCATCAAGAGGCAAAGAGGCAGGAGCCCTGAGAGCCCCTCCCCACGAGTGGTCCATAAGGGAGGATGAAGAACCAGAGCTGAGACTATATTTTGCTTAAAACCCAGGACACGCCGGGAGCAGTGGCTCACACCTGTAATCACAGCACTTTGGGAGGCTGAGGCGGGCAGATCACAAGGTCAGGAGTTCAAGACCAGCCTGGCCAATATGGTGAAACCCCATTTCTACTAAAAATACAAAAATTAGCCAGGTGTGGTGGCAGCCACCTGTAGTCCCAGCTACTCAGGAGGCTAAGGCAGAAGAATCACTTGAACTCAGGAGGCGGAGATTGCAGTGAGTCGAGATCATGCCATTGCTCTCCAGCCTGGGTAACAGAGTGAGACTCTGTCTCAAAACAAAACAAAACAAAACAAAACAAAAAAACCTAAAAAACAAAAACAAACAAAAAAAACCTAAAAAACAAAAACAAACAAACAAAAAACCCCAGGACACTCTGTTGTCTTGTCACTGTCCCTCACATGTTCTGTGACCCCAGACAAACCACTTCCCTTATCTGAGCCTCAGTTTCCCCATCTGCAGCCCAGCACAGTCCCAGCACAGAACACATGTTCAATAAATGAATCATGGAGATCTCTAGTTAACCTGTAGGACTCCAGCCAGCTCGAGAGATCTATTAATACAATTCTACCCACGATTCTGCTCTTTCGAAAGTGCAGCTTTCTTAGTTGAGTTCTTCCAGATGCAGACTTTGAGATGAGGCTTCATCTGCAAGCAATTTATTAAGGAGTGCTTCCTGAAGACCAGCAGGGAAAAGAAGCTACAGTGTGGTGTCAAGCAAGACCCAGCCTCAGCCTGATCAAACCAGGTGCTCTGGAGAATGCATTATGACTTTGTGCTATGGAGAATGCATTATGACTTCGTACCTCAATGCAAGACAGCTGGGCTCTCACAGTTCTGGGCCCACCAGTCACTGGCTATGGGGCCACCTGGGAGGGGTGTGTGAATTCCCAGGCACTTGCATCTCTGCAGGAGTGCAAGGGCGGGCCCCTGAAGTAGGTTTAAGTGATCGCTCTTGGAGGTGAAGCATAACGAAGCTGGGGGAGGTGAGCACACGGAAGCAAAGGAATGATCTGAGGCATTTGGGTTGGAATAGAAAAATTAGGAATGACAACAAAATTAGGAAGGAGAACTTCTAGGTTGCAGTGAATAATGATTGAGTACTGTGCGCCGTATCAGGCAGTATGGTAGGCACTGAGGACATAACAGAGTAAAAGGAACATGTCCTCTTGGAACTCACAATAAGAAACAGGCACTAATCAAAAGCAGGGCCCAACCCCTGTACAGTCACAGCAGTGCTCAGCACTACAAGGGAGACAGGAGCATGTGCTGGAAGAATGTGGGAGGGGTGGGGCCAGGAAATGGGTGGTCAGCTGCTTTTTGAAAAAAGAGACATGTAAAGGAGACACAGCTACAGTGGGTGTGGAGGGGAAAGAGCTGCATTTGAGGGAAGGGGAATAGAATGGGCAAAAATTGTTTATTAAATGAATGAATGAGAAGATGAATGAATGAACGTCAGAAACAAAAATTTCAGTAATTTAATTCCTCTGGAGGGAAATCATCAAAAGAAAATCTAAAAAGGTGCATTTGAGAAAGATGAGATGGGGGATGCTCTTTTGTTAAGCACTTGTGTCCTAAGTAGGCTGCACTATTTATACATTATTTTATTTACTCATTACAGCAACAAGAAATACCTTCATCTTTTTAGAGAAGAGTGAAATTGAAGCCAGAGAGGTTGGTTAACTTGCCCAAGATCACAAAGCTTCCAAGATGAAGAGCTGGGATTTCATTTCAGGTTTCCCATCTGGCAACATCCAAGCCCTTTCCATAATTCCACACTGTGAATTTGCTTCCCAAACCAAGGTATTGTTGCCCACAGGAGGTGTTCTAAGCTGAGGTTAATATTAATAAATAAGCTATTTCTGTTGACACCCACCATGTTTATGTGGCACCATGCCCAGTCATCCACTTCCAAGATGCACATCAATAGTTACATTTTACCCAAAGTTCCCAGAGGGTACTCCTGAAATTACAGACATGAGGGGATGGAACCAATGACACCTGGGGCTGCCATGCAGCTTTAGAGGGTGCCAGCCCCAAGCTTTGGTAGCTTATATGTGGCATTGGGCCTGTGGGTGTGCAGAAGATAAGAGTTGAGATTTGGGAACCTCTCTCTAGATTTCAGAGGATGTATGGAAATGCCTGGGTGTCCAGAAAGAAGTCTGCTGCAGTGGTGGAGCCCTCATGGAGAACCTCTACTAGGGCAATCAATGCAGAGAAGAAACATGGGGTTGAGACCCTCTCACAGAGTCCCCACTGGGGCACTGCCGAGCGGAGCTGTGAGAAAGGGCCACTTTCCTCCAGAATGGTAGATCCACTGACAGCCAGCACTGTGCACCTGGAAAAGCTGCAGGCACTCAACACCAGCCTGTGAAAGCAGCCATGATATTTGGGTGGGGTCACATGGGGACTACACCCTCAAAAGCCACAGGGGCAGAGCGGCCCAAGGCCTTGGGAGCCCAACCTTTGTAACAGCATGCCTTGGATGTGAGACACAGAGTGAAAGGAGACTATGTTGGAGCTTTAAGATTTAATGGTTGCCCTGCTGGGTTTCAGACTTGCATGCCTGTTGCCCCTTTGTTTTGGCCATTTTCTCCTACTTGGAACAGGAACATCTACCTAATGCCTGTACCCTCATTGTATCTTGGAAGTAACTAACTTGCTTTTGATTTTACAGGCTCATAGACAGAAGGGACTTGCCTTGTCTCAGATGAGACTTTGGATTTGGACTTTTGGGTTAATGCTGGAATGAGTTAAGACTTTGGGGGACTGTTGGGAAGGCGTGATTGTGTTTTGAAATGTGAGAAAAACATAAGATTTGGGAGGGGCCAGGGCCAGAATGATATGGTTTGGCTCTGTGACCCCACCCAAATATCATCTCAAATTGTAATCCCCACGTTTCGACAAAGGGACCTGGTGGGAGGAGGTGATCTGATCATGGGACCAGTTTACCCCATTCTATTCTCGAGACAGTGAGTGAGTTCTTAGGAGATCTGATGGTTTAAAAGTGTTTGGCTCTCTCTCCTACTGCCACCATGTAAGATGTGCCTTGCTCCCCCTTCACCTTCTGCCACGATTGTAAGTTTCCTGATGCCTCCCCAGCCATGTGTAACTGTGAGTCAATTAAACTTCTTTCCTTTATAAATGACCCAGTCTCAGGTAGCTCCTTATAGCAGTGTGAGAACAAACTAATACATGTCCTGAACCGGAGCACTTTGCTTCCTTTTTCTGCTCTTCTCCTTTCTTTCAGAGTGGGATACAATTAGCTGGGGAGTGCAACTCATCCCTCAATCACTGATCTGAGTATGGATATCAAAAGAAACATTTCCTGAAGCAAGACGCTGAGCTGGAAGCTTCCACGGTTGTGCCTATACTGTGGCAGTCCTGCGCGAACCTGTCCGGCCCCATGGAAACCTGCAGGGCTGAGGTCTCCCAGGGCAAATGGGGCTGCAGGATGCTCACTACACCCCCAGAAACAGGAGAAGGGACAAGGACACAGGACTGTCTGTGAGCAACACTGACTTTCGGCACAGGAGAGATCCTTTGCCCCTCCTCACTCCAGAATATTGCTAAGAACATAATTGATCTCTCTCCTTCTCATTCACTCACATCTCCCAAAACAAAGGAAGAGAGACCCATTCAACTGATCAGAGCCTGACTTTCCATTGCTGAGCCATGTTTTACTACTGAGTGGGGCAACTGCTTTAAAAATCCATTTGTTGCTGCATTTTCTTGCCAGCTATTTCTTCATTTACAGGGTTCTGAGAGGCCTGGCCTCTGCTTCCTCCGCCCATCCAATAAGTACCACCTGTCTGTTGAGGGGCTCAGTGGCTTCAAGGTTTCAACCCTGGCTACATCATGGAACCATCTGGGGAGCTTTCCAAGTACTGATGCCTGAACCTTAGTCACAGATTAATGGAAACCTGAGGAATGGGGACCCATGACCTGGAGTCTGTAAGGCTTCCCCATTGATGTGATGCTTGGTGAAATCTGTTTGGGTGAGTACATTCAGTGGCCACTTGCCATGACTTTTCCTGTCTCTATAGCTACATCTGGGTCCCTGGATCCCTGCAACTAGATTTAAGCTGGAGGAAGAAGTTTCCATTTTGGCCTTGAGCCTAAGCCTAGTTTTTCAAACCTGCTTTTGGCAGAACAGTGCAATGAGGCATGAGAGTTTTGCCAATATACTAATAAAGCCGTGCTCTCCCTCCCATCTGCCGCACGATCCCTGTGGGCCTGCTCTACTGTCCTGGACCTGGAGGAGAAGGGGAGCATGTGGGAGCAACTGGGAGCCACGACTCCCTGGCAAACAACATTGGGGACTTTCAACACCATTTTAAAAATAGAGTCACTTATTTCAGTATATCTCGGCCAGTTCAGCAAATGACTTTAGGTGGCTTACACTGTAAATATAGAAAACAAAATGAGGATAAAAATAAGAATAGAGATTTTGGACCAAGGAATTATAATGTCAAGTAGAGAGCAAGGCAATTAAAAAAAAAAAAAAAGAGCAGAAGAGTGCAGATCAAAAACAAAGCAGGCAGTGTATATACTGAGATACTTCAACCTGTTAAGAGTAATTGGGCATTGCTTGATTCAATAACACACATTTTGAGTGTAAGAACTAGACGTTATTCCCATTTGACAGATGATGAAACTGAGACTTAACAGATTGTCTGAGGCCTGGCAGCTAGTGACCCCAGAGTCACATTCAGGCTGCCTGTGGTGGGGCCTTTGTTCCTACAGCACCTCATGACCTCGCTAAAGTGGTTTAGCCCTGAGCTTCCATTCAACCAGAGGGAAGAAGACTGACACAGCCAGACACAAACATATTCATTATCAGAAAGTATGAAGCATTCTAGTTCCCCAGGAAAAGCAGTATTTCCCTCAATCACTCAATTCAAAAATGGCATTCCTCAGGTGGGAGTGGGGAAGGCTTCACAGACGAGCAGAGGGCAGGGTTTTGTGGCGTAAGTGGGGGTTCACCAGGTGGGCGGGGGTGGGAGAACATTTAGGAAAATGTACAGCACATTTAAAGACCTGGACAATTATAAGAAACCATCTGGTGTTGGAGGCTACAAAAAGGCCAGAGTTTATGAAGCACAAAGTGAGGTTAACTAACTTAATAACATTTTAAACCTTAGTCAAATTAGAAAACCAAAGAGAAGTGAAAAGAAAATTTAATTTAAAGACATAGAATACAATCTTATCAAGGTGGGCTTCACTAATGTGGAACATGCAGTGATTCAGAGATGCAAAAAAAAAAAAACAGCATTCACAAAGCTGATTTATAATGTAAGCAAGATTGAAGGCAACAGTTCAAAGCCACATAAGGCACCAATAGGTTTTCAAATATTCAGGAATTCATGGTCACATAGCAACAAAGATATGCTAATGACAAGCACTTAACATATTCATTACAATAGGTCCCTGTGGTCCTGCAGTACCACTCCTGGCTACACCTTATTAGTCCTTCTACTTTCTGCACAATGTTGATGCACAAGCCTGCCTTGCTTGGCTTGCTTCTGTACAAACAACCACCGTGCATGTTCAATTAAAGTAATACTCATTTTATGTGTACCTTTAGCTGGAATTGTGGCTGAGAAGGGCAGCCTCGGTCACCAATCTGCTTTATAATGTCCTGTAAAGGATCTCTGTAATGCCTAGGACTCCCCGAGATTAACCTCCACATGCAAAACCTGGGAATGAGTTGTGCTTCATCAGAAATCTCATTACCTTCAGTACAGACCTGAAGGGTGTGGACAAAATGGAAATTGTCAGAGTGGCTTAGGCTGATGTTTCCTTTCACTGCACCTCATACAAAAGTACATAATTAGGAAGGAAAGACAGGATCAGCCACCTCTGTATAAACACTGTGCGCAGCAGGGATTTTAAGTCAGCCTGACACAAAGAACTGCCATTGTGACTGCCACACAACCAGTGCCACCGAAATGTGACATGAGGACACAATGTTTGGATGCAGTAGAGCATGAAGGCCAAGCTCCCAGACCTTTGTGCAAGTCTAGCCGTCTGCCAGGTGCCGCCTTCCTCCTTTATCTGCCTCTTGAAATCCTGCCTAAAGAGGGAGTGTGGCATCACCACCCCATGGATCACCAGGATTCCATGTGGGCCGTGGGCCTAAATATGCTGCAGAGAGAGTGAGAGGGGTCCATTTCTACCCTTCTCTCCTACCAGACAGACCAACTCCCCCAGATGGCGAAGCATAGCAGCTTTCTCCCCTTGTCCTTCAGTACCCAACTCGAACATTCATGCAGAAAGCATTGGTTGAACAAATGACCATTAATCCTCTGAAAAAAATTATTAGTATTATTGGGAATCAAAGGCACACGTATTAAAACAAGTATAAGCTACCACCTTCCCACCACCATGCCCCATCAGATTACAAATTAGTTGGTGAAAAGGCGGTCAAAGAGGCATTTCCACAGGTGGCGTGTCAAGTGGTATAAATTCTGAAATGCAATTTCACAGTATGTTTCAAAAGTTTTTTGATAGAGTGTTGGCTGACATCTAGACATTTATATTCTATGCAGATAATCAGGGATGCAGACAAAGTTTGCTCATCATAATAATAGCTAACTTTGAGAAGTATCCATTGTTAGGCAACATGCCCTCACTTTATATAGATTTTGTGAAGTTCCTACTCTGATGAAATAAGAACAGTTCATCATAGGGGGTAGTTTCTATGGCATGAGATAGCACATTTCAAGCATTTTGAAGAAAAACTAACATGCAGAAAAAAAAATGCAGTGAATTCTAAATATTTTCATTATTATCATTATTATTTGCTGGAAAAAAAAACAACAGAAAACATGTTTTACCATGAAACATAAATGGGGCTTATTCCAGGCAGGATGGCTCACTATTGATAAATTGAATAATGTCATTAACCATAATTGAAGAGCAAGGAACCTAAACATCTGAGCATTTTTATAATTTTTCAAAAAGCTTCTGATAAAATTCAAAATCACTTCCAAAGATAAAAATCTCTTAAGAAAACATGAATAAAAGGATAGCATCCAAAGATTATCAATGTACCAAACAAGGGAACTAGTTAAGAGGTATAACTGTTGCAAAAGCAGACTATGTTCAACTATTCATTCAATTATTCATGCCTTCTACCAATATTTCTTGAATGAATTCTTTGTGATGAAATCTGGCAGCCCAGAAATAGTGCATTCATTTTAGTGGAGATAAATAAGGAACTAAGCAAATAAATGAAAAAGATAATTCCCAATGGTGACATATGCTCTGAAAAAAACTGATACAGAGTGATGAGGAACAGACTGAAGGACTGGGTGGTCGTAAGAGGTGCCCACTGCACATGCTCCCTGACTCTTGCTGCAGCAGCTAAAGGAACTCCAATCAAGTTCAGCTTGAAAACCATCAGTCAACCAAGTCATGCTCTGCAGCAAAGTGATTCCAAGAGGATGACAAGTTAGCACAGAGTCACCCAGACATGAGTGATCTACAGAGCTGGGCACCTCCTACCAGCTCCACATCAAACCCCACCCTGAACACTTCCCACAGAGTGATGATGTGCCAAGGTGAGCTCTTTGCTAGCCACAGTCTCCATCACTCCCTATTGTCCCTCCCTATTGTCCTTCTTCATTCATTTGTCACCTGCCTTCCCCTGCAGACATCTGAGTTTCTGAGTCCCAATTTGGTACAGCTCTTGGGCCCAAAGACCTGAAGGTGAAGACCATTTCTAAAGCCCACCTGCTTGGAAGAAACCAACTGAGGTCCTGGCAGGCTGGATACCTGATGCTTCTAGAGATTTGAAAGGAGAGGACGGGGCATCATATCTGCCATGGCACCCACCCTGACTGCACCACAGATGGTCATGACCAACAGCAATGCTGCAGCTGTCTAGGGCCGTGGAGTGCTGTGCTCACCTAGATCTGGATTTATTCCTGGCTGAATTTTCATCCCCTACATGTGTTCTTCCTTTTGTTTTCTCACTAGTAGTAATATTTATCTATTTTATTTTATTTTATTTTATTTTATTTTATTTTATTTTTTTGAGACAGAGTCTCGCTCTGCCGCCCAGACTGGAGAGCAGTGGCACGATCTCAGCTCACTGCAACCTCCGCCTCCCGGGTTCAAGCAATTCTTCTGCCTCAGCCTCCTGAGTAGCTGGGATTATAGGCGTGCGCCACCATGCCCAGCTAATTTTTGTATTTTTAGAACAGAGGGGGTTTCACCATGTTGGTCAGGTTGGTCTCAAACTCCTGACCTCGTGATCTACGCACCGTGGCCTCCTAAAGTGCTGGGATTATAGGCGTCAGCCACTGCCCCCGGCCCTTATCTTGAATTTTAAAATATTTCTGTTAGTGGTTTTACATACGTTCAGAACAAAACTATGAGGTGGGCCCCCCACCACCAAAAAAAAAAAAAAAAAAAAAAAAACTGAAGAAAGAAGAGAGGAGAGGAAAGAGAGGGAAAAGGAAAGAAGAAGAGAACCTCGCGGGGTGGCATCAGCCCACGCAGGCCCTCAGCATTCAGTGTCATTGAGCATGTAGGCTGTGCACCACCTGTGCTACCCATGAGACGATCCCAGGTGCCTGTGGAACGCAGAGCAAGAACACCACTCCCTCCCTCTCCACCTGCATTTCCATCTTGATCATATGGAGGAGAAAGTCTTAGTTTAAAGCTAGCCTGTCTTTGACACTTTCCTACTCCCTGTCAATCTCCATTTTAAACAATGAAAGGCCCGGTCTCAGGCCATAACTTTGGCAGGTAACAGTGTAAGGTTAGAATTTAATGATGCCATGTAAGTTTCATATATATGTATGTTTAGGGTTGCCATCTATGTAAGACAACTGAAGATTGTTTTTTACTTACACTGGTCATAACAACTTTTAAGAATCCAGTTCAAGTGAGTTGATAAAAAGGTCAAGTCCATAATAGTGCAGGTGGTTCTCAGACAGGAAGGTGGTGCACATATGACCAAGTGAGGTCACTGTGATGTTGTTAAGCCTTCCCAACTTTCTTTTCCAGGACGTCACAGAATTATCATCTAGAACACAGGTAATCACTTTCCAATATTCTTTGAGACGGAGTCTCACTCTGTCGCCAGGCTGGAGTAGAGTGCGTGATCTCGGCTCACTGCAACCTCCGTCTCCCAGGTTCAAGCGATTCTCCTGCCTCAGTCTCCCAAGTAGCTGGAATTACAGGCACCCACCACCATGCTTGGGTAATTTTTATATTTTTAGTACAGAAAGGATTCCACCATGTTAGCCAGGCTGGTCTCATACTACTGACCTCAGGTGATCTGCCTGCCTTGGCCTCCCAAAGTGCTGGGATTACTGACATGAGCCACTGCACCCGGCCCATTCTAATATTCTTTTACTGGTTGAAAAGTGCCCAGGAGCAGCAGGTTGCTGGCCTAAGGAGGAGGAAGGGGAGGAGGCAGCAGGCACAAATCTGATACATTTTATAAATGTCTCATTTCCTTACTTCTATGTGAGCAAACAGCCATAGCCCTATCTTGAAGAATATATTGGCAAATCAAAGGTACATGTCCTGCCAATCACAAAGAAAATATAGTCTGAGGCCGGAGGACTGCTTGAGCCCAGGAGTTGGAGGCTGCAGTTGAGCTACGATTGCGCCAATGCACTCCAGCCTGAAAAAACAGAATGAGACAACCCTGTCTAGAAAAGCAAACAATCCCAAAAAGAAAAAAACCACACACTTTGATATGGTTTGGATCTGTGTCCCCATCCACATCTCATGTTCAATTATAATCCCCAATGTTGGAGGCAGGGCATGGTGGGAGGTGATTGGATCATGAGGGCAGCTTCTCACGAATGGGTTAGCACCACCCCTAGATGCTGTCCTTGTGATAGTGAGTGAATGAGTTTTCATGAAATCTGATTGTTTAAAAGTGTGTAGCACTTCTCCTCCTTCATCTTGCTCCTGCCATGTAAGACATCTTTGGTAACGCTTTGCCTTCTACCATGATTGTAAATTTCCTGAGGCCTCCTCAGAAGCAGAAGCAGCTACAGTTTCTGTGCAGCCTGCAGAACCATGAGCCAATTAAACTTCTTTTCTTTATAAATTACCCAGTCTCAGGTATTTCTTTATAGCAGTGAGAGAACTGCCTAATACACAATTCTACTATGAATTACAGAGAATATAATTAAAAATAAAAACTAAGGAGAATTCCTAAGATCGACGCATTGAAGTTCATCTTTCAATTGCTCTGGCGCATACATTTTCACAGTAAACTCAGCATGTTATGGGGTAATATATCACCCATGCAAAGGGCACTGTCTTGTGTTGGGATCTGAGGATGAGGATGAGCAAAGGGCAAGGTCCCTACCCTTGAGAATCTCCGCCCAATGAGAGGACAGATGGCTCCTCATTTCTTCCACCCTGTTCTTTCTGAACTTCTGAACATACTAAGTCCCAAGCTATGGACCAAGTACAAATATCTAATTCAACATAACATACATATGATCAAATGCTTACATGTGCCAGATACTATTTAGGGGAACACAGCAGAGAACAATATACACAGGACCATTGGTCTCAGAAAGCTCACATTTTTTTTCTGAGGATGGAAAAAATTTCTATAAAGAAGTAAGAAAACACATTAACATCAGAGATGAAAAGGGGCTGTGCTGAAATCAAACAGGCAAGTGAGAGAGGGAGAAGGCCTATGAGTGGACAAGTCCAGATGGTTTGGGACGGCCTCCCTGAAATGAACAAACTGTGGACCCTCTTTAAGAATGCTCAGATAGAACATGTGCAAAGCCAAGCCTGAGAGGTGCAGGAGCATGAGAACGCACGCCCTGCCAAGACAGCGGAGTAGGGAAAGGATATCTGCTTCTGGAAGGAGGTGCCCAGCACAGATGTCTCTGAAGGATGTGGGTTCCTGAATGCAGCAGTCTCTGTAAGCTTTCAGTTCAATGTGTCCACCATCCCGCAAACGCACTTGTGTTCTGAATCAGCAAACACTCTGAAATCCTCGCACATTTGTTGGGAACAATGGCCCTCGTGTCATCACCTTCCAAGATATTTCTTCTAGTTTCACATATGTGGCTGGAAATAAAAACCCAATCTCACTTGTGAAGAAGCCTCTGAGGCTATGGGCTGTTCTGCAAGAGCAGGGGCCAGGACATTGGCACCGACTCTTCCAGGATGCAGCACAGCCGGAGGAGAAGCAACTGGCACACCTGTTATCCCTGCTGACCATCTCTGCAGGCTGCATGACGCAGAGGCTTCCACGGCGCCTGGGAGGCAAGGTCCATGGTGGGAGATGCTCAAGCTTGGAGTCAGACAGAGATAGGTTGAAATACTGACTCCTCTGCTAAAGGCCTAAGGATCCTGGGGGAAGTACTCCACCTTTCTGGGCCTCAGTGTGTTCATCTACTAAGCTGAGGTACCGGTTCACGGCATTCCCTTTCATTCACATTTGCAGGGGAAGAAGGTTCATGATCTGCCGAGCAAGGAGGATGAGGGGCGAGGGAGAGGAGATGAGGCCCAGTCCTGCAGAGCAGCAGTGACACAAGCTGAGAGCGGATTCCAACATGCTCTTAAGGGTCAGGTTCAGAGAGAGCTCAGGAGGCACGAGAGGACAGTGGCCCACCCCGGAGCTATCACCTCGTCACCCTACTCTCTGCCCTCATTCCCCCAGGCATGGGCAGCCAGGCCTTATAAAGTGCAGTGGCCGGGGTTCCTCTTCTTCATGGGCCACAGGGAGGGAAGGCACTGGGAGGCACTGGGGACCATCCCCCCATTGCCGACAGGAGGAAGAAGAGGCGATCCGAAGGCCGGACTGGGCACTTCCACCTATGTGTGTTCCTAAAAAGGTCATGCTCATAGAAGCAGAGAGTGGAACGGAGGGTGCCAGGGGCTGGGTGGAGGGGAGATGCCAGTCAAAGGGCACTATAAACTGTTAGTTACAGGAGGCGGCGGCCCTGGGCTCTAATGTACAGCATGGTGACAACAGCTGGTAAGAACGACTTGTGTACTCGAAATTTGCCGAGAGTAGAACTCGGTGTTCTCACCACACACAAAAAAGGTGACTGTGTGAGGTGGTGGATGGGTTAATCAGCTTGAGTGTGGTAATCATTTCATAGTGTGTACACATATCAAAACATCACGTTGGATGCCATAAATATATACAATGTTTATTGGCCAATCCTACTTTAATAAAGCTGGAAAAAAATTGTTTCATTTAAAAATAATATCCTATTGTGATCACATTTAAACTGATGCTGTGAGTCAGCTTCACTATTTCCGTTAGCGATCTGACTTTCTGTAGCGTGTGTGTGTAAATGTTATGAACTCAGAACAGCCTGGGGCTAGTGTCTTCTAAATAAATTGCACCTTCTGCTATGTTTTTATTAATAAAGCACCACTATTACTTTGGGGTGGAAAAGTCTTGAGCTTGATCTTCCAGGGCCCCGAGGACCAGGCTGCTGTGTTGCACAAGGTGTCCTGGAGTTGTACACAGCGGGGGTCTTGCTGGGAATTCAATAACACGAGGAATGTCTCAAATCCACAACATTCCCTTGTGATAGGTTTTCTAAGAAAATGTCATCATTTTGGACTCAGGACCTTGCAATGTGATCCTTCAACTGATCCTGTCATTCGGTGCTGGCATCTCAAAGTGTTCTCCACAATAGAAGCCCAGGCGGCCGTTTATCAGTGAAGCATGCCTCCCTGGCAATGGATGTTCACTCCGTGCTGTTTTCTATGTCTCTACAGTTGGGCATGAGTCCTGATGCCCTGAGGCACTGTGCAGCCTCTGGTTGGACAGGGAAGGTGAGTGGGGTTGCAGGGAGCATGTGCCATGCCCCTGTTGTATTCCCCCTCCCTCAGCCCGTGCCGGTCATGGACCTGGGAGCACAGTAGTTAATATGGATTTGGAATAGGACATTTTTCTTTAACCATTCATGTGCTGCCTTCAATTCTACAAATTGCAATTTATTTTGTTAAGCCCGTAATTCTTTTTTTGATTTGATCACATAGTCTGAGTGATCTATCTCCACTCATCAAAGTTGGCTGTGCTTGGGCCCAATTCTCAGCCGACGAAGCAGGCTGCGGGTGGTCAACTTTCAGACTCGCTGAGCAGGAGAGACTATCTAGGCTACCAGCTGTCAAAATGTTTGAGCAGCAGAAACCCTTCCTTAAATGAAATCAAATGTAGAACACCAACAAGTTAAAAAAGGAATGCAGGAGGCAAGGCGCGGTGGCTCACACCTGTAATCCCAGCACTTTGGGATGCCGAGGTGGGCAGATCACGAGGTCAGGAGATTGAGACCATCCTGGCTAGCATGGTGAAACCCTGTCTCTACTAAAAAAATACAACAAAAATTAGCCAGGCGTGGTGGTGTGCGCCTGTAATCCCAGCTACTGGGGAGTCTGAGGCAGGAGAATGGTGTGAACCCGGGAGGCAGAGCTTGTAGTGAGCCGAGATGGCGCCACTGCACTCCAGCCTGGGTGACAGAGCGAGACTCTGTCTCAAAAAAAAAAAAGGAATGCAGGATAAGGCAAGGCAGAGGCCTGGTCCACAAACTCAACCCCATTAGCCCCCAAGTGACCCTAAGGAACTTCCTGGACCCCCTATGGCACCATGGAAACCAGGGAAAACCAGAGTTTAAGGTTTTTACTTCACAGCAGAGAAAACAGAGGGCCAGAGAAGGAAAAGGTCAAAATTCGAGTTAGCAGATAAGATGCCACTGGCTGGGCTCAGTTTTCCCTCTGAAATTCCTCACAATTTCAAACAACTTTGATTGCATCAGGAAGAAAAGTGCAGGCAGTGTTACGTTGTAGAGAGTGCAGGCTCTGGAGTCACAAAGGCTGGCTATGAATTGCAGGCCCGCTTCCTGCAAACTATGTGGCCCTGGACAATCACTTAGCTTCTCTGAGCCTCAGTTTCCCCATCTATAATAGTACCTGCCTTGGAGACCTGCTCCGAGTGTCCAATGTCACAAAACCCAAGAGGTGCTACTTCTTCAGACAGCCGCCCCGATGTCTGCAAGGGATGGCAAGGTTCCTCTTACTCCACAGTCTCAGCGTTTCCTGTGAGCATCCTTATTCACACCGGCCGGAATTCTGAATTATAGCTCTGTTTATAATGATTTGAGTTTTGCCGATCTCCGTGTCCAGAATGAGAAAGCGGGCACTCTTCAGGGTGAGCTATGACTCTTTTGCTCTGCATACATCACCAGTACTTAGGACAGTGCCCAGTACATAGTAGGTGCTTAATGTGTTGAATAAATGAACCCATGACACCAAATGCAGTGTGGTGTCCTGGCACAGGGCACTCTGATCGCACTAGTCAAGCACGTGGCCCACTCCTCTACAGGTTTTCTAACCTCCCTCTGCCTCAATTGTCTCCTCTGCAAAATGGAGAAGCAAAGTTCCAGCCTAACAGGGGTCTGGTGAAGAACGAATGAGATGATGCCTGTGAAATTTTGGCAGAGTGTCAGATACCCCATAAGTGCTTAATAAATGTTAGCTATGAAAATCATCACCATTACCCACCAACATATACAAGGTTACTTCCTTTCCTTCCCTTCACAAACTTACCCTGAATCAGAGGTATGGAGGTCAAAATCCCAGTTTTTTAGTCAATGTACAGGCTAGCAAAAGCATTTCTTTTGGGTTTAGAGGACTAACGTGTTCTATTCTGATTCTGGTTTCCAGTTCAGTGTGGGTCGGTGTGAGTGAGTAACCAAGTGAGCTGATCATGTACGCTCTCCACATATGATTTGTGGGGAAGACAAGGACATTTATTCTTTCAATTGGTTCATTCGACAACTACTTACTGAGCAACTACTAGATGCCAGCCATGGTTCTGAATGCTGGGAATAGAGTGGTAAAAATGCAGAGGACATGCAAATTGAAACAACGGAATACCACTACACGCCTACTGGAGTGAACAAAATCCAAACACTGACAACTCCAAGTGCTGACGAGGATGTGGAGGGAGCAGCAGGAACTCTCATTCCTCCCTGGTGGGAATCCAAAATGGCACAGCCATTTTGGAAAACAGATTGGCAATGTCTTACCAAACTAAGCCTACTCTTACTATACAATCCAGCAATCATTTTCCTTAGTATTTATGCAAAGGAGTTGAAAATGTACGTCTGCAGAAAAACTTGCACACAGATGTTTAAAGCAGGTTTATTCACACTTGCCAAAACCTGGAAGCAACTAAGATGTCTTTCGGTAGGCTACCAGGTAAATAAACTGTAGCATGTACAGATAATGGAATATTACTTGTCACTAAAAAGAAATGAGCTATCAAGCCATGAAAGACATACAGAAAACTAAAACGCATATTGCTAAGTGAAAGAAGCCAATCTGAAAAGTCTACACACTGTATGATTCCAATTATGTGACATTCTGGACAAGGCACAACTCTGAAAACACTGAAAAGATCAGTTGTTGCCAGGGTGGAGGGGAACGAGGGATGAATCAGTGGATCACAGAGGGTTTTAGAGCAGTGACATTGCTCCGTATGTCACTACAGTGGTGAATACACATCATTATACATTTGTCCACACCTACAGAATGTATAACACCAAGAGCAGACCCTAATGTATACCATGGATCCTGGGTGATAGTGATGTGCCACCGTAGGTTCATCAAAGGTAAAAATTATACCACTGTGGTGGGGGAAGTGCTGCATGGGTGGGGGCAGCAGGTGCATGGGAAATCTCCTCTTAATTTTGCTGTGAACTTTTACATCTGTTTTTCTTTTTTTTTTTTAAATTATACCTTAAGTTCTAGGGTACACGTGCACAACGTGCAGGTTTGTTACATAGGTATACATGTGCCATGTTGGTTTGCTGCACTCATTGGCTAATCATTTACATTAGGTATTTCTCCTAACGCTATTCCTCCCCCAGCCCCCCACCCCCTGACAGGCCCCAGTGTGTGATGTTCCCTGCCCTGTGTCCATGTTACACCAGTTTTTCTTAAAGTCTTCTTAGAAAAAAAAAAAAAAGATGGCAGTTATCATCCTCATGGAGAGACATCTTTCTTCTAGTTGTGTGTAGGGGGAGAAAGGGGCATAGAAAATAAACAAGATAATTAAAATGTATATTGTGTTCCCAGGTGAAAGTGTAGCCACACAGGAAGTGGGTTAGGGACAGCCAAGGTAGGGAGCAGCTTACAATTTTAAGAGGTCCGAGAAAGACCTGAAATGTAAGCTGACAGTAGACAGAGATCTGAAGGAAGCGAAGGGGTATGCCTTGCAGATTTCCAGAGAAAATCACCCAGGCAGAGAGAACAGTGAGTGCAAAGACCTAGCAGGGGTGGGAGGTGGGTCGGAGAAGGGGCATGTGCGCCTGACGTCAGGGAAACCATGGGGAGCTGCCATGTGACTTTCAAACACTTGAGGATCAAGGGCACCACAGTTTCCAATTTAATTAAGCTCACTACAGCAGGTGAATACTTCCCATTAAAATGTATTACATGCGAATGCTATTTCTGCGGCTCTTTGGGATGTGAGCTTCACATAAAATTGCTCGGTCATCGAGCATCGTGGCCTCCATCTGCACAGCCGCCACCTCCCACTAGCAATTTCATGCACGTGATGAACTCTCCAGCAAATTTATAGGATATTATTCACACTTTGGTTTTTCTCAGAAGGAAGAATAATAATGTATGCTGCTCCAGCAAATTATCTTTTCCACAGGGCTTTCATGCACGGGGTCTCCTTTAATTTGAAGCTCACAAAGCATGAAAGGGAGGGAGCTGTAGGCGCGCCCTACACGAGGAAACTGAGGCTTTCAAGGGGTACACACCTAGGAAGAGGAAAGGCCATTTTCCACGTCTACTACATTGTTGAGTATAATAACCACGCTTCCTTCCTCTCCCTCAGAGTAGCATCCATCACTTACTCATCTTGTTATTTTTGAGGCTTAGCTTTGGGCCTAACTCACAGAAGTTGGCTTTAGAAAGAGCATAGGCTTTGGTGTTAGATCTGAGTCTGGCAGAGTTGTGCGGGAGCCGGCTTATACTAGCTCATCATAATCAAATGCTAAATCTTCAGAAATGTTGCAGGCTGGCTGACACCATATTGTTAGTTTGAAATCAACCATTATGAGAAACTATTTACACCATGGAAATTGGCAAACAGGGCTTGTCCCCCCCCTCCCCCGCCCGGCCCCTGCCACCCTGCCCCGACACACCCCATCCTGGAGAGCTGGTTGTTAAGCATTTACCAGCACACCATTGCTTTTAATCCCAGTACTGACTCTTGTTGGCTATATATTTTGCACAAATAACTTAATCCACTAGTCTTCAGCTTTTCCAGCTGTAAACGAGACAGTAACATCCACCTTGCACGATGGTTCTGAGGATTAATCCAGATAAAATATGCAAAGAGCCATGTGCTGTAGGTGATGGACAAATGGTACTGGTACTACTATTACTGAATAGGTGTGGGATAAATTTACTAATTCCCCATGGACCAAGAGAGTCCTGGTTCAGAAGACCCTTGGGAAAGCATGAAGAGCAGTCAGGAAAACGGGCACAAGAAGGTGCTGTGTTGTGGTGCGGGAGAAGCGGAGTACCCCACACACAGCCCACAGGTCTGGAAGAATCCTGGCTCTTCCACGTGACCCTGGGTAAACCCCATGGCTTCTCTGACTACTGGACGGATTCCCTCACTCACCTGCAGGAACTGCCTGACACACCACAGCCAATCCCCCAAGCCCAGCTGTGTTTTCCCCAATTCCTGTTTTTGTACTGCGTGTCCTCTGGCTCCTCATGCAGCCCTCTGAACAGCTCAGCACAGGCCCCCTGAGTGTCGGAGTGCGGGCAGGTGCATCCTGTGACCCACACTCACAGCTGCCAATCCTGCCCCCTGAAGAATAACAAACTCATGTCACTTACAAAGAAAACATTACACACCTGGTATCTTTAAAGCATAAGATGAAGTTTCCATGGTGCTACAAATGCTGGAACAGTCAAGAATGAGAGAGGGACTCTAGATAGGAGAGCCTCGCCTCTTAACCCTCTATTTATGGGTGTTACCATGGGGATGGGTATGTCGAGGAGGCGCTGGAGACTGATGAAGACATCGCTAATTGGAACTGGGAAAACCCCAGGGACATTCTCCATCTCTGTGTGTTGGGGATGGACCAGGATATCACTTAACCCTCCAGGGCATGGTGGGTGTTTGAAATCTCTATAGTTTTTAAGTTAACCCAGGACACCAAAGCACGATAACCATCCCAGATGGAGGGAAGAGAGCAAGCGAGATAAGCGACTGCTGGTTAGCATCTGTCTTCTCTCACCTGTAAGACAGGGAGGAACTGTCTTCCTCACAGTTCTGCCACCAGGGTCTAGCACAGCATTTGGCATGTCAGGGGCCCTTAACAGCACTACATAAATTAATCTACTGAACGTCAGATGCTAGGGAGACAGAGATGAATAAGGTATGGTCCCCTTCCTCAAGCGGCCCACTGCTCACGGAGGAAACACACACCCCAGCAGATAACCGTGACAGAGCTGCCTTTATGCCATAACAGGATCTGCGAGAAAGCACCACTGTCTGGGGCTGGTGTCCCGAGGAGGGCTGATGGAGGAGGTGAGGCCTGGACTATGAACTCCAAGAGGACAGGAGCCATACTGACTGTCTTCACCACTGCACCCTTAGAAATTGGAACAGTGCCTGGTACCCAATAAGAGCCCAGTGAATAGCGACTTAATGAATGAATTCCTGTGGAGGATGAGCAGGAGTTCTCGCAGTGACCGAAGAACAGACGGTGTTCCAGGCAGAGGGCACAGCCTGAGCAGAGGCCTGGAGAGATGAGAACAGTAGGATGTATGACAGATCACCCACAAACCAGTTAGTATGGACGAGAACAAAAATGGCCCAAGATGGTAGTAGGGGTGGGTGTCAGGGGATGAGACTGTACATAGTGTTACAGGCTAGATCACAGAAAGACGTTCATTCTGAGGGCTTCGGGAGCCATTGTGGTATTTTATGCAGAGGCGTGGTAGGCACAGACTTACGCTTTGATAAGACCTGTCCTGTGAAGGGCACGTGGGTGATGGGTAACTGGCTGGGCATTGAAACAGTAGTTAGGAGCCTATAGCAACAGTTCAGGCTAGGGACAATTGCTTCTGTGGAAATGACACTGCTCAGCATCTAGCAATTGTTTATAAGGCTGAGAAGCTTTGTCAAAGGTTTCCCTGATGCCTTCCAGTCTCTGTCCTCCCCCACGTCCCTTTCCCTGCCCTCCACTACTTCAGCCAGATCGGCTCTGCCTTCAAATACTTAATATAGTTTTATTTTAATCAAAGCTCTCAACACTTAAAATGTAGCCTCTGATTTAAGTGATTGTTTCTTGGCTTAGACTGGCAGGTAGATATCCGTGTACTGACTCAGTCCATTGCAACTCAAAAATGATTCTAGAAACCTACATTGCCCTGAGAGCCATTTAAACTAACTTCTGACATCTGTTCTCATCCTGAGAATGTTCATTCATTCTCTCGGTTGTTTAGGCAATAGACAGGGACAGATGCCTCCCTCCTCCGGTTTTAAACAAAACAGATTAACAGTGAGTCTAGTAAATACAGCCAATTAGGTAAGTAGAAATGGATTTTGAAAATGCAGTCCGAACACATGAATGAACTACTGACCCATTAACATTCAATCAGGATAACAGTCTAATGCTAAAAACGCAAGACACATTTTCCAAAAGGCCGTGTCCTCACGTCTGACGCTGGAGGAGAAGGAGAGAACACGTAGTCACACGGAAACAGGGAGCAACCTCACCTCAGGTGCTCAACCAGCCAGAGGCCAGCCTCAAAGGACAAGTGCTAACACAGGCACGCCTCATTTTCCTGTGCTTCTCTTGACAGCACTTAGCAGATCCTGCATATTTCACAAAGTGGAGGTGCACGGCAACCCTGCATCAAGCACATCCATCGGTGCCATGTTTTCCAACAGCATGTGCTCACTTTGTGTCTCTGTCACATTTTGATAATTCTTGGAATATTTCAACTTTTTTCATTATTATGGTATTTGTTATGGCAGTGATCTTTGTTTTCTTTTTCTTCTTCTTCTTCTTTTTTTTTTTTTGAGACAGTCTCGCTCTGTCACCAGGCTGGAATGCAGTGGTGCGATCTCAGCTCACTGCAACCTCTGCCTCCCGGGTTCAAGCAATTCTCCTGCCTCAGCCTCCCAAGTAGCTGGGATTACAGGCATGCACCACCACGCCCAGCTAACTTTTGTATTTTTGGTAGAGACAGGGTTTCACCATGTTGGCCAGACTGGTTTGGAACTCCTGACCTCAAGGGATCCACCTGCCTCAGCCTCCCAAAGTGATCAATAATCTTTGATATTACTACTACAATTGTTTTGGGGCATCATGAGCTGCACCCATATAAGAAGGTAAATGTAATCAATAAATGTTGTGCATGTTCTGAATGCTCCATCGCTGGTTGTTCCCCTACCTCACTCCCTCCCCTTGGGTCTCCCTATTCCCTGAGACACAACAATACTGAAATTAGGCCAAGCAATAACACTACAATGGCCTCTGAGTGCTCAAGTGAAAGGAAGATTCCTATGTCTCTCAATTTAAATCAAAAGCCAGAAATAATTAAGCTTAGTGAGGAAGGCATGTGAAAAGCCAAAATAGGTTAAAAGCTGGGGTTCTTTTGCCGAGCAGTTAGCCAAGTTCTGAATGCAGAGAAAAAGTTACTGAAGGAACTTAAAAGTGCTACTCCAGTGAACATAACAATGATAAAGAAGAGAAACTGCCTAACTGCTGATACGGAGAAAGTTTGAGTGGTCTGGATAGAAAATCAAACTCGCCACAACATCCCCTTAAGCCAAAGCCTAATCCAGAGCAAGTTCCCAACTCTCTTCAATTTTATGAAGGCTGAAAGAGGTGAGGAAGCTGCAGAAGAAAAGCTGAAAGGTAGCAGAGGTTGGTTCAGGAGGTTTAAAGGGGAAAAAAGCTGTTTCCAGGACATAAAAATGCAAAGTGAAGCAGAAAGTGTGATGGAGAAGCTGTAGCAAGTTACTTAGAATATCTTGCTACGGTCATTGACAAAGGTGGCTACACCAAACAACAGATTTTTCAATTAAACAAAACAGCCTTACACTTAAATAAGGAGGCGAACTTAATAAATGTTGTGTGTGTTCTGAATGCTCCACTCACTGGCCATCCCCCATCTCACTTCGTACAAGTATTGGAGGTAGATGCCATCTAGGACTTTAACATCTAGAAAGAATTCAATGGCCGGTTTTATTTTATTTTTTAATTTAATTTTTTTTTTTTTTTGAGATGGAGTTTTGCTCTTTTTGCCCAGGCTGGAGTGCAGTGGTGCAATCTCAGCTCACTGCAACCCCTGCTTCCTCAGTTCAAGCGATTCTCCTGCCTCAGCCTCCCAAGTAGGTGGGATTACAGGCATGCACGACCACGCCCAGCTAATTTTGTATTTTTAGTAGAGATGGGGTTTCTCCATGCTGGTCAGGCTGGTCTTGAACTCCTGACCTCAGGTGATCTGCCTGCCTCGGGTTCCCAATGTGCTGGGATTACAGGCGTGAGCCACCATGCCCGGCCAATGCCTGGTTTTAAAGCTTCAAAAAACAGGCCGACTCTTGCTAGGGGCTAATGCAGTCGGTGACTTTAAGTTGAAGCCAATGCTCACTTACCATTCAAAAAATCCCAGGGTCCTTAAGAATTTTGCTAAATCTATTCTGCTTGTATTCTATAAATGGAACAACAAAGCCTGGAAGACAGCACATCTGATTACAGAATGGTTTTCTAAATATTTTAAGCTCACTATTGAGAAAACAATACTACTGCTCAGAAAGCAAGATTCCTTTCAAAATATTACTGCTTGTTGACAATACACCTGGTCACTCAAGAGCTCTAATGGAGATGTACAAGACATGAATGTTGTTTTCATGCCTGCTAACATAACATCTATCCTGCAGCCCATGGATCAAGGAGTAATCTTGACCTTCACATCTTATTATTTAAGAAGTACATTTTGGGGCTGGGCGCAGTGGCTCACATCTGTAATCCCAGCACTTTGAGAGGCCGAGGCAGGCAGATTACCTGAGGTCAGGAGTTCGAGACCAGCCTGGCCAACATGGTGAAACCCCATCTCTACTAAAAATACAAATAGCCAGGCATGGTGGCGGCCACCTGTAGTCCCAGCTACTCAGGAGGCTGAGGCAGGAAAATCTCTTGAACCCGGGAGGCAGAGGTTGCAGTGAGCTGAGATCGCATCACTGCACTCCACCCTGGGCAACAGTGCGAGACTCTGTCTCAAAAAACAAAAAAAAAGGAAAAAAAAAGGACATTTTGTAAGGCTACAGCTGCCAGTGATCATGATTCTGCTGATGGATCTGGGCAAAGTAAATTGAAAATCTTCTGGAAAGAATTTGCCATTCTAGATGCCATTAAGAACATCTGTGATTCATGGGCGGTCAAAATATCACCATTAACAGGAGTTTAGAAGAAATTTACTCAACCTTCAGGGGTGACTTTGACAGGTTCAAGACTTCAGTGGAGGGAGTTACTGCAGATGTGGTGTAAGTAGCAAGAGAACTAGAATTAGAAGTAGAGCTGGAAGATATCACTGAATTGTTGCAATCTCATGACCACACTTGAACAGGTGAGGAGTTGATTCTTATGAATGAACAAAGAAAGTAGTTTCTGAAGATGGAAGCTGCTCCATATGAAGATGCCATGAATATTTCTGAATCAATAACAAAGGATTTAGAATATCACATAAACTCAGTTGAGAAATCAGCAGCAGAGTTTTAAAGGATTGACTGTATTTCTGAAAGAAGTTCTACCACAGGTAAAATGCCATCAAACAGCATCTCATGCTACAAAGAAATCTTTCGTCAAAGGAAGAGTTAATCATTGTGGCACACTTTCTTGTTGTCTTATTTTAGGAAGTTGCCACAGCAATCACTGCTCTGATCAGTCAACATCAAGGCAAGACACTCCACCAGCAAAAAGATTAAAACTTGTTGAAGACTCAGATAATCATTAGCATTTTTAGCAATAAAGTATTTTTAAATTATGGTACGTACCTTGTTTTTTAGACATAATTCTATTGCACACTTAATCGACTACAGTATGGCGTAAACAACTTTTATATACACTGCAAACCAAAAAATTGTGTTTCTTGCTTTATTGTGATATTTGCTTTGTTGTGTTCTGATACTGAACCTGCAATATTTCCGACGTATGCCTGTAATGGCAGTAATAGTGGAGACCTTTATTAGTCACCTTAGGTTACCATACATAAAACCATAGATTGGGGGCCTCCAGCAATAGAAATTTATTTCTCACAGTTCTAAAAGCTGGATATCTGAACTCAGGGTGCCAGCAGAGGCAACTTTCTTGCTGCATCCTTAATGAGATCTCTGTGTGTGTGTGTGTGTGTGTGTGTGTGTGTGTGTGTGTCTCACTCTCCATCTTTCTCTTCTTTTTATAAGACCACAGTCCTATCAGATTAATGCCTCACTGTTATGACTTCATTCAGCTGTAATTACCTCTTACAGATCCTGTCTCCAGATACAGTGACATTGGGGGCTAGGGTTTCAACATATGAATTTGAGGCAGGGGGACACAATTTGGTCCATAGCAGCATCATAGCCAGCTAGAGGCAGAGCTAGGATGAGAACCTGGGAGGTCAGACCTCAAAGTGTTGAAACACTCATGCTGCTTTTCTCTCCCCTCACCTTTCCTCCTCTCCCACACCCATCCCACCAGGGCTCCCACTCATGGGACACCCTCACTCTCTGGGGTGCAGCTTTTCTTTCCCTCTCTCCTTTGCCTTCGTTGTCTTAAACCCAAGAGAGTAAAACAGCTTTGCAATACAACAAGTGAAAATATTGCACTTGACAACTCCACTTGGGTCATCACAGGCTTAGGAGCACAAATCATTCGTTCTTTAGAGGCAAAAATTGCTATGAAAATTAATCAATGCAGGCCTTTGCCTCTACCAGTTGTAGAGCACGTCAGCAAAAAAGAATAACGAGAAGGTGTACAGTCAGGGTTTCCAAGGCTGCAATAATTCACCCTCCATGTAATGCGATGAAAAGCTGATGTATCATTAATATAAAGCGGTGGTGTCCTTATGACCCCAACAGGCAATTCCACACTGTGTCCTCTTCTGGTTGGGGAGAGAGAGGCCACCAAAGAGAAGCACAGCTGGAAGAGATCCATCAGGGAAGAGATAGGGTGTGGTACCAAGCAGGGAGGGGCCAGGGCCCCATCACAGCAGCTGTGATAGAGAGGTGACCAGAGTGGACCATGAAGCCAGACAGCCTGGCTTCATGTCCCATCTCCTCCACTTACTAGTGACATGACTCAGTTGTCCCACCTGTAAAATGGGACCAAAAATGGTAGGATAAGGGTAGGAAATGAAAATAGCTGTTGGGAGAATTAAAGAAGTTCAGTAAGACACATATCAAGTGCCCAGGAGATGTTAGTGGCCAGCCACCTGTAAGAACTGGAAGCATTAGGACATGGTGAGTCTGTCTGAGTCTGAATTGCAAATCACATGGTTCAGGCAAGATAGCAAACTGCTTGGGGCCCTGCTTTCTGTCTCTGAGAAATGAGCAGGGCTCATATGGAGTCTCCTGGACAAGGACATGGCATGTGGGCAGCAGGCACCAGTCCTGGGGCCACACAGACTCTACTTGTTTTCTTCTGGAAACAGCTCTGAATTTCCCTCTGGAGAGCCCCTTCCCTCATTGCCTGTCCATGAGACTCAATGGGACAAACCTCCTGCACTGTCCTCCACTGTGTCAGGAATGGGTGTGTGACCAGAGCCAGGTCTGTCACTGCCCACAAGCCTCAGCCTCTGCTGGGGCTGTTCAGCTGGCAGGAGAAATGGGACCCGCCAGGGCTCAATGTGACTCGTGGCTCTGAAAATAAAGCTAACACAGGGGAAAGCAAAAGAAGGCAGTGCAAGGCCAACATCAGCCCTCAGACTAAATGTTTTAGTTATAAAAGCCAATTCCCTTTTGTGCTTAAGCAAGTTTAGGTTTTTCTCCTTCATAACAAAATAACTCCTGACCCCTGTAGTGTGCAAAGTTCTGAGTACTGACCAATGATCTGGTGACCTTTCTCCTTTTAACTTGTAGCTTGAAGGGCCATCGTCTATCAATCTACCTATCAATCATCTATTTATCTATCATCTATTTATTAATCATCTATCATCTATATCTATCATCTGTTAATCTAGTCTATCATTTATGTATCATCTATCTAATATATCATCTATCATTTGTCTATCATCTATGTATTTATCATCTATGCATCATACATATAGGCATGTATATATGATAATAGGTGGATACTATATAAATAAGTGATAGATACACCTATTTATCTGATATAGCTGATATGGTTTGGCTGTGTCCCCACCCAAATCTCATCTTGAATTATAATCCCCATAATCCCCATGTGTCATGGGAGGAACCCAGTGGGATGTATTTGAATCATGGGGCAACTTCCCCTATGCTGTTCTCGTGATAGTGAGTGAGTGAGTTCTCACAAGACCTGATGGTTTTATAAGCATCTGGCATTTTCCCCACTGGCACTCACTCAATCCTGCTGCCCTGTGAAGAAGGTGGCTGCTTCTCCTTTGCCTTCTGCAATGATTGTAAGTTTCCTGAGGCTTCCCCAGCAATGCAGAACTGAGAGTAAGTTAAACCTCTTGTCTTTATAAATTATCCAGTCTCAGATATTTCTTCATAGCAGCGTGAGAACTGATGAATACAGTACATTGGTACCGAGGCAGTAAGGCACCGCTATAGGGACACCCAAAAATGTGGAAGCAACTTTGTAACTGGTCAACAGGCAGAGGTTGCAACAGATTGGAGGGCTCAGAAGAAGACAGGAAGATGTGGGAAAGTTGGAAACTCCTAGAGACTTGTTGGTTTTGCCCAAAATGCTGATAGTGATATGGGCAATTAAGTCCAGGCTGATGTAGTCTCAGATGGAGATGAGAGGCCTGTTGGGAACTGGATTAAAGGTCACTCTTGCTATGCTTTAGCAAAGAGACTGTCAGCATGTTGCCCTTGCCCTAGAGATCTGTGGAACTTTGAACTTGAGAGAGATGATTCAGGGTATCTGGCAGAAGAAATTTCTAAGCAGCAAAATGTTCAAGAGGATGCAGAGCATAAACGTTTGGAAAATGTGCAAACTGAAAACGTGACAGAAAAGAAAAACCCATTTTCGGGGAAGAAATTCAAGGCGGCTGTAGAAATTTGCATAAGTAATGAGGAGCCAAATGCTGATCACCAAGACAATGGGGAAAATGTCTCCAGGACATGTCAGAGACCTTCACAGCAGCCCCTCCCATCACAGGCCCAGAGGCCTATGGGGGAAAAATAGTTTCATGGGCCAGGCCCAGGGCCTTGTTTTTTGTGCAGTCTTGAAAGCTGGTGACCTGTGTCCCAGCTGTAGCTAAGAAAGGCCAAAGTTCAGGTCAGGCTGTTGTTTCAGAGGGTGCAAGCCCCAAGCCTTGGTGGCTTACATGTGGTGTTGGGCATATGGATGCATAGAAATCAAGAACTGAGGTTTGTGAACCTCTGCCTAGATTTCAGAGGATGTATAGAAACACTTGGATCTCCAAGCAGAAGTCTGCTGCAGGGGCAGAGCCCTTATGGAGAACCTCTGCTAGGGCAATGCAGAAGGGAAATGTGGGAGCAGAGCCCCCACACAGAGTCCCCACTGGGGCACTGCCTAGTGGAGCTGTAAGAAGACAGCCACTGTCCTCCAGACCCCAGAATGGCAGATACACTGACAAATTGGACCATGCACCTGGAAAAGTCACAGATACTCAGTGCCAGCCTGTGAAAACAGCTGGGAAGGAGGCTGTACCCTGCAAAGCCACAGAGGCAGAGCTGCCCAAGGCCTGGGGAGCCCAACTCTTGCATCATCATGACCTGGATGTGAGGCATGAAGTCAAAGGAGATCATTTTGGAACTTAAAGGTTTAATGACTGCCCTGTTGGATTTTGGACTTGTGTGGGGCATGTAGCCCCCCTGTTTTGGCCAATTTCTCCCATTTGGAATGGGTATATTTACCTAATACCTGTACCCTATTGTATCTAGGAAGTAATTAACTTGCTTTTGATTTTACAGGCTCATAGGTGGAAGGGACTTGCCTTGTCGCAGATGAGACTTTGGACTTGGACTTTTGAGTTAATGCCGGAATAAGTTAAGACTTTGGGGGACTGTTGGGAAGGCATGATTGTGCTTTGAAATGTGAGGACATGAGATCTGGGAGGGACCAGGGGCAGAATGATATGGTTTGGCTGTGTCCCCACTCAAGTCGCATCGTGAACTGTAATCCCTATAATGCCCACATGTCATGGGAGGGACCTAGTGGGAGGCAATTAAATCATGAGGGTGGTTTCCCCCATGCTGTTCTGGTGATACTGAGTTCTCATAAGATCTGATAGTTTTATAAGCATCTGACATTTTCCCCACTGGCACTCACTCCATCCTGCTGCCCTGTGAAGAAGGTGCCGGCTTCTCCTTTGCCTTCTGCCCTGATTATAAGTTTCCTGAGGCCTCCCCAGCCACGCAGAACTGTGAGTCAATTAAACTTCTTTCCTTTATAAATCACCCAGTCTTGGGCAGTTCTTTATAGCAGTATAAGAGTGAACTAATACACATACACACATATATAACCTCTTACGGTGAACAATATTTTTACTTACAGAAAATATACTTTCATGTCTTCTTTTCAGTTAATTCTCAAAACACTCCTAGCGGTAAACAAGGCATTATAATGTCATTATGACAAGTGAGGAAGTTGAGGCCCAGAGAGTCTGAGGGGTGACTCCAAAGTCAAGCAGTAGGCTCACCCCTTTCTTGCTTATGATAGAAATAAAATAAAAGCCACCAGAGGCTGACATTTGCAGATAATTTTCTTATATACCCAGCCCTGTCATGTAACCAAAGGGCATCTGTCACTAATCTGTTGGTGTCTTGAGGACCATGAACAGAGGATCAAGAAATGGTGCCTAAGGCTGGGCACAGTGACTCATGCTTGTAATCCCAGTACTTTGGGAGGCTGAGGTGGGCAGATCACCTGAGGTCAGGAGCTTGAGACCAGCCTGGCCAATGTGGTGAAATCCTGTCTTTACTAAGAACACAAAAATTAACTGCGTGTGGTGGCAGGCGCTTGTAATCCCAGCTACTTGGGAGTTTGAGGAAGGAGAATCACTTAAACCTTGGAGGTGGAGGTTGCAATGAGCCGAGATTGCACCATTGCACTCCAGCCTGGGTGACAAGAGTGAAACTCCATCTTAAAAAAAAAAAAAAAAAAAAAAGATGATGGCCGAATAGGAACAGCTCCAGTCTACAGCTCCCAATGTAAGCAACGCAGAAGACCGGTGATTTCTGCATTTCGAACTGAGGTACCGGGTTCATCTCACTGGGGAGTGCCGGACAGTGGGTGCAGAACAGTGGGTGCAGCACACCATGCGTGAACCAAAGCAGGGCGAGGCATCGCCTCACCTGGGAAGTGCAACGGGTCAGAGAATTCCCTTTCCCAGACAAAGAAAGGGGTAACAGCCGGCACCTGGAAAATCGGGTCACTCCCACCCTAATACTACGCTTTTCCAATGGGCGCAACAAACGGCACACCAGGAGATTATATCCCGCACATGGCTCAGAGGGTCCTACACCCACAAAGCCTCGCTCATTGCTAGCACAGCAGTCTGAGATCTAACTGCAAGGCCACAGCGAGGCTTGGGGAGGGGCGCCCACCATTGCCAAGGCTTGCGTAGGTAAACAAAGCAGCTGGGAAGCTCGAGTGGGTGGAGCCCACCACAGCTCAAGGAGGCCTGCCTGCCTCTGTAGGCTCCACCTCTGGGGGCAGGGCAAAGACAAACAAAAGGCAGCAGTAACCTCTGCAGACTTAAATGTCCCTGTCTGACAGCTTTGAACAGAGTAGTGGTTCTCCCAGCATGCAGCTGGAGATATGAGCACAGGCAGACGGCCTCCTCAAGTGGGTCCCTGATCCCCAAGTAGCCTAACTGGGAGGCACCCCCCAGTAGGGGCAGATTGACACCTCACACGGCCGGGTACTCCTCTGAGACAAAACTTCCAGAGGAACGATCAGGCAGCAGCATTTGCGGTTCACCAATACCTGCTGTTCTGCAGCCACTGCTGCTGATACCCAGGGAAACGGGGTCTGGAGTGGACCTCCATTAAACTCCAACAGACCTAAAGCTGAGGGTCCTGACTGTTAGAAGGAAAACTAAAAAACAGAAAGACATCCACACCAAAAACCCATCTGTACATCACCATCGTCAAAGACCAAAGGTAGATAAAACCAAAAAGATGAGGAAAAAACAGAGCAGAAAAACTGGAAACTCTAAAAATCAGAGTGCCTCTTCTCCTCCAAAGGAACGCAGCTCCTCACCAGCAATGGAACAAAGCTGGACAGAGAATAACTTTGACGAGTTGAGAGAAGAAGGCTTCAGAAGATCAAACTACTCCGAGCTGAAGGTGGAAGTTTGAAGCAACGGCAAAGAAGTTAAAAAACTTGAAAAAAAAAATTAGACGAATGGCTAACTAGAATAACCAATGCAGAGAAGTCCTTAAAGGACCTGATGGAGCTGAAAACCACGGCACGAGAACTACGTGACGAATGCACAAGCCTCAGTAACCGTTGCAATCAACGGGAAGAAAGGGTATCAGCGATGGAAGATGAAATGAATGAAATGAAGCGAGAAGGGAACTTTAGAGAAAAAAGAATAAAAGAAACTAACAAAGCCTACAAGAAATATGGGACTATGTGAAAAGACCAAATCTACATCTGATTGGTGTACCTGAAAGTGACAGGGAAAATGGAACCAAGTTGGAAAACACTCTGCAGGATATTATCCAGGAGAACTTCCCCAATCTAGCAAGGCAGGCCAACATTCAAATTCAGGAAACACAGAGAATGCCAAAAAGATACTCCTCGAGAAGAGCAACTCCAAGATACATAATTGTCAGATTCACCAAAGTTGAAATGAAGGAAAAAATGTTAAGGGCAGCCAGAGAGAAAGGTCGGGTTACCCACAAAGGGAAGCCCATCAACCTACCAGCTGATCTCTCGGCAGAAACTCTACAAGCCAGAAGAGAGTGGAGGCCAATATTCAACATTCTTAAATAAAAGAATTTTCAACCCAGAATTTCATATCCCGCCAAACTATGCTGCATAAGTGAAGGAGAAATAAAATAATTCACAGACAAACAAATGCTGAGAGATTTTGTCACCACCAGGCCTGCCCTAAAAGAGCTCCTGAAGGAAGCACTAAACATGGAAAAGAACAACCGGTATCAGCCACTGCAAAAACATGCCAAATTGTAAAGACCATCGAGGCTAGGAAGAAACTGCATCAACTAACGAGCAAAATAACCAGCTAACATCATAATGACAGGATCAAATTCACACATAACAATATTAACCTTAAATGTAAATGGGCTAAATGCTCCAATTAAAAAACACAAACTGGCAAACTGGATAAAGAGTCAAGACCCATCAGTGTCCTGTATTCAGGAAACCCATCTCACATGCAGAGACACACATAGGCTCAAAATAGAAAGATGGAGGAAGATCGACCAAGAAAATGGAAAACAAAAAAAGGCAGGGGTTGCAATCCTAGTCTCAGATAAAACAGACTTTAAACCAACAAAGATCAAAAGAGACAAAGAAGGCCATTACATAATGGTAAAGGGATCAATTCAACAAGAACTAACTACCCTAAATATATATGCACCCAATACAGGAGCACCCAGATTTATAAAGCAAGTCCTTAGTGACCTACAAAGAGACTTAGACTCCCACACCATAATAATAGGAGACTTTAACATCCCACTGTCAACATTAGACAGATCAATGAGACAAAAAGTTAACAAGGATATCCAGGAATTGAACTCAGCACTGCACCAAGGAGACCTAATAGACATCTACAGAACTCTCCACCCCAAATCAACAGAATATACATTCTTTTCAGCACCACACCACACCTATTCCAAAATTGACCACATAGTTGGAAGTAAAGCACTCCTCAGCAAATGTAAAAGAACAGAAACTATAACAAACTGTCTCTCAGACCACAGTGCAATCAAACTAGAACTCAGGATTAAGAAACTCACTCAAAACCGCTCAACTACATGGAAACTTAACAACCTGCTCCTGAATGACTACTGGGTACATAACGAAATGAAGGCAGAAATAAAGATGTTCTTTGAAACCAATGAGAACAAAGACACAACATACCAGAATCTCTGGGACACATTCAAAGCAGTGTGTAGAGGCAAATTTATAGCACTAAATGCCCACAAGAGAAAGCAGGAAAGATCCAAAATTGACACGCTAACATCACAATTAAAAGAACTAGAGAAGCAAGATCAAACACATTCAAAAGCTAGGAGAAGGCAAGAAATAACTAAGATCAGAGCAGAACTGAAGGAAATAGAGACACAAAAAAACCTTCAAAAAATCAATGAATCCAGGAGCTGGTTTTTTGAAAGATCAACAAAATTGATAGACTGCAAGACTAATAAAGAAGAAAAGAGAGAAGAATCCAATAGACACAATAAAAATGACAAAGGGGATATCACCACCGATCCCACAGAAATACAAACTACTATCAGAGAATACTATCAACACCTCTACGCAAATAAACTAGAAAATCTAGAAGAAATGGATAAATTCCTCGACACATACACTCTCCCAAGACTAAATCAAGAAGAATTTGAATCTCTGAATAGACCAATAACAGGATCTGAAATTGAGGCAATAATTAATAGCTTACCAACTAAAAAAATTCCAGGACCAGACGGATTCACAGCCGAATTCTACTAGAGGTACAAGGAGGAACTGGTACCATTCCTTCTGAAACTATTCCAATCAATAGAAAAAGACAGAATCCTCCCTAACTCATTTTATGAGGCCAGTATCATCCTGATACCAAAGCCTGGCAGAGACACAACCAAAAAAGAGAATTTTAGACCAATATCCTTGATGAACCTTGATGCAAAAATCCTCAATAAAATACTGGCAAACCGAATCCAGCAGCACATCAAAAAGCTTATCCACCATGATCAAGTGGGGTTCATCCCTGGGATGCAAGGCTAGTTCAACATATGAAAATCAATAAACGTAATCCAGCATATAAACAGAACCAAAGACAAAAACCACATGGTTATCTCAATAGATGCAGAAAAGGCCTTTGACAAAATTCAACAACCCTTCATGCTAAAAACTCTCAATAAATTAGGTATTGATGGGACATATCTCAAAATAATAAGAGCTATCTATGACAAACCCACAGCCAATATCATACTGAATGGACAAAAACTGGAAGCATTCCCTTTGAAAACTGGCACAAGACACGGATGCCCTCTCTCACCACTCCTATTCAACATAGTGTTGGAGGTTCTGGCCAGGGCAATCAGGCAGGAGAAGGAAATAAAGGGTATTCAATTAGGAAAAGAGGAAGTCAAATTGTCCCTGTTTGCAGACGACATGATTGTATATCTAGAAAACCCCATTGTCTCAGCCCAAAATCTCCTTAACCTAATAAGCAACTTCAGCAAAGTCTCAGGATACAAAATCAATGTACAAAAATCACAAGCATTCTTATACACCAACAACAGACAAACAGAGAGCCAAATCATGAGTTAACTCCCATTCTCAATTGCTTCAAAGAGAATAAAATACCTAGGAATCCAGCTTACAAGGGATGTGAAGGACCTCTTCAAGGAGAACTACAAACCACTGCTCAATGAAATAAAAGAGGATACAAACAAATGGAAGAACATTCCATGCTCATGGGTAGGAAGAATCAACATCGTGAAAATGGCCATACTGCCCAAGGTAATTTATAGATTCAATGCCATCCCCATCAAGCTACCAATGACTTTCTTCACAGAATTGGAAAAAACTACTTTAAAGTTCATATGGAACCAAAACAGAGCCCACATTGCCAAGTCAATCCTAAGCCAAAAGAACAAAGCTGGAGGCATCACGCTACCTGACTTCAAACCATACTACAAGGCTACAGTAACCAAGACAGAATGCAACTGGTACCAAAACAGAGATACAGACCAATGGAACAGAATAGAGCCCTCAGAAATAATGCCATGTATCTACAACTATCTGATCTCTGACAAACCTGAGAAAAACAAGCAATGGGGAAAGGATTCCCTACTTAATAAATGGTGCTGGGAAAACTGGCTAGCCATATGGAGAAAGCTGAAACTGGACACCTTCCTTGTACCTTATACAAAAATTAATGCAAGATGGATTAAAGACTTACATGTTAGACCTAAAACCATAAAAACCCTAGAAGAAAACCTAGGCAATACCATTCAGGACATAGGCATGGGCAAGGACTTCATGTCTAAAACACCAAAAGCAATGGCAACAAAAGCCAAAATTGACAAATGGGATCTCATTAAACTAAAGAGCTTCTGCACAGCAAAAGAAACCACCATCAGAGTGAACAGGCAACCTACAGAATGGGAGAAAATTTTCGCAACCTACTCATCTGACAAAGGGCTAATATCCAGAATCTACAATGAACTCAAACAAATTTACAAGAAAAAAACAAACAACCCCATCAAAAAGTGGGCAAAGGATATGAACAGACACTTCTCAAAAGAAGACATTTATGCAGCCAAAAAACACATGAAAAAATGCTCATCATCACTGGTCATCAGAGAAATACAAATCAAAACCACAATGAGATACCATCTCACACCAGTTAGAATGGAGATCATTAAAAAGTCAGGAAACAACAGGTGCTGGAGAGGATGTGGAGAAATAGGACTTTTACACTGTTGGTGGGACTGTAAACTAGTTCAACCATTGTGGAGGTCAATGTGGCGATTCCTCAGGGATCTAGAACTACAAATACCATTTGACCCAGCCATCCCATTACTGGGTATATACCCAAAGGATTATAAATCATGCTGCTATAAAGACACATGCACACGTATGTTTACTGCGGCACTATTCACAATAGCAAAGACTTGGAACCAACCCAAATGTCCAACAATGATAGACTGGATTAAGAAAATGTGGCACATATACACCATGGAATACTATGCAGCCATTAAAAATGATGAGTTCATGTCCTTTGTAGGGACATGGATGAAGCTGGAAACCATCATTCTCAGCAAACTATCACGAGGACAAGAAACCACACACTGCATGTTCTTACTCATAGGTGGGTATTGAACAATGAGAACACATGGACACAGGAAGGGGAACATCACACTCCAGAGACTGTTGTGGGGTGGGGGGACGGGGGAGCGATAGCATTAGGAGATATACCTAATGTTAAATGACGAGTTAATGGGTGCAGCACACCAACAAGTCACATGTATACATATGTAACAAACCTGCACGTTGTGCACATGTACCCTAAAACTTAAAGTATAATAATAAAAATAAAAATAAAAATAAAAAAAGGTGCCTAAGTAAAGGCTACTCCAACACATTCCTTTCCTTTAACATACATCATACAAGCTCCACTAGGCATCTGATCTTCTTAGTCCACCTTAAGGAGTCCCACCTGAAAAACTTCAGGTTCAGAGATAATCATCTCAGCAGTATTTACATTGGCAAAATAATTAGAAACAGCCCAAGTAACCCACATGACAGAATGAAGGTTCGATTAGATGGCTTATTGTGCTTTTCCTTAGTGGAATATTATGTAGCCATTAAAAATGATTTACAAAGAGTTTGCAGTAACAAGGAGGTAGCGCTCCCGCCAGATATTAATTCAGAAAATGGAATACAAAATTTCTCTGAATGTTTATATATCAATAACACATACAGTTATATGTCATTGATATGAAAAAAAATACAAGAAAAGGAGTATAAAAATAATTACACACCAAAATTTAATCTGAGTCTGAAGAGCTTCTGGGTAATTTTTGTTTTCTGACGTATTTTATTTTCTATATTTTGCCAAGAACACATATTGCTGTTCGGATTAAAGATTTACTTTAGAAAATTCCCTTGCATAGCAATCAAAACATGACGGGGTTTATTTCTCCCAAACAATCAAAGTTTTTAGATCACTGCACAGAGACACGAAGAACTCTCGGTGGATACTGAGACTCCAGCAGACAAGGTTTGGTTTGGGTTTTCTCCATGGCAATGCCCATGTCTGTGGCACCTGGCACGCACACCTTGATTTTCTCAGATGGGACAATCTGTGTTCCTCTTTGTTCTCCTATCATCCAATGTTCAAAGTGCTTCTAAGTGTGCAGGGCAACTGAAATCAGTGGTGGTCAAGTATGTGCAAAGCTAGACTTACCCCTCCAGGGTGGCCATCCCAACTCTTAAGGTCAGTGGGTCAACTGATCCGCTGAATGAAATGGTCAGAATTTGTTTCCTAAAGCGGCCTGTCCTCCCTCTCCCCTTCAACACAATCCAGCTTAGGAAACATTTGCTAAGTCCCTCCAATGTGTCAGATACTGTGTTAGACTACCCAGAAACAAGCAATTTCTGTGTGAGGACAGATAAGTAACCCAATAACCTGGGTTCACTGTGATAAAGATGGCATTAGGTCAAACACAGGAGAAGACTGAGGTCGCGAGGGGCACTCAGCTGGCCTGTGGGTCTTCAAGGGCTCTTGACCTAAGGGTTTCCTAAGCTGGGTGCCAGGAATGCACAGGTGTTGGTTAGGGGACACTGGAGAAGGGGACGTGAGTGTTTTAGGAAGATATTTCACACGCAAAAGCACAGAGGCAGGGAACCACCAACAGGATGTGTTTCTAGGATGCACATTTAAAGTGAAGATAATAGCCAAGGACGGGTTGGAGTGAAAGTTCTGAAACATGGGTGATGGCAGGTTTTGGGGGCAGGATAGAGAATTCCGAATTTGGTACGTCCGTGATGGGCAGCCATCTGTACTGAAGTAGAATACTGGTTTCCAGTTGCCCTTCCTGCCATCAGCTGTATGGCTGTGACTTTCTGAAACACTGAGCTCCCCACTCCCTTTAGTAGCCTATCTTCGGCATTCTCTTATAACGTTCCACGTATCTTCTCAAATACGCAAAACACTTCTCCATTTATTTTCAACTCTGATTCATCAGATAAGAGGACAGAATTAAAATGAAAATGAAACATATGCCTATAGACTTCATCAGAAAATGTACTCTACAAAATACTTAAGAATAACTGAACCCAGAAAATTGCATCCCTTTCCCTTTACAATGCGGAAGAGTCCCTCTAGCAGAGGCGAATTTGCATTTGGCTCCCCACAGGGGAACCCACAGGAGCCCTGGATGGAGCCACACTCACCACAGATTGACCAGGAAGGGGTGCTCCAGCCCTTGCATGATCTGCAGCTCCCGGAAAACATTCCGAACCTCATCCCTCTCGATGCACTTCTGCTTGTTCATGTACTTCATTGCATACATTTTCTTAGTGTCTCGCTTCTGCACGATGCATACCTGAGCGACAGCCAAAGGAGAGAACAGTCAGGCCAACAATCGAAAAGGGAGACAAAGGAGAAATGTCACCCCGCACTGCATTTTTACTTCTGGATTCACGTCCCTGTTCTTGAAATCTGCTAGGGGAGCAGCTCTGCTAAGTTAGGCACAACCTCTCTGCATCTGCAGAATGGAGGAGTTGGACCAGATTCATCCATTTATTAAACATTGACATGAGCACTGGCCATGTACTAAGTGTTGAAAGAGGAGATGCAAACACAGAAGATGGAAGAAGCAGGCCTGCCCTCAAGGGGCTCACAGCCCACGAGGAAAATAGATAAATGCAAAAAGCACCAGTGACTATAACCCTGAGATGTGTGGCGTGCACGAGTGTCGCAGACTCCGTCTGTGCCCACCTGAATCTCCTCACCTTTCCCACTTCTGCACCTACCTGCCTGACTTCCATCCACCAGTCCTGCATTTCTCTCCCTGAGGACTCTCTTTTGCCAGTAGGGCCCACTTTGCTGCCCATGTAGCAGACCAGCCAAGCCAGGGAATTAATGTCCTCAGAGCAACATTCGATCCACGACTGTTAGAAACGGGAGTATCAGTACCCCCACTCCCTTGCCCGTCACCTGGGATGAGGCTGATGCCAGTGTTTACACTGGCTCCCGGAGTTTGTAAGTTTGCCTAGCCCCACAGTGGGGTAACAAGCTTAACACAGCACACCCTTTCCTGGCTGTCTTCCTTCCTACCCTTCTCTGTGTTCTTTCTGCCTCTCCCATGCCCTGTCCTCAAATCTTTGCCTTGGAGCCTGATTCTGGGGAAACCCAAACTCAGGCACATGGGTTCTGGGGGAGCACAGGAGAAGCTGGGGACAGCTATGATGACAGTGGTCCTGTATTGAGCACTTTACTGCAGGTCAGACACTGAGCAAATCATCTCCTTGACCATCTCACTGAATCCCTATAAGAACCTTATGGATAAAGCATGAGGGAGCTGTAGCCCCAAGTGTACTAATTAACTTGTTCAGAGTTCAACAAACCACCAAGTGGCAGGGTGGGGGTTCAAATCCATGAGGCCTGGACTTCTGAGCGACTGCCTTACCTGGGGGCAGTTGGGGGCAAGGTGGGAGGATGGGAGCTGTCAGAGAAGGCTCTCCGCAGGATCAAAACCAGGGGGCAAGCTCTAAAGGATGGGAAGATGGTAAGGGTGAAGGAAGAGGCTTTGAGGGAAAGGGAATCCTGTAACGGAGGGCGTGGAGCCGAGGAGACACAGCAAGCACAGCAGGAAAAGTGAGCAGGGCTGACATGCACATGTGGCATGGACAGTTAGCAAGGATTGTATGAGCTAGTCTTCCCAACACCCCGAGGAGGGACTGTATTGGTTCCTTGGACAGTTAGCAAGGATTGTATGAGCTAGTCTTCCCAACACGCCGAGGAGGGACTGTATTGGTTCCTTGGACGGTTAGCAAGGATTGTATGGGCTAATCTTCCCAACACCTCGATAAGGGATTGTGTGGGTTCCTCAGGTTGCTGTAACAGTACCTCAAACTGGGGGATTTAAACAACAGAAATTTATTGGCTCATAGTTCTGAGGGCTGGGAGTCCAAAACCAAGGTGTCAGCAGGGTCCTGCCCCCTCTGAAGGCTCCTGGGGGGATCCTCCTCTGCCTCTTCCAGAGTTGGGCAGCTCCAGCAACCCCTGGTGCCCTTAGCTTGCAGCTGCAGCTCTTCCGTCCTAGGCTCTGTTGTCACATGGCATCCTCCCCTACGTCTCTGTGTCATTCATCTTCTTATAAGGACACCAGTCAGAGTAGACTTAGGCCCACTCTCATCTAGTATGACTTCATCTTAACTAATTACACTTAAAATGACGCCATTTCCAAAGAAGGCCACATTCTGAGGTTCCAGGAGGAGTTGAATTTGGAGGGGTGGGACACCGTTCCATCAAGGACAATGACTATTACTATCCCCGCTTCACAGAGAGAGGAAAGTGAGGCCTAGAAAGGTTTTAGTGCTTTCTCGAGGCTCAACTCAAACCCAGGCTCTCTGCCTCCCCAGCTGTCACTTTTCACCCACAGTGTGGCCTTCCTGAGAAATGGGACACGCCGGCAATAACGCTGTTGGCTTGAGGACCCAGCGAAGGAACTCGGGGTTTTCTCCTGGTGTCACAGCCTCTCTTCTGTTGGAAATTGACCCCACTCAGCTCTGACACGTTGCAAATCTATTCAAGGCAGATACAGGACGATGGCAGAAGCCTGATTTCCGACTCCAGCTTTGGTTCTTTGTGCCTCTCTTGGCCTCAGTCTCCGCATATTTCTGAACTGAGTCAGCAAAACCCACCCGGCACCACTGGGGTGAAACCAAACAGGAGCAGGAAGTGGGAGTGCCAGGCGGCACTGAGGGACGATAAATGTCAACTGCATCTCAATGTATTAGATAGCACGTTGCATGAAATCTCCAAAAAGATGTTTTTTCCACAGAGTAAAATTTACGGCATGAGGTCGAAGGCCCACAGAACACCCATTTCCAGTAGTGAACGTGAGAATATAAAATGCAAGGAGGCAAAGGTATGACGTGCAAACGTACCTCAGGGGTCCTGGCTTTGTGGGAATCCAAGCAAAGACTTCTGGAGGCCCGGGCACCAGGCTCTGAGACCCATGTCTGAAGCCAGACATGTCGTGGGAGGATAATCCCACTAATTAGAATTTGTGGTCTCTCTCACTTCTCATTCGCCTTCTCAGAAGAGACAGCAGGCACTGCCTCTGCGGGGCTGGGACCTGGCTGTCAGCTGGCTGCATCGCTGTGAAAAGCTTAGGCTGGGAGACAGTCTGTGTAGCGTCCCCGGGGCTGCGTCCCTTCAGATAAAGACATCCATGGCGCTTCTGGGTTTCAAGGGACAGCTCTCACCTCAGCTCAGAGACATTTTAGGAATTGGAAGAGACTCTCCAAAATTAAATTAAAACTGGCTTTCAAAGGAGAACTCATGATTTCAATAGAGCTTGGAAGTTTGACTTTTCAATACAAGCAAAAGCAGGCGGTTGATACAGGATATTGGATGCAGCCTGGAAGTTTTGATTTGCAAATAAGAGAGGCCAAGGATCAGGGGTCTTGGCCAGCTTGATGCAGAGACCTGAGTGTGGCTGGCATCCATTCATCATCTGGGCCTTGACTACCTCCTCGGTAAATTCAGGGCTAAGACCTCATGCTATCTAAGGCACCTCAGAAAAATTCTGTTTCTCAGGAACACAGAGCAAAGAGAGCTACACCAGGAGTCAGGAAAACTGGGCTCTGGGCCTAGCCCTCTTGCAGATTGAGTGGGGCTGTGCACAAACCTCAGCCGCTCTGGACTTGCTTCCTCACTGACCAAGAAGGGTTGGTAACAACAGCTTAATTAACCTGACCAGGAGATAGAGGCTAAAAGAGAAAAAAACAAAAAACAAAGAGCTAAGCTAAATCTAATGCACTGAGTGGAGACAAGTGGGTCTCCAACGGGTGGGTCTTCCAGGGAGTCACAGAGTCACAGAGAGTTTGAGCTCAGGGGCTACTCCTGAGCAGGGCTTAAATTCCAGCTGTTTGCTGTGTGACCATAGGCAAGTCGCCCACCCTCTCTGAGCCTCATTCTGCTCATCGGAGATCCTGCTGTTCACCCTGTGATAATACAGTGTAAAGCTAGCAGCCTGCAACCTGGAAAAGGGCCCACTCCAGAATCTGACCATGCTGCCACCTTAATGTGGGACTTGCAGCCTCTAGAACTGGGAGAAATAAATCTTTGTTCTTTTAGACACCCAGTCTGCGGCATGTGTGATAGCAGCCCAGGCGGACTAAGACAGTGCTCTTATTTGGATAGGGGTCTTTGCAGATGTAATTAAGTTAAGGATCTCAGGATGAGATCAACCTGGATTAGGACGGGCCCAAACCAAATGACAAGCGTCCTTAGAAGAGAAGAGAAGGGGAGGAGACACATCCAGGCGGAAGGCTATGTGAGGACGGATGCAGAGGTTGGAGTGATGAATCTACAAGCCAAGGAATGCCGAGGCTGGCCAGCAGCACCAGAAGCTGGGTGATGGCATGGGACAGACCCACCTTCAGAGCCTCTAGAAGGAATCTACCCTGCCCACAGCTGGATTCAAGACTTCTGGCCTTCGAAACTGTAAGATAATAAATTTCCACTGTTTTAAGCTACCTGGTTTAGGAAGTTATCACAATCTATAAGGGTCCACCACTGCCACCCACCAGGGGCTAAATAACCTGGCCAAACACTCTGTAGTCCTCAGTTTCCTCTACTGTGAAATGGGTCTACAGAACCGGCCCTACCAGGTCCACAGTCGGGTCTCCATGGGACAGAGTGGGAAGAGCCAGCCATAGCATGTGGCCCATGCGGAGGAGCAGGAAACACAGGCTGGTGGAGTGAGGGGTAGACTGATGCCTGGAACCAAACCCTTAGCCTCTCGCAAAGTGTCCTCTCTCCATGGGTCCCTGTAAATACAGTGATTTCTGGTAGTTTAAGGTTTAATGTTTGGAATTTCAGAAATAGGGAGAATTTACTGATAGCTTCCAAACTGGCTACCCCACCTCTGCTCTGGTCTCTGCAGATATCCTTTTGCCTGGTGAGAATGTCTGAAAAATCAAAGACTTAAAGCCTGCAAGGGCATTCTTTTGCCTTCAGAAAATGTTTGAGGTCAAGGTCTTGGCATTCAAAGACCTTGTCCCCTCCAACATCTCTCTCTCTCTCTTACACACACACACACACACACACACACACACACACACACACACAGCCTTCACTCTATCTCAAACTCTTTAGAATTTCTTTGAAGAGTTTCTCTATCACCAACCTCTCCTGCCCTTGTTACCTCCTTCCCTGACCTACTGCCACCCAATTTACATCTTTCAGAAACTTCCCTTTAATCCTTGAAGCTGTATGCGGTGCCCTTCCCACTAAGCTGCCATAAATCCTGTTTCTACTGTAAGGCTTGACACACTGTATTATAAATCCCCGTTTTTATCTGGCAGTCAGACTCCAAGCACCCTGCAGACAGAGGCCTTGCCAACTCAGTTCCTGTTCAGGGGCTCACACATGTGAAAGTGTCACCTTCACTCATGACTCTCCACATTAGCATATTTCACGTACTCTGCCTGGAATACCTTCCCTGCAAGCCTTCTCCTGTCCCACTCCTTACCCGCTACTGCCTGACCTCAATGCTTCCCTGGCCCTGACCTCCAAGTCTGAATCCTCAAAGCAGCTGAATTTCATACATGCTCGGTCTATCATGTCCCACATGGCCCAGAGCAGGTCAGTGGTCCTCAGTGATTCCATGTGTACAGTGTAGGAAGAGGCTTCCGTTCTTCCCTGCTCAAAATCCCATGACAACCATGTGATTGAGGGATCTGCTGAAACTGATGTAGCATTTTGGCCTCACAAGCTCACAACAGGTGTTCTAGAAGGAAGCTGAACACTTGTCACCAACAGCAAACTCTATCCAGGTCCTGGGAACCTTCAACTTCAAAATAGAAGAGCTAGGTCTCAAGTGGCACCTCGCCTAAGTTTGGGGTCCTTGGCAGGGCTGCTCAGAGCCTTTTTCCACAGGAAATCACAGTTAATGAGGTGACAGCAAGCAATCTGGCCAAAGCCACCCAAGCTGCTACTGAAAGGCAAGCACCCAATTAACATTCCTCATTAGTCTAACTCAATTAGGACCTGATGTCATCATTATTAATTACAACTTAATGGGACAAATAAATAAATGCTAGCTAGCACGGATTTCAGCTGATTTGCTGTAAGAAAGGCATGCCAAACACACTGAGCATCAGAAATTTGGGAATGGATCCTGAGTCAGTGGAGAAGGTGGCTGGAGCATACTGAGAACCTGCAACACACCTGCACGCGGTGGTCACAGTCCTGACTTTACAGTATATTCCGGGCGCTGACAATGTCGATTCTGCAGCACACCCAAAGCTCTAGGAGGCCCTGGGATTTTGTATTTTTTTAGATGTATCCCAGGGAAGGCTGAAGTACAACCAGAGTTGAGAATGATTTCACTGCAATCTTCAAGAAAGTCCTCGTTCGGTGTCTTCACAGTGTCCTTTATGGTCAGGGCTCTAATCGCTGGTTAGCAGCTCAGGCAACCCAGGCTCCAGGAGGACAGAGGAGTACAGAACAGAGAGGCTAGAGCTGTGCTGGAACCTCAGGACTATGGGGTGCAAAGTCTCGAGGATCCTTTCATAGTGAGCCTGGGCTGCCCTCTTCTCATCTTGCTTACTGGGCAGCTGCGGGTCTGACTCTACCCCATCAACGGGACCTGAGGCAGACACTGGGCTAGTTCTTCTCTGTGCTGCCCATCTCTACCATCCCCCAGCTTGAGAAGCACTCAGTAAATACTGTTGAATGAATAAACAGCTACAGTGTGACATTAAAAGATGCTGGTTATGCTTGCAGGGGCAAGATTCTGGGAAATGACCGATTTGGGGTGGGTGGGGGTAGGGGGAAGAAAAACAATTAAATATGGTTACTAAAGAGATGATCAAGCTGGCTACTATATTGCTCAAATAATTCGCTGAAAGAAGACTATGTTTGGCGGATGAAGCTTTTTACTACCCAATATGCACTCTCCCCTTTTCTCCTTTATAGCAGGACCATTTACTTCAAGAAAGCAATGTGATCCGTTCTATACACACTTACAGCCAGCAACAGCCACAGTTCTAGCCAAGGAGATGTTAGTTTGCTAGAGGTTTCTAGGGAAAGTCTTGCGTTCTGTACAAAAGAGAATAACTACAGATGGTCTCACCTTTTTCTCTTCTCCAACTTTCTTCCTGTCCTTCCTACCTTGAACACGGATGTAATGTCTGGAACAACAGCAGCCCCTTGTGATCATGAGGCCAAGAAAGTCTCAGAGATGCTGAACCTCCTATCATGGAGCCACCTGCCTTCAGATTTCTTGTTATGTGAGAAAAATAAGCCCCTCTTTGTTTAAGCCACCATGAGGCAGGTTTTTTGTCCCTTGCTGCTGAGTCCACAACTGATATACAAATTATGACTTTTCACAGCACATAAATCCCATGTGGGCTCTCATCAATGGTGGTCTCATTGGAGGGATCAAAAGTTGGTCTCAAGAAAAATACTTACTTGGATGAGTATTTCACTCAATAAACATGTATTAGGTGCGTGCCATGGGCCTGGTACCATGTCAGCCATGAGGACATCACTCTCCCCTGGGAACCCGAGGTATAATGGGATAATCAGACAATATGTAGGAGTAAAGGCCAAAGTCCTTCACTGTGGATCCCCAGGCCCTAAGTGGGCTGGCCTCAGTTCCCCTCCTACTCCCCACAGCGACCTCTGCTCCTTCCCTGTACCTGCCATGCTGTTCTCAGGCATCCACAGGTCTTGGGCCCTTGCCTCCTTCAGGCTGTGCTCACAGGTCATGTTACCAACTAAGCCAACTCTGACCTCCCTGTGTGAAGGGGCAAAGCCGTCCCCAGCACCCCAGCCTCCCTCTCTGCTGTGCTCCCATCACAGGACATGCTTCCTGCTTCGTGCATCCATTGTCCACTCCCCCTACTGAGTTGTGAACCCCATGACAACAGGGATTTTTCTCTTACGTTCACTGCATCATCCTCAGTGTCTGGCACATAGCAGGCACCTAGCTGATAACTGTGGCTGAATGAATGAATGAGTCATTACTATTTAGAAAACACACGGGAGAGGTGAGCACATGGGACTAAGGGACCCCAGAAGGGGGATCCTAAACCAGATATGGGATTTGGGAAAGGCAATCCGGAAAAGGTAGCACCTGAACCTTAGCACAGTCACCAAGGGTTGGTCTCATGAGGACAGAGGTGTGGGGAGGGGGAGAAGGAAGGGGGTTACCAGGAGAGGGCACAGCCTCTGTGGAAGTTCAGAGAGATGAGACATGCCGTGGCACGTGTTGACACACTGGTAGTTTTCTCAACTTCCTCATCTGTACAATGGGGATAAGAGTGGTATTTGCCTTAATGGGCAGTTATAAAGGCTCCATGGTAAGCACTGAGTATGCGGTTCATTATGGTTGTGTGATCAGCATCCATCTCTCTTCTGAAGGGCACAGGACATTGTGGAGATGTGCAAAGCGGCCCAAGAAGGGCCTCAGGAACGGGCTCATGGTTGTCTGGTGTGATGGTTAGTTTTCTGTGTCAACTGGGCTGCACCATGGTGCCCAGATATGTGGTCAAACATTCTGAATGTGTCTGTGCGGGTGTTTTGGGGTGAGGTTGATATTAAATTGGTAGACTTTGAAGACAGGATTGCCCTCTGTAATATGGATGGACTTCCTCCAACCTGTTGAAGGCCTGAATGAAGTAAAAGACTGACTTCCCAGGAGAGGAAGGGTTTCTGCGGCAGACGCCCTTCAGACTTGATCTGCAGCTCAGCTCCTTCCTGCGTCTCCAGCCTGACTGTTCATCCTAAAGATTTGCATTTGGCAGCTTCCATAATCATCTTATCAACGAAATCAATCAAACTCCAATAACATATATATATTCATATATATATTCATAAACATTCATATATTCATATATATATTCATATACATTCATATATTCATATATATATTCATATACATTCATATATATATTCATATATATTCATATATATTCATATATATATTCATATACATTCATATATATATTCATATACATTCATATATATATTCATATATATTCATATATATTCATATATATATTCATATATATTCATATATATATTCATATATATTCATTCATATATATTCATATATATACATATATACATATATATCATATATTCATATATATATTCATATATATATTCATATGTATTCATATATATGTGTGTGTGTATATATATATATAGTTACACCCCATTGGTTCTGTTTCACTAGAGAACCTCGAGTAAAACATCTGGTAATGAGCCAGCCAGGATCAGAATTCAGTACCTCAGTTCAACTTCCTACCAGCCTAGGGAGCCACTGTAGCCACCATACTGGCATTTGGCATTTCTCCGTAGTCCCTTAAAGAGTGTGAGCACACAAAGCTCAAACAGCTTGTTACTTGATTCCAAAATACGTTTCCTCAGTCAGCGTACACAGAGAGACTGCACCATGGGGCACCCCCTTGGTAAGCACAGCTCTACGGTGTCCCAGCCGTGCTCCAGCCAAGCAGCCCTGCCCATGGGGAGCTGAGAAGCAGTGTCCTCCTGCCGCTTGTCAGTGAGTTCTAGCCCGTGTTGGCCAAAGCTTGCTGGTATTCACTTGCAACATTGTACAGCTGATGTCACTGAGATGAGATGACAGAGGTGAGTGATGGGGTAGGTGACAGATGGCTTGAATGACATGTTTAAAGGGTTGGTGCCATGGGCTAAGCTGTATGTCCCCCAAATTCATATGCTGCAGTCCTAACCCCTAGCACCTCAGGATGCGACTGTATTTGGACATGGAGGCTTTAAAGAGGTAATTAAGGTAAAATGAGGTCTTTGGGTGGGCCCCAATCCAGTATGACTGTGTCTTGTAAGAAGAGGGATCGGGACAGAGACACACACAGAGGGATGACCATGTGAGGACGCAGGGAGAAGATGGCATCTGCAAGCCAAGGAAAGCGGCCTCGGAAGAATCCAACCCCGCCAATTCCTTGACTTGGACTTCAGCCTCCGGAACTGTGAAAATCAGTTTTGTTGTTCCGCCCCCAACTCTGCAGTGCTTTGTTGTGGCAGCTCGAGCAGACTAACACTGTTGACTTTTGTTCTGAGAGCACTGGGGAGCTGTTTTAAAAGAGGATCCTAAGTATACAATTACGAACGAATGAATAAGGAAAGGAATAAACAAACAACGTGGAGAATTTGCCTTCGGGGTGGGGAGCTCTTTCTGGAAGCAGGTGGAGGGGAACAAAGAGAGGTGATGGTGTGCTTTAAAAATAAGTGAATGCCCCTGCTCACCCACACTGAAGGACATCACAGTGTCAGGAAACTTCACAGCAAGGCAAGGCACAGGGACCCCAGGACCCGCGCTGTGCCACTGGCCCCCTTGGTGCCCTCAGGGTAAAGGGAGCTGGGAAACACTCTGTAGAAGGGCAAAGGGCCTGAGAACACTTGGCTGCTGGATGGAAGGAGACGTCATTATGAGAAGATGCTGAGAAGTGCAGATGAGCAATGAGGTCCACCAAGCTGGTCAGTAATGGATCATCTACTCTGGCCGACGCTTGCAAGCCATTCATGAGTGAGCCTGCATTTCCTGTGATATTTAGCTCCTAATAAAGTGATCCCCAGGAGCTGACACATTCCTCCAAAGTATGCCTCAAGCCAAACACAACCTAATTCATATGAAATGAATAAATATTTCATTAAAAAGAAATGGATTCCAACCTTCATGAAGATGTCTGCATGAACAATGAAGGCTTCTAGTAAATGCATCATTGTTAAGAATTCCAAAGATGATTCCTACATAGGAATAGCAGCTAACGTGAGGCTCAGAGAAGTTAGGCAACTTGACCAGAGTCATGTGGCTGGGCCAGAATTCCAACTCGGCTCTGTCAACCTTTGCAGTCAAAACTGTTTAATAAGCTCTAAGCTAATTAACTCATTCAGTTCCCTACAAAGAGCAACCACACATTCTAAGTCCTCGCTTGTGGCAGACACAGTGCTGGGCACTGGAGATACACAGCCTGCTACATGCTCCACTGCTAACTCTGTTCCTGCCTCAGGACCTTTGCATCTGGTGCTCTTTTGGTCTGTGATGACCTTTTCCCCAGATCCCCACGTGGCCCATTTCTTTCTCAGCAGTTGGGTCTTAGCTCAAATTTCTCCTCTCGGAGAGGCTGTCTCTGTTGCCCTCACCCCCACTGAAGCAGTCCCACCCTTGCAGGTCACTGCACTACACATTTTCTGCAGAGCAGCTATCATCAATGGAAATCATCATACTTATTGTTTATATGTCAGTCTGCTTCTTCTACTAAACTGTCAGTTCTTCAGTGTCAGGAACCTTGTTCAGCTTTTTTTTTTTTTTTTTTTTTACATCCTCACAGGTAGCTAGAGTAAGACCAGGGCAGAGCAGTGATCCGTGAACATTAACTGTTGAACTCAGTATCCTGCCAGGCATTCCAGCATGCTCCCATTATCTTAGAGACCCAGTACCTTGAAAGATCAATAAGATTCTAAAAGAATACATTTTTAAGGAAAACCCTGATAAGCCAAATGCTTTTGAACATTGAACCTTACAAACATTCATCTAAAATCGAATTCCTGCTAATTCCCAAATGGATTTGTTACAGTCTGGGCACTAAATTGGTTAGTCTGCTATTAATCAAATCTTTTTTTTTTCACACTCTGAATTCACATGCAGCTGTGAGAGCCTGCAAAGAGTCTTTCCTTATTCTCATGTGGAATGAGACAAGTAATAATATGCTTGGGTCTGGAAATGATCATCATTGCATAATAAGGCGGTATGGAGTCTGGAATTATCATTTGTACAACTCTTGCTCAAGTTTATCCAGAATCTTCCTTTGAGGGGCATAAAGAGCTATTATCATATAACACTGTGCCATTTTCTGCCATTTTATGTGCAGACTGCCTCCAGCTATCCCATGAATTTTAATTAACTCCACGTTTACTTCACTTTGACCCTGCAGCTCTTCAAGCAGAGGGCCCACGTGCCAATCCAAGAAGACACTTTCGAAGCTCACTCCTCAGAGTCCTCCCAAAGGTATCCTCCTCCTTCCCTCAGAAATAACGAAGCCCTGCTGACTACAGAGTTAACTCAAAGTGGAGCACTTCACCGTGGACGCTCCTGCTGGCTCAGCCATCAAAGGGGTCAAGAGGAGCCAATGGAGAGTGAAGAGTAGGGGCTGGACGAGGGTGAGTGGAAATAGAGGAGTGTCTGTGCGAAGTAAATTTGCATGCAGAGGAGTGGGAGAAACTCACCTCTGCGTGCTAACCCTGAGTCAATCAATATAAACCATGTGTCAAAATCGTATCTGTTGATTGGTTAATTGTTAAGTTCTTCATTCATTTATATTTATTTATTTATATAATATTCATGCATTTATATTATATATGTTATCTGTATCATAGATCAATGTATGTGTATACGCTATATGTGTAAGTGTATGTACATATAGACCACTTCAGTGGTGTATGCATATGTGTATATGTATACACATATACATATGAGTGTGTATATGTATATGTGTATACATATACATTGAGTGTATATATGTATATGCATATACATGTATGTGTATCTATGAATATGTGTACTGTATGTGTTTTGTGGTGGATCTATAGGTATATGTACATATATACTGTTTAGTGGGTATATATATTATGTAGAGAGGTATATATGTATATGCATATCTATGTATATGTATATGCACGTGTACATATTGCTTAGACACTGTGTATATATGTGAACTGTTTAGTGGGTATATTAGTCTGTTCTCACACTGCTATAAAGATACTACCTGAGACTGGGTAATTTATAAAGAAAAGAGGTTTAATTGACTCACAGTTCCGTTTGGCCAGGGAGGCCTCAGGAAACTTACAATCATGGCGAAAGATGAAGGGAAAGCAGGCACCTTCTTCACAAGGCAGGAGGAGAAAGAGAGCAAGGAAGTGCCACACCTTAAAACCATCAGCTCTCGTGAGAATTCACTATCATGAGAACAGCATGGGGGAAACCGCCCCCAGGAACCAGTCACCTCCCACCAGGCCCCTCCCTTGACAGGTAGGGATTACAATTCGAGATGAGATTTGGGTGGGGACACAGAGCCAAACCATATCGGTGGGTATGCCTAATGTATATGCATATACATATGTGTGTCTCTATAAACTGCATGATAGGTAGGTATATGTACATATATGTGCATGTGAGTGTGTGTGTGCATGTATACTGCTTAGCAGGAGCTAGGGATAAAACAGCGAACAAGAGGAAACATTGCTGCCCTCAAAGAGCTTATGTTCTGGTGCATGAGACCCATAACCAAGAAGACATCTGAATAAACACATAATAGAATCACAGGTAGTTTATAGGTGCTATAAAGAAAAGGGGAAGAGAAGGGCAAGGAAATATGGAAGGTTGAGGTGGAGACGAAGAGGGTGGGCATTCTGGGAAGGCGCCACAGAGTGGACATCTCAGCAGAGCCCTGTATGCTATAAGTGAGCCTTGCAAACACCTGGGGGAAAGGTGACTGAGGTGGAGAGAAGAGCAAGTGTGAAGGTTCTGAGGTAGAAATAACTCCAGTGTGGTCAAGAGACTTGAAGAAGGGCTGGAACAGAATGAGCAGGAAGACAGAGAGGATAGAAAGCAGAGTCAGAAAAACAGGCACAGGCCAGACTGCATGACCTTGTGGCCTGGCATGGAGGGACTGGCACATATCCCGAGTGGGAGGGAGGCAGCAACCAAGCAAGCTAATTCATGATTTGCGCACATCCCTGGCTGCTGTCTAGACCAAGAGTTGCTGTCCTCTTCCCTCTCTCACCCGAGCACTCACTAAGCCAGCACTTACTGAGCCTTTACCACATGTTGGGCACCAAGCTAAGTGCGGATGGGCATGACCAGGTCCCAGCCCCTTGGGAATCTCAGTCACATGGAGAAGGCAGATCAGCAGCCCAGAAGCCATGCCTGGCGCTGCTGTGTGAGAGAGATGGTGAGGATGACACTAGGAGCACCAGACACAGGAAGGGCCTCAGTCCCAGGTCTTCTCCCTGGCATGTTCCTCCATGTGGATACCCAGATCCTTCTAGAACCCACCAAGCCAAGTAAAATCCTAGCCATGCTGGCTTCAAGAAGACATGGAAACCAGTCAAGCTCGGTGGTTCACGCCTGTAATCCCAGCACTTTGGGAGGCTGAGGCTGGTGGATCACCTGAGGTCAGGAGTTCAAGACCAGCCTGACCAACATGGTGAAACGCCATCTCTACTAAAAATACAAAATTAACCGGGCCTGGTGGCACATGCCTCTAATCTCAGCTACTTGGGAGGCTGAGGCAGCAGAATCACTTGAACCCAGGAGGGAGAGGTGGCAGTGAGCCAAGATCGTGCCATTGCACTCCAGCCTGGGCAACAAGAGCGAAACTCTGTCATGAAAAAAAAAAAAAAAAAAAAGACATGGAAGGCATTTGAAAAAGGCCATCCAGCCATAGATTAGTAGGACTCTCAAATTCCATTATTATTCATGCTTATTCTTTCATCAATAACATACTGTCTCAATCATTGTAGGTTCACAGTACATCTTGATATTGGGTAATATACCTCTACAACTTTGATCTTGTTTTACAAAATTGTTTTAGCTCTTCTAGATCCTTTACTTTTCATATAAATTTTAGAATCTAGTATAGATAACTATAAAAAATCTTCTGTGACTTTGATTACAGAACCAAAATCAAATCTGTATATAAGTTTGCAGAGAATTGCCATCTTAATAAAAATAAATATTCCAAAGCATAAACATAGTTTTTTATATTGACTTTGTATTCTTCAAGCTTGCTATACTCATATTTTCATTCTAGTAGACATTTTGTAGTTTCTTTGATGTTTTCCATGTAGAAAAAACATAAGTCTGTGAATAGAGACAGTTCTGTTTATTCATAGTAAATCTGTATGATTTTATTTTCTTATTGTAATAGCTAGGACATTTGTTGATGTGTATAGGTGTGGCAAGAGTCATATCTTTGCCTTGTTTCTACTTTGGAAAAGCATTTAATCTTTCAGCATTATATAAAATGTTTTTGTATGTTTTTGGTAAATGCTTTTTATCAGGTCGAGAGAGTTCCTTCTAGGCCCTACTTTCTTTAGAGCTTTTTTTTTCCACCAATGAATGTTGAAGTTTACCAAATTAAAAAAAAAAAAGGAAAGAAAAAGGCCATCCACACGCCAGGTACCATGCTGAGGGCTGAACATTGTTTGCCCCCTTATTCTCACATAAGAACCTAAAGTCCATTATCCATTATAATCATTACTTTTTCTCAGAAGACAAAAGGGAGGGTTGCAGGAGCCACATGATTGGTCCAAGTTTCCATGACTGGAAGAAGCAGGCTCTGACCCAGAGCCAGACCTCCCCAATCTGGAAGCCTGTACCCTTTCCTCTATGCCCTGTTGCATCCAAAACCAAATGTCTGTCATTGGACACTGATGGACATTTTCCTCCTGACCCCACTTGTTTCCAGCAGATGTGCCTGTGATAGAAGCCAGTTTCAACGTCACTTCTGTATCTGGGAGGGACATTTGAAAATAAAACAGGCTGTGCATGGCAGTGGGGTCCTCTCCAGGACGCGGATTCATCATTTGTAAAACGGGGATAATAACATCCATCATACTGGGCTATTAGTGGGACAAGGTAGACAATGGGTCTCCAGTTGCCAGGACCATCACTGTTAGTTTCTGATTAGTCAGGACTCTTTAGGTGGCAAATACTGGAAGCCCAACATGATCTCACCGAGCAGAAAACAATGTTAGTTTCTATAGCTGGTAAGGACAGTGGGTAATTCATGGGAATAGGAAAATAAGAAGGTGGCAGTGCTGCTGTGTCCACCCAGGTCCCTCTCATCACATCCACACACCTCAGGCTTACTATGACACCTGCAATGGCCTGCAAAGAGCAAGCCAAAGGTGCAGGACAGGCAATGCTGCACGGGCAGCCCTCCACTGTCACCGAATGAGAACTGCGTATCCACGCATTAGCTTTTCATCTACAGCCACCAGACACACACTCTGCACTGTCTCCTGACATCCTCCATGGAAGTAGGCTCCAGAAGCCCACCGGGGTGAGTGGCTTGATCAGAAACCCTTTATTGGCTGCCTTCCTTTCTCTGTCTCACTCCTCCTGTCTCACAAATATTTCCTGGGATCATCTTCAAATAAACAGTTTGCACTAAATTCTTTCTCTCAAAATCAACTTCTGGAGGAATCCAAGTGAGAACAGTTATCAACAGAGCCAGGACCAGGGTGAGGCTAGTGATGTGTCCAGGTTGCAAAATACAAGGAAGCAAGTGTCAAGCCTGCATCTGCAAAATTTTAGAAAGCAAGGCACATGTTTAACTCAGTTGCCTCACCTTAATCTCAACCTTCACCAACAAAACGCCATCTCTTCACCCACCTCGTATATCTGTTTCTGATTCTTTGCTTTAAGCTTCATTCTTTTCTTCTACAGATAAACCTTCACTTCATCAATTGCTGACGAAAATGACCAAAAAAATGCAGACCTGTTTTCTTACAGTGCATGATAACTGAGAGCAAGTTTTTCACCTCTGATTCCACAGAAGGTTTCTGAATGGTTGGACTTGGATCACATGGCGACACCTTGGACCAGGCACTATGTCTGGCTGAATATGGTCCATGTGGCTGGCACAGGCACATCATATGGTCATCTCAAGTGAATTGGGGACCACAGTGACATGAGGAGGGGGCGGTGTTCTCCAAGGGGAAGGAATGTCATTATAATAAGAAAAAGGGATCCAAAAGCATGCTGGAGAGTCAAAAACAGTAGCCCCTCCAGTGTACTATGGTTCTCCATTCCCTTTCCATTTTACAGATGAGAACACTAAGCTGCAGAGAAGTTAATTTGCTTTCCTAGGTATCCACCACTAACATATATTAGCATCAGCCTGACTCCAAAATCTAAATTGTTTCCACTGGTTATATAGAAATTAATGTGGTGTGCCTCAACTGTCCCAGAATTTAGTCATAAAATGGTTATTTTAAATGTGAGTAAATTATTGCTAAAAATCAATGGATTGCCAGCAGTTGTTTACTTTGGTGCTACACTAGGAGGCACAACTTCTTCCAGCATGACAGTGAAAAGATTTCTGTGAATTCACATGTGTTCTTTCCTGATAACCAAGGCTATTATCATAGTTTAACAATGAAATGTCTTTCTGGAAAACTCTTAATAAATGTCAGGTATCAAAACTGCCAAAGACAGACAGCAAAGCCAAAATATTCATTCAATATTAGGAGGATGGTTTTCTTCATCTTATGCCAGCCTCCCTCCACCTTAACTTTAATAATAGTCATGTAGACTTCACCTGCATTTATTATGAAAGGCAGTGATTATTTAGCATTTTAACCTGAACAAAGCTATGCTTTATTCCCTTAAAGCAGGTTAACCTTGTGCTGAATACTTGACATTTGTGTACATTCTATATGAATTTGCGTGTCATCAAGAAATTGCTACAACCCAAAAGCAACTTAGAAATAGACCTTCTAGAAAGCTTATATTTCTCAAAAGATCCATTAAATTTTCAACGGATGATGACAGGCTATAGTCAATTTGAAAATCTTGAGGCCACACACTAACAGATTTGGTAGTATGTCCTAAAGGAACACAAAAGGTTCAGGAACAAAACTCTCAATGACATGGGGGGAAAGTGGTATGCCTCTTTGTGATGCTAACTTTGTCGTGGATTGAAAAGGAATGCCTCAATTTTCCTGAAGCCATAAAATCTCAACATTAAGATGAGACACTACTCTAAAATATTTTTGTTTTGTTAAGTTCAGCCACTGTTCATGAGATTATGGGCAAACCTCCTAACTTCACTGGGCTACAACTCTTTCTGAGAAATCCAAGAGTATCCAAGAGGAGAAATCCAAGAGTATCCAAGAGGAGAACTCCAAGAGTATCCAAGAGGAGAAATCCAAGTGGAGCCTCAAATGTGGTAAATAACCTCTGACCAAATCTACTGCTGACTCCTAAAGATCACAGACATAGAACAAGCTGAAAGCAGTCCAGTTAAGAAAAAAAAAATGGACTGAGATTCATGTGCCTGCCAAAGAGGCAGAATATGCAATGTAAGTCCAACCAAGTTAACTGCTTGTTAAAAATATGTTTTTAAAAAACACAGTAGAATTCAAAGTTTCTACAAAATAACACCCACAATGTCCAGGATGTAAGACAAAACTACTTAATATATAGAACCAGGAAAATGGGACCCATCCTCAACAGAACAGATAATCAGTGGAAGTGAATCTTATGATGACCCAGATGTTGTAATTAGCATAAGGACAATAAAGCAGTTGCTATGACTATGCTACATGATATAAAAGGTAATATGACTGAAATAAAGGAAAAGATAGGAAACCTAAACAAAGCAAGAAAAACTATTTTTTTAAGTCAAGAGTTTCCACCTATGCATACCATAGGAAAACTTCTAAAAGTCAAATTTTAAGGGACTTTTTGAAAGGAGGGAGACAAAAGTGACACATTACATACTGGACAATAATGATTCAAAGTTTAATGACTTCTCATCAGAAATTCTGAAAGTTAGATGACAACAAGACAAAATCTTTAAAGTAATGGAAGGAAAAACACCTGTCAACCTAAAAATCTGTATCCAGTAGAAATATTCTTCAAGAAAGAAGGAGAAATAAATATATTTCAGATAAAATAAAATAAAGAGAATAAATTAAGAGGAGACATGCCCCACATAAAATACTAAAGGAAATTCCTCAGGCTGAATGGAAATGATACCAGAGAGAAACCTAGATTTTCCTTAAAAATATGAATAAATATCAAAAACTATTTTCCTCCTAATTTTTAACAGCAAAATCTTACACCTAATAGCAATATATTCATTATTTCTATTTAATTATACATATATATTTTTAAAGCAAAAACTATAACATTGTATTAGAGATTTATAATTTAAGAAGCTGCAATACATTTGACACCTACACTATAAGGACAGATAGGGTGGTAGATGGGCCTCTACAGTTGTAAGGTTTTCACATTTTATGTAAAGTGTAAAATATCAACCCTCAGCAGACTGTAAAATAAATTAAGAATGTATAGTATAATCCTTTAGAGCAACAATTTTAAAACATAATACTGGAACGTATACTTACAAAGTCAATAGATAAATTAAAACATAGTTTTAAATATTCAACTAATCCACAGCACTACAGGAAAGAACAGAGACAAGAAAAAAAGAAGAGGTAAGAAGAAAACAAATAAAACAACAATAGACCAAAATCAAACCGTTACATGAGCTGTGCATGAACTAAACAATACAACTAAAAGGCAGAATTGTCAGAATGGATTTTTTTAAAGCAAGACCTAACTATACGCTGTCCTCAAGAAATTAATGTTAAATATAAAAACAAAGAATGAAAATAAATGCATAGAAAAACATATGTCATGGAAACAGTAAGCATAAGTAGGTTAGAACGGCTATATAAATTCATGTGTAAATCCTATCAAACATTTTAAAAAGTAACACCAACTTTACACAGCGTTTTAAGAAAATAAAGAAGAAAAATGTCTGAACGCAATAAGCATAAGTAGATTAGAATGGGTACTCTGATCTCAAAGAAAATAAGTTTCAAAATAAAGAGTACTAGAAGAAAAAGAGAAGGATATTTTATAATAGTAGGGACAATTCATCATAAGGAAATAATCATAAATATGTATGCATCTAACAACAAATCTCAACGTATAAGAAGCAAACATTGACAGACTTAAAGGAAGAAGAAATAATTCCACAATCATAGTTGGATATTTTACACAACTGTCCAGAAATAAAACAACTAGATTTTAAAAATCGGCAATGACACGGAAGCTCTGAATAATATTAACTACTTTGACTGGACTAATATTTACTGAATCTTACACCTAACAACTTTTAAATACACATCCTTTTCAAGTGGGTATACTGTGTTTACTAAGGTAGATCATAAGTTGGGCATAAAATGAGTCTCAATTAATACAAATGAATTGAAATTGTAGAGTATGTTCTTGGACCACAATGAAAAAAATTAGAACCAATAACAATAAAAAAGCTTCAAAGACCAAATATTTGGAAGTTAAACAACACATAACTAAATAATTCATGGGTCAAAGAAGCAATCACAAGGGGAATTATAAAATATTATTAACTAAATAATAAAATACAACATATCAAATTTTGGGGGTGTAACTTAAGCAGTCCTTAGAGGAAAATTTATAGCTTAAAATGCTTATATTAGAACAAAATGTCTAAAATCAATGACCTAAGGTTCTATCTTGAAGAGCTAAGATTATAAACTGATGAAGAAAATAAGAGAAAGAAGGCAAACTGCTAATATCAGAAATGAAAGAGAAGTTACAACCACAGACACTACAAAAATTAAGAAGATCCTATGATAATATCATGAATTACTTTGTGCCAACAAATTTGCCAACATAGAGAAAATTGATTAATTTCTTGAAAAATATAACTTACCAAAAGTTATATACGAAAAAACACAAAATCTGAGTGCCTTATATCTACTAAAGAAGGTAATTTTGTAGTCAAAAGCCTTACTAGAAAGAAAACTCTATACCCAGATAACTTCATTTGTAAAACCTATCAAACATTTAAAGAAGTGACACCAACTTTACACAAGTGCTTTCAGAAAACAGAGAAGGAAAATGACTGAACTCATTTTTGAGACTACTATAACCCTGAAAACAAATTTGATGAAGATATTACAAAAAAGCAGACTAATATTCCTTATGAATGTGATGTAAAATTCTCTAATAAGATATTGGCAAATCCAATTCAATAAAACATAAAAAGAATAAGGTATCATATTCAAGTGGGATTTATCTCAGTAATACACAGTTGGTTTAAAATTTGGAAATTAATGTAATTTAGCATAGTAACAAAATATGGAGAAAAAATATGATCATTTCAACCAATGCACAAAAAGTATTTGATAGAATTCAGCAAGACATGATAAACACTTACAGAAAACTACAACTAAAAAGGAGCTGCTCAATTTGATAAAGAGCATCTCTGAAAAACTTACAGGTAAAGATGTTCTTAATGAAGAAAGACTGAACACTTTTTCCCCTAAAATTAAGAACAAAACAATGATGCTTGCTCCCACCACTTCTCCTCAATATTGTACCGAGGGTTTTAGCTACTGCAATAAAGATTTAAAAAGCATAAATAAAGGGGAGAATAGGTAAAACTACTTTTATTAGCAAATAGAATGATTGTTGACAGAAAATCTCCAGAATACTACAAAACAACTATCACAACTAATTATTTAATTAGCAAGGTCTCAGGGTGTGAGATTAAGATACAAAAATTTTATTGTATTTTTATACCTACTAGTAAACAATTAAAAACTAAATTAAAAACAATTTCATTACAATAGTGTCTTCCCCCTGTCCCCCGTACCCCCAAAAAACTTCATCAACTATTTGGGAAAAACATTAGTGCAAAAAAGGGCAAAGCCTCTACCCTAAAAATGACAAAACATCACTAAAATAGACTTTTAAATACCTAATAAAAATAGAGATAAATAAAGAGATATACCATGTCCATGGATTAGAAGACTCCCTACTCTTAAGATATAATTATTTCCAAATTGATATACAGATTTGACCAATTGTAATTCCACAGTTTTTTGTAGAATTGATAAGCAACTCCAAAATTTGTATGAAAATCAATGATCTAGAATATCCAAAACAATCTTGAAAAAGAATAAATGTGGAGGACTTATACTACCTGATTTTAAGACACACCAGAAACCTGCAGTAATTAAGACAGACTAGTACTTGCATAAGGATCAACAAATAGGTCAAATGTACAAAACCGAGAGTACAGAAGAAGACATACAAATCATCTAATTTTTCATATGAACCCCAAAGCAATCTGTGATGGTTAATATTAAATGTCAGCTTGACTGGATTGAAGGATGCAAAGTATTGGTTCTGGATGTATCTGGGTATGTCTGTGAGGGTGTTGCCATAAGAGACTGACATTTGATTAAGTGGACTGGGAGAGAAGACCCATCCTCAGGAAGACCCACCTGCAACACGGGTAGGCACCATCCAATCGGCTGCCAGTCCAGCTAGAAAAAGCAGGCAGAAGAAGGTGCAAGAAACTGACTTGCTGATTCTTCCAGCCTTCATCTTCCTCCTGTGCTGGATATGCTTTCTGCCCTACAACATCAGACTTCAAATTCTTCGGCTTTTGGATTCTTGGACTTACACCAGTGGTTTGCCAGGGGCTCTCAGGCTTTCGGTCACAGACTGAAGGCTGCATTTTCGGTTTCCCTAGTTTTGAGGTTTTGGGACTCGAACTGAGCCACTACTGTCTTCCTTGCTCCTTAACTTTCAGACGGCCTATGGTGGGGCTTCACCTTGTGATCATGTGAGGCAATTCTCCTTAATAAACTCCCCTTCATATATACATATATCCTATTAATTCTGTCCCTCTAGACAATCGTCGTACACAATCCAATAAACAAAAGAAATCATTTTCAAGAAACTGATGTCCATACTAGGGAAAAAAAAAAAAACAACTTGACCCTACCTCACACCACACAAAAAATCAAATCAAAATGAAGTATAGAACTAAATTTATAAGCTAACTCTATAAAACTTTTAGAAAGTAAACATAGAAAAATATCTCTGTGAATTGAGTATGTTTTGGTGAGCCAGGTTTTCTTATACAAATGGCATAAAACAATGGCCCTAAAAGCAAAAGCACTCAACAAATTGGATCTTATCGAAATAGAAAACTTTCATGTATCAAAACACACCACTAATAAAATTAACAGGTAAACCAGTCTGGTTGAAAACAGTCTCATGTCTGACAAAAGACTGGTATCCAGATATGTATCCCACAATTAAATAAGACAAACAACCCATTTTTTAAACAATAGCAAAAAATGCAATACAAATGAATCTCAAAAACATTATGCTGAAAAATTTATATAAAATGTAAAACATTATGAAGCTTTAAACAAAAGACTATATATTGCATGATCCCATTTTATACTAAATTTTAGAACAGGCAACTCTAATCTATAATGGATGGAGTAGTTGACTTTGAGAGAGGTTTTGACAGTAAAGGGTCAAGAGGGGACTTTTGGATGGTGATATTCTATATTTTGGTATGGGTTTAGGTTACTCAGATGCATTTATTTCTCAAAAGTCAATAAATGTAAGTTTAAGATGTGTTCATTCTGTTGTATGTACATTTTACATCAAAAGAAAAACTACAGGCAAATCTCTAGGCTGAAATATTTAAGGAGAAATGTACAAATATTTGCAATTTGCTATAAAATGCATCAAAAAATAAGATGGATTGATGTGTGGGTAGAAGGATAGGTATTTCATAAAATAAGTTTGGTAGAATGTTAATTGGGAATGGAGGTGGAAGACATTGGTGCTTAATGTAAAATTCTTTCACCTTCACTGCGTATTTGCATGTTTTCATACTAAAATAATGAGAAAAAAATCATATGGGTATGCAGTCAACCCTGCCCTTGACAGCAAGGGCATCACAGCTTTTGAAGTTTGAATTAGGCATCCTCCACTCCATCCCTGTACACCCATAAACTATGAGTGTTCCTCCCCTACCATGCTTTTCAGAGTGGACTATAGTTGACTGTTTATTACTCTGCCTCCTGCATGTATCTGAGAGATCCTCAAAGGCAGGCACCATATCTGGTTTACTTTTGTAACCTCAGTACCTAGAATAGGGCCCAGAGCAAATTGGTCCTCCGTATGTTGGATGGATGGATGGATGGATGGATGGATGGATGGATGGATGGATGGATGAGTGAATGAGTGAATTAACAAATGAACCTAAGCTGCCTGATTTTATATAAACTCCACACAAACTTCCAATAACCAGACAAGACACAGACTTAGAGAAAATACAAAGACAATGTCAGTGCTAAGCCCAGAGCTGTACAGTTTCCAAGAAGAATGAGTGTCATGCAAGATCATGAGTCTTGCCAGGCCTTATCCCACCATTTATCAGCAGTGACAGATGTCACATGGTGAGATATTCTGGGAACTTAAGTATACACAACAGCCCTGCCTGTCCCAGTACCATATTTGTGTCCAGACAGGTCCTCCTCCAAGCAAGAAATCTTCACGCCACAAACTGCCAAAAAGCACATTCAGTTAAAGTCTCCCTTCCTCACTCCCTGCTGCGTAGGGGAAAGAGAGCCTTAAGCAACAAAAGAATCAACATTTATTGAATATCAGGTTGGATTCTGTGCTAGACACTCTACTATACCATCTCATTAACCTCTCACAACAGCCCTATGCAGAAGACACCAATATGCCTATTTTACAGGTGAAGACACAGAGACTCAAAGTGCATGCATGAATGGCATTTGAATCCTTGTTTGTCCAGTTTTCAAGCTGCTTGCTCTCTGTGTTGCGCCACACTGCCTTGCACTCTCATCAACACTTGCTGAGCTGAATTCCCAGTGGTGGTAACTATCCCAAGGGAAATTTGTGTCCGCCCAATGTGTTATGTAAGAATGAGCTACTCCTTATAAACACTGACTAGCCGATCACTCCTCTGGCAACCACTCTAAAGTAGAGGCCCAATTCCAGCCGGGTCAGGGGAGTAGGTGGAGGTACAGATGGTGAACTTGCTTCAAGGGGGAAAATGTCATTGACATCACAACATCCTGGCTGGTGGAGGCTGGAGTGGGCATTCAAAATACAAGTTATTGATTGGAGACACTTTTTTAGAAGGGTGCTAATGGAGGAAGAAGCCAGCATGAATGATGGAAGGTCAGGGACAGAAGTAAGGGGAAGCTTTGCTAAGATCCACCTTCTGGATCCTTCCGGGTCCTCATGCTGGCCAGTTTGGAGGGAGGGAATTCTAAGGGATAGTGTGAGTGCCAGGCAGAGAGAACAGCAGGCTAGGAGCAAGGGCCTGTGGAAAGACAGTGGAGGCGAGAGGAAGGGCTGAGAGGTGTGTCTGTGAACTGGTCCTGAGATCTGTTTATCAGTCTGCAGGACCATGTGGCTCCTCTCACCATACAAGGGAAACTTCAACTCTTCACCCATACAATCCAAGCCTTGAGAACTGAACATCCTCCCTTCCTGACCCACAAGGAAGTGTGAGAAGGAGGAAGTGAGGGGCTGGTGTGATGCGTGGGCTCCAGAATAAAAGCAGGCATGGGAGGCTCACCAGGATCCAAAGTGGCACCTGTCAGATATACAACATGATTTCTGAATAATCATTTGCAGAGAGTCAAAAGCACCAAGGAGACAAGAGTAAACTCATGTGAAACAGTTTGCTGTACATGTGAACTCTTTTCTCTTTGGCTCTTTCTAGAACCCTCCTTCTCCCTACCTGGGCTGGAGCCTGCACATGCTCTTGTTGTCCCACTATTGTGCCATGTATCAGTCAGGGTTTTCCAGAATACAGAACCAACAGAATATGGACAGATAGACAGACAGATAGACAGACAGACAGACAGACAGACAGACAGAGACAGAGACAGAAACAGATTTATTTTAAAGAACTGGTTCACACAACTGTAGGGGCTTGCAAATCTGACTTCTGACTTTTACAGGGCATGCTGGCAGGCTGGAAATCCAGAAAAGAGTTGATACTGCAACTCCAGTCCAAAGGCCACCAGGAGGCAGAATTCCTCCTTCATCAGGGAAGTCAGCCTTTTTCTCCTAAAGTCTTCAAATGGTTGGATGAGGCCCATCCACATTGTGGAGAATCAACTTCTTAACTCAAAGTCTACTGATTTAAACATTAATCTCATCCAAAAAAATACCTTCGCAGGGACATCTAGATCGATGTTTGACCAAACATCTGGGCACCACGGCCTAGCCCAGTTGATACATAAAATTAACCATCACATACTGTGTCATAATTTACTGTTTTTTATGTCTGATTTTTAAAAAAGATTTCTGCCCTCAACAAGTTCCAAGTCATGTCAGGAAAACAGTGTCTAATGGAGCACATGGCCCCTTCAGTGGCCCAGTGAATGTCTGTTAAATTATCCAGTGACCCAATTCACTTGACAACATAAATGCCCAACACTGTTAAATGTGCATATAGCAAAACTCAGGAATGAGATTCTGAAAAGGCAAGAAGCTCTGTGGTGCCTCCATGTGCCTACAGTGAAGTCTGGATTGTGTAGAAAAGACAAATTAAAGTTGCAGAACTTGGCACAACTCAATATCATTCTGGTTAGTGAATTAATACCAAATGTGTCGTGTTTAGAAAGGTTTCTGTAAGAAGGTCCACATAAGTAAAAGAGAAGCAGAAATCATCAGAAAATACTCCCCAGGGAAGAAGAGATTTTTCCCAGGAATAGAGTTGACCATTGAATATATTGGTCCATACAACCATCTACCCCATAAGAGGATGAGTTTCTGGTCAGTAGGGATCACTTCTTACTCAACTTTGCTCCCCAAGCAGCAAGCACAAGGATAGTTAGTGTATTGGACATTCCCAAGGGCACTTTTCTGTGCCCACCCAAACTATCCTCCTGCCCTTCTCTACCGGAAGAGCTCGTCTCCCAGCTACAGGCTGAAGATGGAAGATGCTTCCCTCAGTAGGAAGCAGTGGTCATGTGACCAATTATAGCCAATAAAACGGGTTGGTTGGGGAGGTTCCAGGGGGGAAGTCCTTCTCTAACAAAGTCACAGAAGTGAGGAGCAGTTGTGTGAAGATGTGATACACAGAACTCGGCAACCTCTAAACCATTAGATAGGAAACCTGAGGAGAAAATCTCATCCCACTGAGGAAGGTGGAGGGGGTGGGTGAAAAGTGTCCAGACCTGTGATGACATCAGACAGCCTCTGAGCTACTGCAGAGACCCCCTATACCTATGGACCACTTGATTTGGTGACATTTTCAAAATATATCCAAAATCTGACTATTTCTCACCACCCCCAGCACTGCCATGTGCCCCAGGCCACCACCTCCTCTCCCCACAGGGCTCCCCGCTGCTGCTGTGGCCCCTCCCAGGCTATTCTCCACATGGTAGCCAAAGTGAACTTCTATGAACTTCTACAAACAGATCATGCAACTCCTCCCCCAGAAACCCCCAAGCCTTCTCTTCCCACTCTGTGAAATGGCCAAAGCCTTTACCACATGGAAGAAGTCCTCTAAGACCTGGGCCTCGCCGACTTCACTGACCTCACCTTGCACCACTCCCATTGCCTGGAAGCCCCTCAAAGACACAGAGCACACTCCCTTCCGTGGGATTTGCACTTGAAGTTCCCTCTGCCTGGAACTTGCCTGTCTTCCTCCTTTGCTTCCTTCAGGTCTCTGCTCACATGTCATGCTATTATCAAGGACGTCCCTGACACCCTGTATGAGAGCACTGTCCTGCAGAACCATCTATGATATGGAAATGCGTCATAACCTGAGCTTCCAATACAGTAGCCACTGGCTACACGTGGCTACTGAGCACTTAAAATGCAGCTAGTGTGCTGTGGAACTGAATTGTTACCATTTTACTTAATGTTAATTAATTCAAATTTAAATATCCACATGTGGTTAGTGGCTACCCTATTGATAGCTCAGCTCTACAAAACAGCAACTTCTCCCTGCTACTCTCCCATAACTCCATATTCCCCTTACCTTACTGTATTTTAATGTACTTATCATTATCTAATGTACCATAAAGGTATACAATTATCTGTTTCGCATCTCTCTCATTTTTTAAATATAAGCACTATGAGAAAAGACACTTGGATCTGTTTTGGTTACTACTGATCAACAGAGTCTAAAATAGTGCCTGGTACAGAGTTTGCATGCAATTAGTATGCATGGATTGGATCAATAAAACTAGGCAAGGAGGGAGGGAGGGAGGTTGTCTGGGTCTATCCAACTTCTTAAGTCACATGCCTCAGTTTAGCTCTATGAGTTTTAAATAGTCTAATCAACAGTATGGGCTGCTGAAACAGCAGGTTCCTGGTCAGCCTTCAGCTCAAATCCCAGTTTTGACACTTCCCGCCTATGTGGCCAAGGGTAACCTGCTCCATCTTTCTGAGTTACAGAGACTATGTTTCACATCTAAGCTTTTCCATCTGTAAAATGGAAATAACAATAGATGTGAAAAAAACATAACAGAATATCTCTGGCATTCAATAGGTACTCAAAGCAATTATTGCCAAAAAAAAAAATTTCTGAGTATGTGGGAACAGACTGGAGCTTGACTGGGGGGAGTATTTTTGTTTTCTAAAAACTCCTGCCATCTTCTCCTAGCCTTCTATACCTTTTCAAAAAAAATAGTCAAAGATCACAAATATGAACTTACCAAAACAACAAACGTCTATGTTGCTGGAAAGAGCTGCCTTTGTGATGTTTATGGGTTTTTTTTCAACTTTCCTCACTTAGATTCTCAAGGAACAAACGGCATTGGCAATCCTGAAATAAATACCATTGTAATTCACCTAAACCAGGGCTGTTGTGGTAATTTAATTTCCAGAAGAAAATTACACCAGATCGCAAGGAAACTATTCAGACTTCCTTTCACATTTCAAGTTTGTCAAGTCGAAATCTTACTGTCAAACAGAACATTCCCAGTGCCCAGCAACCAACACACAGACACACAAATATACACACATACTTAAGCCCAGTGGTCCAGACATTTATATTCTTACCTTTCCAAAACTCCCTTTACCAATGGCCCGCAGAATCTGAAAATGGTCAAAGTTGACTGCAAAAGAAAACAAAAAAGGAAACAAGTCAGATTTGCTAAACCTGGTATTGCTCCTTGAATATCCTTACCTATGTACCTACCCACCTATTCCAAAGGCTCTTGGGTCAGGTGCACTATACTTGCCAGAGCAGCCGTCCACCCTTATCCACAGGGGAATTTGCAGCACATTCCATTTTTTCCCCAGCACACAAATTGTCCATCTGAAGCCTTCCCTTCACTCCACACTTCTTGATGAGGCTCTGCAGTCTTGCTGCTTCACTCTCTACCCCACTTCTGCCTGGCTTCTACATGTTTCCCTACACCAAGACAGGTCAACAATGTACGGCCTTGCCAGTAAATCCCATGGACATCCTCCCCTCCTTTGACTTGTTCACTCTCTCAATTCTCCCCTTCATGCTTCACTTCCTTCTGCACACTCAGCCTTGTCCTCCCAGGCATTAAACACTAGAGTCTGTCAAGCCTTTTGTCCTACAACTGTTCTCTTGTCATGGGCTCCAAAGGCTGCAATGACCACCTAATTGGCAGTGGCTCTCCAAGGTGTCTCTAGCCTTGGCTGTATGTGTCAATGCCTGCCCTCAGGTCCTCATGGAGGTTCCAAAGCCACCATGAACTCAACAGATCCAAAGCAGAATGCAGGATGAGTGGTCTCAACGTTCACTGGTCCTATATGTGCAAAACCTGGGACTCATCCTTGACTCCTTTCTCCCCTTACCCCACATCCGGTCTTTCATCAGGTAGCTCCATGTTGTCTCTGCACAGTGTCTCACACCTGTCTACCCCTATGGCCACTGCTCTGGTCTAATCCACCATCTTCTGTCTCCTGGACCACTATGGTGGCCTCCCAACATCCTCACCTGACTCTTCCACTCAGGAAAATGTGTGAGGAGCCGAGTGATCTTGCTTGTCCTCTGCTTCCTCCCCTCCGATGTCCCCTCCATTGCTCTCAGTGGAAAAAGGAAATCCTTCCCCAGGGCTGCAGGGCTCCAGCTGCTTCTCCTGCCTCCCTTCCCTGCTCACTCCCATCACCTACTGAATGCCAGACACGTGAGAGCAGCTACTCCCAGGCCTTGAGTGCTCTCCTCCTTGCCCTACCCTTGTTCTCTCTACATCCTCAGAAGGCTTCCCTCACCCTCCAGACTACGTCTGGCTCCCTACGATACATTCTCATGGCACTGTGGAACTTTCCCCAAAATACATCGCTTTGTGTAATTTTACCTTTGTATATTTCATTAAGTTCACTTTTCCCTACTAGACTCTAAGCTCCCTGAGTTCAAGGGCCATGTTTATTTTTTTCTGTTGTACCCTTAGCACTCAGCACAGTGTTTAGTACACAGTTACTGTTCAATAAATATTCATTAACAGGAGGAATGACTGAATGAACTAATCTCCATATTCATAGTGCCAAACACAACTCCTGGTACATAATAAGTGTTTGGTAAATATTTTTGAATTAGATTGAATTACAGCCAGTTTCCAATAACTAGAAAAGATATGTTATTTACAAAAAAAAAAATGAAGTGAATTGATTAGTTCACCACATAATGGAAGCAAGGATGTGAGGAAGTAAATGAATACAATTAGTTCCTTGTATATTAAACTTATGCAATGGAGGATAATTATGCTGAGTTGTGTCCCTGCCAAGCCAAAGTCAGAATCCAGCGTGAGGTCGAATGCCTAACGTGCTTAGAATAGAGAGACGGAGTTAATGGTTAACTTACTAAAACCTTGGTTCTTTGATTTAGATTTATTTCCTTTCAGGATAACTTGCCAAGAAAGAGATTTCATATTTTCACTTCTTACTCATTCACCAAAGATCAGAGAAGAGGGAAAAAAAGCAATGAGCTTGGACTGCAGCTTGTTATGTAACCAGCAGCATGCTAGGAAATGCACATGTCCTGTCGAGAAACTCCCGAGGTCCCCACGGGGCAGGTACCACTGTCGGGTCCTCAAATCAGCAATGAACATCACGGGTTCCCTGAATAGCACCATATCTTCATGCTGCTGTTTCCCTTGCCTGCAAGACCATTTCTCCAACACACCTTATTTTGGGAAAAACTTTTCATTGGCCTTTGACACGCAGCTCATGCACTTGCTCTCTTGGGAAGCTTTTCCCCAACCCCCAACTAACCATTTTTTTCCTTAGAGTTAACTCTGAACCTTCTGTAGACATCTAACAGTTTGGGAGGACATTCCCTGGAGCCAGTCTGCTCAGGTCCACAATACAGCTCTATTCAGTCAGTCTGTCATTAGCGGCATCATTTAGCCTCTGTGTGCCTCAGTTATCTCATTTGTAAAATAGGGAAAATGGGGCCTACATTCCATAAAGAGCTCAGAATCATGCCTGGCACACTACAACCTTTCAAAAAGTGCTAGCTCTGTGTTGGGGGTGAGGAGCAATTCCCCTCCCTCTTTTCTGGTTTCTTCCAGTTGGGATACCTTACACATCCGTGGCCTCTTGCCCCATCCAAGGTGGTGCAAGTTATCCGAGTGATGAACTGGAAAAGGAATGGCACCAGCATACTGATGCTCACTGTGCCCTCTCTGTGGAGTCTGACTTTAGGGAGTGGCCTCTCTTCTGCTCCTTCTTGCCAGAAGCTTTTCAGGACCAGCTGCCATGAGGAGAGGTCTGTGGGGTCCAGATTGAGCATTGGCCAGGTGGGAAAGTCCAGCTAATTCTAGGCTTCAGCATTAGGGAGTGCATGATTACTGCCTTCCTGAGTTACATTCCTTGGCCACAGCTTTATCGCTGTAGAGGTGAGACTTGGTTCTCTATCAACCTCCTCCTCTGTCATGTCTCCTAACTGGAGGGAGGTGTTAATTACTGAATAAATGGTCAAATGCCAAAAGCCATTATTACTTTAATAATTAGTGTTATAACATTGTAAATATTCCCACTCACCCATGTCATCCATATCCCCTACAAAATTGTGGGCTCCTTTGGGGAAACTAACAATGTATGGGGCAAAAAGGCACTTAATGAATGCTTGTCTGCTTCTTGGACTAGATTGGATGTAGATGACTTTGAGCACACGGCCTGTGGTTCCTATTTATTTGGCATCTCCCTGGGGTGTACTACACTGACACTGACATAATAGCACCTAAAAGAAGACACTTTGAATAAGTGAAAAGTTAACACTTGGTTGATGAACAGATTAAAATGGCTTCAGTCAATGAAAATGCCAAGCCAATAATGGGTCCTAGAATCATACTGTCACGTGAGGTTGTTTGCTCAGAGTAGGAAGAATTGGCTGGGGGGTGTGAGAGGGTTGAAGAGTGGTTTCTTTGGGTGACCATCTTGTCCTGGTTTCCTTGGAATCTTCCTGGTTTTAGTACGGGAAGTTCTGCATCCTTGAAAACTACCCAGTCTGGGGAAAACCAGTTTGGCACCCTTGGTTTCTGAACAGGAACCCATTCCATCTGAGGAAGCCACAAGCACTGCTTGGGCTAGCAGAGTGATCGGATTGGAGGTGAAGTACATTCTTGAAAAGTGGTATCTCACCACCAGACTCTTAGAGCTGCAAAGGGTTACACCGCTAAAAGTGTACCACTAGGGTAGAAATGGGAAACGCACTGCTGCAAAGGCAAAGGAGTGTCAGTGTCCTTGCCAAAAACACAAGGACAGTGGCACCTGCCTTGCCAGGCATCATGAAGACAATGGAACAACACATTGGCGGCATTATTTGCTCAGCCAGGCTCAATTCTCCCTTCTTTCTTGATAACAAAAACCCAGCTCTCCTTAGGGATCACTGTGGCCAGCCCCAGGCAATGAATGATAATCCCCAATAGTCATAATTGATCAAATCCAGTGGCGTTTTCAGAATCACCTGGAACCTTGTTAAGAGATCAGTGTGTACCACCTCCTGAATTCACCTCCTGAATTTCTAAGGAGGCATTAGAGAATTTGCATTTCTAAGAAGTTTCTAGGTGGTGCTGATGGTTCTGGGACTGCACTTTGGGAACTACCGATCTAATTAATCCGGACAATTGTGTTCCCCACTTTTCCAGCCACTGTGCAGCCAGCAGTGACCTTGTGATCCAGATCTAATCAATGAGATCTAATCAATGAGATGGAGACATTTTTGGGAAAGCATTTTTTGTGTATGTGAGGAAAGGGGCACACTGAGCTGGAGTAGCCCTTCCACTCTACCACTTCTTCCTGCCTTCAATGTGGACGTGATATCTGGAGCTGCAACAACCATCTTGTGACTATAAAGCCAAAAACATGAGCAAAGGATCAAGACAGATGCAGGGAAGCCACTCCTTCCTGTGAGCCTCTGAACACAGGCCAGCAACCACTTACCTTGGGACTTAATATATTAGGAAAAATAACAAAACAATTTTATTTGTTCAGTGGGTCAGGTTGTCTATTACTAGAAGCTAGAAACATTCTTTTCTGATACTCAAAGCCAGGCACATAGCAGCGGCTTAGTAAATGCTAACTATTTTATTGTTAAATTTCCAGCCCCACTGTCATTTTACTAAGAGGCCAAAGAACAAGAGTTATTTGGGACAACAACATAGGAGCCAGGCTGCCTGGATTTGGATTCTCACTCCAACACTCAGTGGCTGTGGCTGGGTGATGTTGGGGAAGTCACTCAGGCTCTCTGTGCATCAGCCTCCACACCTATATAATGGGTAAAATACAACACCTACCTCATAGTGTTGTACATGGTATCTTAATTAATAAAGGTTAAGCATTTAGGTATTGCTATGAATATTATTCTATGTTAGTGGCTTTTCCTCATATTTCACCCTTGTGATACAACACTGGTCTGATTAAATCATGACAAAATATTCCACGACTGATAAATCTGGAAGTGTATTAGTGCTAATTAGTTATTGATGGTGATTGATCACACTGGGTAAATCTGGTTGTCCTACTTTACATGCCAGTGGGCTCTTTTCTCATTTCCACTAGACCAGTTATTTCTAATGAATTTCATAGCACGCTTTCAACATTGCAATATTCATGAAGCTGTTTATTCAAACAGCCAAGAGTGAACTTTCAAGATGGCTAGTAACTCTTTCAAACAATCTCTAATGGAAAGTAAACCACAGTCCACATCCTGTACAAACACATGCATTTAAGCACTGTGGGCATCAAGCAAGAAAAGTAAGCAAACATCCCGTTCCTGCCCTCCTAAAAACCTGAAACCTGCGGCTCATTCCTTGCAGAGTTGGTGCTGGGCACAAGTTTGCACATGGGTGGGTCATGCGTGTGTTTAGTCTGGCTAGTCCAATGATTAAAATTGTTTTGAATAAGTTACAGTATTTAAAAATTAGACAATGTCACCCCCAAATCCTGGTTTCTGATATGCCTTAGTCTGTTTTGTGTTGCTATCACAGAATGCCACAGACTGGGTAATTTATTTATTTTTAATTATTTTTTCACAGTTCTGGAGGCTAAGAAGTCCAAAATTAAGGTGCTGGCATCTGATGAGGGCCTTCTTTCTGCATCATCCCACAGAGGAAGGGCAGGAGAGCGCAAGATAACAAAGGAGCAAGAGGGGGCTAAGCTTGCTTTTGTAATTCACTCTTGTGATAACTAATCTACTCCCATGATAATGACAGCAGTCCCTTCATAAGGGCAGAGATTTCATGGCCTAATCACCTTTTATTAGGCCTCTCCTCTCAACACTGTTTCATTAGAAATTTAGTTTCCAACACATAAACTTTGGGGAACACGTTAAAACCGCAAGAAATTGGAAGATTTGCCAAAAAAATCTGGGCCTGCGATGCCCTTCCACAATATTCTCTGATTCACCACTGTCACACCTGGCCCAGTTTATGCATCTCTGTTTCCTGCCTGATTCTGTAAGCATCTGAGGTATGGGTCATTGGGCTGCAGCAGAGAGAGGTCCTATCTGTTGATGGGGAGAGAGTCAGGCCATGGATGAAAAGGAGGGTTTGGTGTTCCCTGGACAAAGGTTTAAACAAAGTTTTAAACCCAGCCCCACTATTTGAGTCAGTGTGAACCTGAGGACGTAAGTTAACTTCCAAGCCTTGATTTTCCATTTAATAAAATGGAGGTAGTGATGCCTGCATCCCCAAGTCAGGATGACGGCCATAGACAGTGACGTAGCAAAAGGGCAACTCAGTAAACAGAAGCCACTGAAGAGTGGCCACCCAATCCCCTGGTCCAGCCATGGGCCTTCAACCTAGTCACTTAACATCTCAGAATCTCAGTTTCTTCATCTGTACAATGAGCTAACATCTCTCTAAGATTTTTCTTGGAATAAGACTATTATATAATCAGCATATAATGATGGCGATTATTTCTGAGTTTGTCTCTCCTTAGTACAGAAATAATCCAGGTAACCAGATGACCCCTTAACAAAGAGCCACAGTCTTGTTCATTGCTGAATCCAGGTGCCAGGCAGGTAGTGCTGTGTTAAGTACTCACTCAAGATAATGACATATATGCATGAATGAATGACCTACATTGAGTAGTGGGAGTATGGGTAGGGAGCTCTCTGAGGGAGTGGGAAATGAGATCACCCTCTCTACAGGAAATTGTTGATGTTTACACAGAAAGGGGGCTGACCAAGCTGTGGCAGGCATCTATCATGAAAAGCTTCCATTAGTCACTCATTCAAAAAATATTTTGGGGAGAATAAATACATTTTTACTGAGTGGGTATACACTTGTTGAAATGATGACTGAGTATATGTTGCCTTCCAGGCCCTCTACTACGTACCGGGAACCAACAGTGAACAAAACACACAATGAACCTACAACAGGGGAGCTGACCTTCTGGTGCAAGGAGACAAATCTGCAATTCAATGGCAGAAAGTGGTAAATTCTGGCCAGGTACAGTGGCTCATGCCTGTAATCCCAGCACTGTGGGAGGCTGAGGCAGGTGGATCACTTGAGGTCAGGGGTTCCAGCCAGCCTAGCCAACATGGCAAAACCCCATCTCTCCTAAAAATACAAAAATTAGCCAGGAGTGGTGGTGCATGCCTGTAATCCCAGCTACTTGGGAGGCTGAGGCAGAAGAATCACCTGAACCCAGAAGGCAGAGGTTGCAGTGAGCCAAGATCACACGACTGCACTCCACTCCAGCCTGGGTAACAGAGCAAGACTCTGTCCCAAAAAAAAAAAAAAGTGGTAAATTCTATGAATGAAAGTAAATCCAGGTGTATGAATTTCCAGGTGCTGCTATAACAAATGGCCATATACTTGGTAGGTTAAATAATATCAATTTATTATCTTACAGTCCTGGAAGTCTCCCTGGGCTGAAATCCTGCTGTCAGCAGGACTGTGTTTCTTCTGGAAGATCTTGGGGAAAATCTGTCTGCTTGTCTTTTCAGCTTCCAGAGGTGTCACATTCCTCAGCTTGTGATCCCATATTACTGCGACTTCTGCTTTGGTTGTCACATCTTCTCTCACCCTTATGCATCCCCTTTTATTTATTTTTTATTTTAGGTTCCGGGTGCAAGTTCAGGTTTGTTACTTAGGTAAACTGCATGTCACAGGGCATTGGTGTATAGATTATGTCATCACCCAGGTAGTAAGCATAGTTCCTAATAGGTAGCTTTTTGATCCTCTCCCTCCACCCAGTGTTTGTTGTTCCCCTCTTTATGTCCATGTGTTTTTATTGTTCAGCTCCCACTTATAAGTGATACCCAAAGAAATATAAATCATACTATAAAGACATATGCACACAAATGTCCACTGCAGCACTATTCACAATAGCAAAGACCTAGAACCAACCTAAATGTCTATCAACAATAGACTGGATAAAGAAAATATGGTACATATACACCAAGGAATACTACACAGCCATAAAAAGAGGAAGATCATGTTCTTTGCAGCAAGATGGATGGAGCTGGAGGCCATTACCCCATGCAAACTAACACAGGAACAGAAAACCAAATGCCTCCCTCTTATGAGGACTCTGATTACATTAAAGGCTACCTGTACAATCCAGGATGCTCTCCCCCATCTCAAATCCTTCAGTTAATCTCATCTAAAAAGTCCCTTTTGCCATGTAATGTATACAGATTCCAACATTTAAGACACAGTTATATTTGAGGAGCAGTTATTCTTCCTTCTACATCAGGTAAGGTGATAGTGATTGTGTTGGGGGCAGGAGCTGCAATTTTAGACAGGGTGGTCAGGGCAAGCCTTTCTAAAAAGAGGATAATAGAGCAGATCCATAAATAAAGTGACAGAAGATGCCATGCTGATATGAGGAGGATGGTTATTTCAGGCAGAGAGAACAGCATGTGCAAAGGCCCTTGGCAAAAAACATGCATGACAGTCCCCAGGAGCAGCAGGCAGGCAAGGATGGCTGGACTGCTGTGTAGGAAGGAGAGAAAGTGGGAAAGCCAGGGTCAGAGGAGAGGTCATGAGCTGGCCATGCAGGGCTTCACAGGCTGGGGTAAGGGCTCTAGGAAGTTTTTCAAACATGATGAGAAAGTACTACAGGGTTCTGAGGAGGAGAACGAAAAATATGGTCTGTTGATGTTTGTTTAAGCTGTTTGGAAATATTCAAACTTCAATCAAAGCATCTTAGATGTAATCAGGTGGAGATAAAATTGCCACATGACGGTAACTAGGGAAGCAGGATCTCAGTGATTGTACAGCGATCTCAGCCTGCCTGACGAAAGCTGATTGAAAAGATGGGGTGAGTGGTCAGACATCAGCCTGGAAAAGGGGGAGGCAGAGCAAGCCCTTAGTGCTGGTGCAGCCTGTGCACACGTGGGAAGCAGTGAAAGGGGCATTCTCATTACTGGATTTAGGTCTGTTCTCCTCAAATTTTCTGAGTTCCCTGATAGGAGTAGAGGACTTCAGATGTGATGGCTCTGCTCCCAAGGATCCTCTGCCTAGCAGAGGCATGCCCAGGTCCTGGCAGACATCAAAAGGGGGTGACGGGTGCAGCGGCAGAGTCAGGCACAAGGTCAGGGAGAAGAATCCACTCCATCCTCTTGGGACCATCAGGGAAAGTTTTGAAAAGCACAAGACACTGAGCATATACATGAGGAATAACAAAAATTTCCCAGGGGATGAGAAGAAGAAAGGATTTCAGGAAAATCTTCAACAGTGGCATGAAATAGCAAGATGAGTTCCAGGAACAGCAAGACAGAAGTATGAGTGGAAGGGATGAGTGGGGCAGGGTGGAGGAAGGATTAACCCACTGGATTGGTAGACATTTCCTCAGGCAGGAATGGGTCAGGCCTCAGCAGCGCCTTAAAAAACCATTGCTCAAGCGGCCTCACCTCCCTTTGTTTACCAAGTTGCTCTCCAATGCCTGATTTGGCCTCCCAGGGACTTCAGGTTTTGGAAAGGGGTTATTTTGGACAACAGATTAGACCACTGCAGTTCTCAGGAAGGTGTCCTCTTGGTGTGAACCTATTGGTTCCAGGGTGCTGAGTTTGTTCACAGGTCCAAGGCCAAGAGATTACTTTCTTTGCCTTTTGCCTACCTTCTCAAAGCCGACAGCCCAAGCCCGGTTTGGATTCTTCAGTAGCATGGCATTGTGCATGAAATAAGATCCATGCTCCTCACCATGGCCTAGAAGAACCCAGTCACCCCTCCCGCCAAACCTCCCCACCGTCACTCTCCTTGCTCTCACCACAGTGTGTTTCAGCCACCCATGGCTCCTGGCTGTGCCTCACAGCCCAGGCACTCTACTATCATAGAGCCTTTGCCCTGCTGTCCCTCTGCCTGGAACGCCTGGTCATGGTGCCCCAGTGCTGACTCCTTCCCATCCCCCAGGCCTCCCCCCGCCGGAGAAGGTGAGAGGTCTTCCCTCACCACCCTATTTGGGTCACCTCCCTTGGTACTCCCTACCTCACTGCCGTTTCTTTTGTATTTTTTATTTCTGTTTTAGGAATTGTCATGATCAGAAATATTTGTTGTCCTCCTACTGACTTGTTTATTGTCTGCACCTCTCCTTTGGGATGTCAACTCCTTGAGGACTGAGTTTTGCCTGTTTCATTCATTTCAGCATCCCAAGCACCTAGAACAGTGCCTGGCATATAATAGGCACTCAATAAATATTTACTGAATAAAAAAAGAAAGAACAAGTGAATGAATAAATATTGAATGGGAGAAATCCAAAGGAGTGCTGGCTGTACACATTTGCAATGAGAGGGTCACTTCTGCCTAGGGAGTTAAGGATATCTTCAGGAAGTATCTCACCATAGTCATTGATAAAATAGGCACAATGATACCTACTTCTTAGGGTTGTTAAGGTGATTAATGCGGTAAGGTACTAAAGGTTGAGGCACACAAGAGATATGTCAGTTCCTCTCAAGTTCGTGTTCACATTTAACATAATTATAATCAAGGTTGTTCCCCAAAATTGACAAAATTATTCTTAGGAGAATAAATAGGTGAGAATAGGTCAAATGTTCTGCCAAATAAGTTTTGAAGAGAAAAGTTTCATCCTACCAGATATAAGAATACATAGTTTATTCATTCAACAAATAGTCATTGCACAGGATAAGACGCCTACAATGAACAAGAGAGACAAAACCTCTAGTGATGTGTATTCTACCAGAAACCTAGTCACAAAAATGTCCACCAGAGCTTGAGGAAGGTGGAGGGAAGAAAACAGCTTTGGACGTTAACAGACCTAGGTTGGACTCCAATAAAGAAGAGAAGAGTTATTCAGTGAGCAGGGCAAGAACTGGCTAGCTACTGGGGAAAAATATAATAAAATAAAATGAATGTCTCTCCTTTCACTAGACTCCAAAGTAAATTCCTGAGTGGATTGGAGTTACTTGTAACAACATAAAAGCCATAAAGCTCACTGCCTAACATGAAAAGCATTCAATAAATATCAGTCTCTTGCCTTCCCCATAACTTATGGACATGACTATTTAGGTGTGCGATTTTGCCTCTCAGCAGATAATCTATTAGTTCAAGGCCACAGTCTCACAGGCTACACAAGGGCTGGAATCGACAGCTCTCCAGGCAATACACACTGAGAAACTACGTGTATGTCCTTTGCTTCAAATGCTGAAGGTGACGTTTTACCCCAGAAATTCCAACTGCACCCTGTTCACAGGTCAATACTAACATTCATGGCTCTGATTAGAGCAGTCTGCACACAGCTTCCCTTTCTCACCTCATTCACATTCATATCCTGAGCCGGTAGCAGCCAGAGAGAGATTCAGCTCCTGGCCAGTATCCATTCTGGCTGGCCAGGGCCAGTAGCCGATCAGTTGTTCAGAAGAGACTTTTCCTCCACTCCCTGTTTACTCCCCATGTGCCTGAGGCACTGCCTGGTACGAAGTAGACAGCCAGTATTTGCTAAGCTGAGCTGCAACCACCTCTTGTTGCCTCATTAAAAACTGCTTTGCTTTCTAGTTGATTAATGTGTTTTGTAAAGCCTTAAAACCTCTTTTTACCCCTCGCTCCACACTCTTACCAGCAAAAACACTGAATCTATAAGCACTCAGGAAATCATATGCCTAATTCATACAGGAAAATATTACACAGCAAAAACCTCAGGACAGAAGATAATTTGGATGCTGGTGGAAATGTGGAATTCAGGACAAGAAAAGAATCAAACACATGTTTGAGAGACAATAAGAATTAAACTATCGATTCCTCGAAAGCAAACACCGCCTTATGCATACCTCCTTCCTGCATTCCCAATGTATACGTTTCCTAGGACAGTTGTAACAAGCTACCACCAATTACATGGCTTAAAACAACAGAAATTCATTGCCTCACAGTTCTGGAGGCCAGAAGTCCAAAGGGAAGGTGTCCTCAGGACCATGCTCCCTGTGAAGGTGCTAGGGGAGGATCTGTCCTTGTCTCTTCTGGCTTCTGGGAGTTGCCAGCTGTATTAGTCTGTTTTCACGCTGCTAATAAACATATACCTGACACTGGGTAATTTATAAAGGAAAGAAGTTTAACTGACTCACAGTCCCACATGGCTGGGGAGGCCTCACAATCATGGTGGAAGGTGACTGAGGAGCAAAGTCACATCTTATATGGTAACAGGCAAGAGAGCTCGTGTAGGGGAACTCTCCTTTATAAAACCATCAGATCTCGTGAGACTTATTTACTATCACGAGAACAGCTGGGAAAAACCCACCCCCATGATTCAATTACCTCCCACGAGGTCCCTACCACGACACGTGGGAAGTATGGGAGCTATAATTCAAGATGCGATTTGGGTGGGAACACAGCCAAACCATATCATCAGCCATCCTTGGCCTTCCCTGACTTGCAGCTGCATGGCTCCAACCTCTGCCTCTGTCCTCACATGGCCTTCCCCTTTATGTGTCTGTCTCTGTTTTCTCTTCTTATAAGGCCATTCTAAATCCAGGATTTTATCTCAAGTTGCTTAACTACTTACATATACAAAGACCCTATTTCCAAATATGGTCGCATTCTGAGGTTCTGGGCGGGCATAATTTTGAGAGAATTGCTCACCCAAAACAGCACCTGACATGAATAAGAGGTTCAATAAATGATGACTGGATGTAACTGAATGAGCCACATCTGTGCCACCGATGAAGAATCAGGGCAATTAATTCTGTCAATTCACCACAGCCCCAAACTCTTCCCTCTGCCCTCTGCACTCAAGAGCTGCCTGGTTATCAGACCCTCACACCAGGTGAACCTCACCAGGAAAGATTTTGTCCCAGCAGTCAGTTGTTTAAGTACTTAATGTGGTTAATATCCATTCCACACAACGAGGACATTTAAATTTTCTGGGACGCTCAACTGTATGGCAGCTAATGGAAGATGTTTGCTTATGTTTAACGGAAAGATAAGTAAAAATGTAATCATTGGCATCAAGATCCTAGCTTGTTTATTCTCGTCTGGTTAAGTTCCCTTCACGGCTCATGAATAAAGCACTTAGGCAGCACCAATGTCCATGGCACCTTTATCTCAGCATTGAGCATTCTGAGCATTATGTGAGTAATGCTGTCATCTGTGCAAAAGGAGAGGGAATAGACAGTATCCCAACTATTACCTATCACCACTCCCCTTTCTGCTGCTCAGTATTGAACTGAAAAATATCAGTAGACTCTAAACCACAAATTAGGTCCCAGACCCTGTATTATTCATTCCCTAAAAAAATCAGGAAATTGATAACTGGGTTATCAGTAGAAATGGCCATGTTTTAGATATTACAGAGCTGCCCGTCGAATCATTTGTTGAGAGATAGGCGGCCTTTACAGGTGATATAGTCATGTTACTTTCTATTCACCTGATTTGTCCTAAGTTGCACTGCTGAGGGTTGGTTTAAGAAGTAACTAAAGCTATCTCACCTGGCGCTGTCAGCTCTGATTCTACTCTACCAGAATGAAGAGCTAAATGACAAAATGATGTTTCCAAAATATCTTTTTATTTCTACAACTCCAACATACACAGGTGCTCATCTACTTTGCCATGGGAAGATGCCCAGGCAGCACTAGACAGTGAGACACTGGGCAGTGTGAGTAGCACAGCTGTCCTGGCGAAGACACCCTAGACTATCTGACAACCAGCCAACTCCCAGATAAGTGAGCGAGCCCAGCCACGCTCAGCAGGGCTGGCCTGCAGGGCAGTGGGGGCCTGAAGGCTTGCCGGAGTGGCTGCTAAGTAGTATTACCGACAAGGAGGTGGAGAGAACAAGGGAGGGATGGAGGGAGAGAAGAAAAATGACAAGAAGGGATGGAGATAAAGGGCACAAGGACTATCCTAAGAGGAGCTGGGAATTTTAGCTACAGGAGAACTAAAACAATTTTAACAAAGAAGTGGAGGACCCACTCTATCCAATAGTAAGGCCTTCTCTGTAGCTCCAGTACTCAAGACTGGGTGGTATGAGAAGACAAACAGACATATGGAGGAATGGAACATAATGGAGAACCCAGACCCACATGATGTGCCCAACTGGCTTTTGACCGAGGTGTAGAAGCAATTCAGTGGAGGGAGGATGGCTTCTCAACAAATGGTGCCAGGGCAACTGGACAATCACAGGCCAAAGTGAAGCTCAACCTAGGTTGAGGCAAGGGCCTCCGGTAGATCTGATGGGGGCAGATCACTGAACAATTCTCCTAGATGGGAATAAGAGGCAGCCCCTTCGTGGGGGTCTGTGGGAGAGGGAGGTCCACAGGAGGCAGAGTTACAAATGCAGTGAAGTCACTGGGTTTGAAGCAAGGAGTTGGGGAGTAGCTATTTTCACTGTGAAGGAGGAAGCAGACCTCTTGATGAAAGCAGAAGCAGATAGAAAGTGAGAGAACAGAGGTGCGGGGATGAGAGTAGAGAGGAAAACCAGGGAGACGTGTCCCAGATGACCCTGGAGCCCAGACATATGCATTTGGCCCAGTAGCTTCCAAAAGCCAACAGTGGGTGCAGCAGCAGGCTCAGCCTGCTGGGCATCTCCCTGCATCGCTGGCCTCAGGCCAAGTAAGGCTGCTCTGGTCCACCACGCCCACCCACACCAGGTGCTGCTGCAGCTGCCCCCATGACTCTGCCTGAATCCCTTGATTCCTGTCTCTAACCATAAGCTGCTCAGGGAGGGGGGCTGGAGGGACCTATTGCATTAATTTCTACATTCTCAGTTCCTAGCCCGAGGCCACACATAGGAAAGCTTTGTATTAGTTTTCTATGCTACAAAATAAATGATCAAAAATTCAGCAGCTCTCAGCAACACGCATTTACTAACTCACTGTTCTGTAGGTCAGAAACCTGAGCAGGATCAACAGGGTTCTCTGTTTAAGGTATCAGAAGACCAACATCAAGGTGTTGACCAAGCTGCTCTTGTTGGACATCTGGGGAAGAATCTGCTTCCCAGATCATTAAGATAATTAGCAGGATTCCGTTCCCTGCAGCTGTAGGACTAAGGTCCCTGTGTCTTTGCTGGTTGTGAGCTGGGAGTCTTCTCAGCACCTAGAGGCTTGTCTAGTATACTGCAACAAATCCCTCTTCCGCTTCAAATCTACCTTACTTTCCTTTCTGCTAATAGTTGAAGAATTCTGTCTGCTTTGAGAGAGTTCCTGTCATTAGATTAGGTCCACTTGCATAATATCCTCTTCACAATGTAATGGAACATAACCCAGGAGTAAGATTGGAGGGGAAGGTTCATGACGGGCCATCTTAACATTCTGCCTCCTACAGGACCCAGTAGGTGACGAATTCTTTGTTATGAACAACCAAAGAGTAAGGATGTCCCCTAAAACACACACGTGCATCTATATGCATGCTCACACATACACACATGCATACAGGTGCATGCACACAGACATGTACACATGTGTGCACACATACACACAGTCTTGTTCCCTTAGTAGCCTAACACAAACTGGAATAATAAAATGGGAAGCCTCATTGAGACCCTTTATATCTATGACCTGTAGTGTCCCTGTAGAGTTAAGATCTTCTGTTTTTTTGTATTTCCTTTCTGACCTTCCATGAGGATGTGGCTCTATTCCAGGCCCTGAGCCAGGAACAAACCAAACTCAGTCCTGGCCACCCAAGCCCTCACTTTCTGGTGGGTTAGGAAACACTGCATGAGATGTGGGAGAAGAGAGGGACTCTCAGGAGGCAATGGGCTGGGGGCCAAGAAGGGAATGTCCACCCACCTCTAAGAGAGTCAGGGAGGCTGCAGAACTAAGAAAATGCCGATGGTTTTACAGAGAAGAGCAGAAAGCACATAGCTCTCAGCAACCCAGTGAAACCTTTTGCTCACTCGGACATCTGATGAACTTAGAACAGCCGGAGATTTCGGGACTTTTTCTCTGTGAGAGAGCAAAATTATGTAATTTGAGGGAGTGAACTCAACAAGCTGATGGGGTTTGTGATAGTTCCCCTGGCCAACAAACTGGGAGGATGCTGACATTTTGGCAAAACCAGGGCATGAGAGACCTACTTTTTGAATAGATGATATGAGAATTTACCTTACCTCTCTTCTCCTCTGCTCTAATAAAACAGAGGTCACAGGTGTGTTGTGAAAAGTAAATGAGATCACACATGAGAAGGCTAACAGGCTTTGATCAGAGCCCCACACATACTAAGTGATCAATAAAAGGCAGGAGGGAGGATGGTGAAAAGGTGAAATGACATGAGGATGAGGAGATTGATGATGGTGGTGGTGGTGGTGGTAATCATAGTTGTCATGGATCAAATTGTATCCCCCCAAAACTCATGTGCTGAATCCTAACCCCCAGTACCTCAGAATGTGACTGGATTTGCTTATGTGGTCTTTAAGGAGGTAATTAAGGTTAAATGGGTCAAAAAGGTGGGGCCCTAATCCAATATGACTGGAGTCCTTGTAAAAAGAGGTGATAAGAACACAGATGCACCCAGGGTGGCCACGTGGAGGACACAGAGGGAAGGTGGCCGTATAAAGCCAAGGAGAGAGGCCTTGGAAGAAATCAACCCTGCCCACACCTTGATCTCAGACTTGTTGCCTCCAGAACTACAAGAAATAAATGTTTGTTGTTGAAGCCCCCCAGGCTGTGACACTTTGTTACAGCAGCCCCAACAAGCAAATATGATAACAATGATGCTAGCATTGTGATTGGAAAAGCACGGGGCTGGGTGTCATCAGGACCCCGGGTTATGGACAAAAACTCCTTCAATCCTCATTTGTGCCGGCTGCATGAGGCTCCAAGGAAGATGAAGCCGGGTGCAGAGATAGCAGCCGGGAGGCATGTAGGATCCAGGCAGTGAAGAAATGGGGGAAACTTGAGAGACACATGGGAAACTGACCAGCAAGACCACGGGACACAGCCAGAGAAGTGTGGAGCAACACCTTCTGTCTCTACAGCTTGGGGCATGAGTGACACATGGACAGCAAGGCCTCAGGGAGCAGAGCCCACAGGAGAAAGAAGAACCACTCTGTGGGGAGGTGGGGAAGTTGGCTTGGGTCCTGTTGAGTTTGAGGCAGCTGTGGTGATAAAGAAGGGGACCCAGCAGTGAGAAATGAGAAAGGGAGCTGGGATTTGGGCTCCACAGCCACAGGAGGAAATGCATGAGCTGGTGCAGGTGGAGCAAATAGAGAGTCAAGGCAGGGGCTGAGGGTGGAAGAGCACCAACAGCTGAAGTAGGTGGAGAAGGGACTCAGGCAGAGAAGGGGTGCACAGAGAGCTGGGAGAGAACCAGGGAGAGTATCATGGAACCCAGGCAGGAGAGTGCAGCAAGGGAGTGGTCCAGCAAGGCCAACGCCAGATGCAGTCAGCCCAGCAACCTCAATGAGAGCCAGGACCTGCACACAGTAAGTCCTCCAAGCGTTGGCAAAGGAACAGCTGAGTGAGTAAATGAGTGAATGAGTAAATGAATGAGTGAATGAATGAATGAGTAAATGAGTGAGTGAGTGAATGAGTCAGGGAATGAATAAGTGAGTGAGTGGGTGGGTGAATGAGTGAGTGAATGAGCAAGTGAGTGAGTGAATGAGTGAGTAAAAGAATGAGTGAACGAAGGAGCAAGTGAATGAATGAGTAAATGAGTGAATGTGTGTGAATGAATGAGTGAAGGAGTTAACAACTGAATGGATAAGTGAGTGAATGAGTGAAGTAGGTTAATGAGTGAATGAATGAGTGAGTGAGTGAATGAATGAGTGAGTGAATGAATGAGTGAATGAGTGAACAAGTGCATGAATCAGTGAATGAATGAGTGAATGGGTGACTGAATTAATGAGGTAATGCATGAATGGGTGAGTGAATGGGTGAGTGAATGAATGAATGAATGAGTAAATGAGTAAATGTGAGTGAATGAGTGAATAAGCGAGTGAATGAGTAAAAGAATGAGTGAATGAGTGAGTGAAGGAGTGAAGAAGTGAATAAGTGAATGAAGGAGTGAATGAGTGTGTGAGTGAAACAGTGAATGAATGGGTGAGTAAGTGAATGAGTGAGTAAATGAGTGAGAGAATGAGTATGTGAATTAGTGAATGAATGAGCGAGTGAATGAATGAGTGAGTGAATGGGTGGACACTGTGAACACACAATCACTCTTGCATGGTTCTATGGAGGTTGATCCCTTCTGTCCCATTTCCCACTGACAGTGAGATCTGCATGGACAGGCCTGGGCTGTGTTCTCCTCAACTTTTCTGGCCCCTCACTTGTGGCTGGCAGCCAAGTGGTGCCCAGGACAAGTCTCCTGAACAGGATGATTGTCCCTGGCCTGTCCCTGGGGACAGCAGTCTCCTTAGCTGTCACAGCAAGACTGAATACAGACTTTGGTGCCAGGCAGGTCCCACTCCAGCCTCATCCCTTCCACCCACTAGGACCTGAGGCTTTGTTTCCATTTCTGTGAAGTGGAAACAATAATATCTCTTACCTTCAGAAGTCATTAACACCCAGTCCAGTACACTACCTGGTGGATCAAACCTGCTCAACAAATTATGCCTGCTGTTATCCTTTGCCCTTGGTGTTATTGCTATCATAATTGTGATTACTGCTGATAGGTCCTATTCTCATTAATATTATTATAATGACCTGATTGCACAGACAGAATTGGAGCCAGCTTTTCCTCTTTCACTAGTTTTATGATCTGTTCCCTAATCCTTAATAGAAGAATCATAACAACAGCTATATAACAGGGTCGTTGTGGGACCAAATTCTTTTAATACATGTAAAGTGCTTACAATTTGCCATTGCAAGGAAATGGAACCAACCTAAATGCCCATTGACCAAGGAGTGAATAAAGAAAATGTGGTATATATACACCATGTAATACTACTCAGCCATAGAAAGGAACAAAATGGATTTTGCAGCAACTTGGATGGAGCTGGAGGCCATTATTTGAAGTAATTCAAGAATGGAAAACCAAATATCATTTGTTCTCACCTATAAATGGGAGCTAAGCTCTGAGGATGCAAAGTCCTAAGAGTGATATAATGGACTTTGAGGAGGTTGGAAGTGGGGAGGGATAAAAGACTAGATATTGGGTAAATGACTAGATTGAATGTACACTGCTGGGGTGATGGGTGCACTAAAATCTCAGAAATCACCACTAAAGAACTTATCCATGTAACCAAAATCCACCTGTACCCCAAAAACTATTGAAACAAAAAGAAGAAATAAAACCAAATATTCTTAAACGAAAATATATTATAATTTTATAATATAATTTCTTAAATGAAGTGTTATATTATTTTATAATATATAGAAATTATGTATATTTTTCTATATGTATTTTCTCTATATATTTCATACACATATGTAAAGTGCTTAGAAAAAAGCTTGGCATCAGATACCTTTTCAATCGGTCATCAGGCTTTTAGTTGTAATTTGTCACTAACACAGGAAATCTCAAAAATTCTCATGACTACACATATCATCTCTAAACATTACATTCACTCCACAAGTATTTTGTACAGTATTTCCACCTTATCCAAGGGAGATACATTCCAAGATTCCCACTGGATGCCTGAAACTTTGGATACTACTGAATCCTATATATACTGTTTTTTTCCTATAACATACCTCCCTATGAAAAAGTTTAATTTATAAGTTAAGCACAGTAAGAAATTAACAATAACTAAATATGGAAAAATTATAACAGTATACAGTAATAAACGTTATGTGAATGCTTTCTCCCTCTTTCAAAATCTCTTCTTGTGATGCACTCCCCCTTTCCCTTCTTGTGACAATATGAGATGATAAAATGCCTACGTGATGAGATGAAGGGAAGTGAATGACGTAGGCACTGTGACAGAGCGCTAGGCTACTATTGCCTTCTGCTGTATCAATCAATCTGATTCAGGTGATCCTGGATCATCAAGCCATGACGATGTCGATGGCCAGATGTCAGGAGCAGATTACGTCAATGATTACCAGTGTCATTGGCGCAGTGTCTATAGCGTGGATCCACTGGACAAAGGGAGATTCATGTCCTGGGTGGAACTGAGCAGGACAGCATGAGATTTCATCACGCTACTTAGAAGAAGGGCATGCAATTTAAAACTTAAAAATTGTTCATTTCTGAAATTTTCCATTTAATATTTCAGACCATGGTTGACCAAGGTTCACTGAAACCGAGGAAAGTGAAACCACAGATAAGGGGGACTAATGTACTTGAGTCCCGAATGCCTATGCGTAGATTGCATATTGAAATAAATGCATGTAGAAAAGAGAAAAATTATTAAAACTTTTTACAAAATGGAGTTTATGCAAAAAAATAGCAACTCTTGTAGCTCTAGTCAGCACATTAGCTTCAGAATACGAAAGCATGTGAAATTTAGGTCGCTCACATATGATGTCCTTCCTCATGTTTATAAGCTGGCTGCATTCCTTCAGAACTAAAAGTGTCCTTATTTAATTGATTTAAGAAGCAGAAGGAAGAAAAAGCAAAACGTTTTGCACCAGTCGTAACACAAATTGCTGAGCGTATGCTCAGGTTTTGTCAGATTCTTGGAAGGAGATAAACCTTGAGAACAGAAGCCTGGAGATACTGACAATATTTGAGAGGAAAAAAATATGACATGAAAGCTT